>NC_000002.12:313030-616060 GCF_000001405.40 Homo sapiens
CCCTGGGCCCTCAGGGAAGCCATTGCGTTCTTGATGCAAAGTTTAGAGGCTGACTCTGGCTTTCTTGGAGATGTTCCTGACAACTTTTACCTTTAGTTGAGTTTCATTTCTAAGTAGAGTCTATTTTCTTGTTTGTAAATAGGCACAAAGAATGTTAGTTCCTTTATGTTAAGAAGGCAACATATGTTTATAGCATGCCTTCTATATAGAACACCCTAGCATATTTTGCAAAATGTGCTGTCAACTCCTAGCATCAGAAAAAACTGGGAGCTCTTACAATGCGGATTTCTAGGCTTGCTTGGGACAGTTGCATCAAACTGCCAAAGGCCCAGAGCCCTTTATGTTTTAAACAAGCATGCTGGGTATGTCCTATGCAAACTAAAAATGATACCAGAGAGAGTAAGACATTGTTCCTATAGCAGTGGGATCCTATTCAGTAGGGAAGGGGTGTGTGTGTGTGTGTGTGTGTGTGTGTGTGTGTGTGTGTCCTGAGAGAGAATGAAAGAATAAGTAGGGAAGGGGTGTGTGTGTGTGTGTGTGTGTGTGTGTGTCCTGAGAGAGAATGAAAGAATAAGTAGGGAAGGGGTGTGTGTGCGTGTGTGTGTCCTGAGAGAGAATGAAAGAATAAGTAGGGAAGGGGTGTGTGTGTGTGTGTGTGTGTCCTGAGAGAGAATGAAAGAATAAGTAGGGAAGGGGTGTGTGTGTGTGTGTGTGTACTGAGAGAGAATGAAAGAATAAGAGGAGAGAGAATTGTTCACAGCAGTGTTAAAACATACTTAGAAAAACAAATGAGGTGGTTAAGTGGCTTTGGTTTAAGATGGCCAGGTGAACACACATACTTACCTTTTTTCTCGCTGATTTGCTATGAAATGATAGTTGGAAAATACATTTAGAAGAAATCTCCAAAACACAGAGAATGTGATATTTTCTCACATGCCTGGGAGATGGTGGGGTGGGGTGGCTGGGCCATGCGGGTCCCCTGGTCTCAGAGAGACTTCAGCTTGTCCATGGCAGAACCAGGAGGGTGGGAGGGGGCAGGAGTGAGAAGCAGGCTCAGAACGTGACCTGAGCAAGGTCTGTGGACAAACGCATTCGCTGTCCCCACCCCTACCCCCACCCCCGGGGCTGCAGCAAAGCCCTGACTACTGGGCAGGAATGCCTGGGGCTTTCCCGCAGGGAAAGCGGTGAAGCGGGCAGGGCGAGCTGGAGCACCTGTGTGGCATCATCAGCTCCAGCCTGAAGTTGGTCTTGTGGTGGTGTTTTCGTTGCTGCCTTCATCTGATAGCCCTGAAGAAAGTGGCGGCCTCTGGGAGGCGAACGGGGAGGCCTCAGTGGCCAGGGGCTCGGCTTTGTGACCCATGCAGGAGATAGAACTTAGGCTCAGAACAGGAATAGGCATTGTCCTATCGAGACGATTCTATCAGAGTAGATGGAAAAGCTGCAAAGTGGGTGACACAGACTCAAAATTTGGAGCGGATGAGGGGCAGGAGCAGCTCACTGATTGGGCCCCGACTTTCCCAGGTGTCTACACTGCTAGAGCTACGCTCACAGCTGCGGACGTGCACGCGCTGCCAGCAACTGCACCGAGCACTCAGCGCACACCTGCTCCCACGCGCCACGCACTCGTGCAGGTGCCGGGAGCTCCGTCGTCAGCAGCCAGAGGAAAGCCCTGTTCTCGTGGAACCTCCATCCTAGCGAGGACAGAATGAGGACGCACAAATCAAATCGAGTCCACAGCGTGTCAGGTGACAACATGCTGAGGAGAAACGCAGAGCCAGACGAGGGGCAGGCAGAAGGGCGGGCGTTTGTGACCCGAGGCCGGGCGCGGGCCCCGCCGCAGGGCTGTGAGGCCGCCGTGGGACTGGTTCCACCGACACTGGAGGCCAGGCGTGGGCCCTCCGTAAAGTCCCCCGTGTGGGATTACGGGACAGGCGGCGGAACCCCAGTTTAACCCTGGGTGTGTTTGGGCACGCAGCCATGCCGACTAGAAGGACCTGAGATGGATTCGGTTCGCGGGGAACGGAGGTGCCCTAGCTCCCGTTCACGACCGCATCTTAAAAAGCAAAGTGAGCCAGTTTTTCGCAAAGATGATTTCACTGGATTTCCGCGTTTAGCGTCACGATATGGGGGCCTCCGAGCGCCTCTCTGGGCTTCCACACAATGGGCCACATCACGTTTCTGACCAGAGAAACACAGGTATCTGTGCTTGTAAACATCTGGAATTTAATTCGGTGGAAAAAATAACTTGTGGGGAGGGTGATACACATCTAGGTCTGTGTTCAGCTTGGGGGCTTGCCAGCCAGTGGCTTTTTTATCGTCTTTAATCCTGGGAGAGTTGTTACTGAAAGAGGTAGCATTTAGTGCAGCTCACAAATGCGTAACAATCCCCCACTTCAGTGAATCCAAAGAAAACACAGAGATTACAAAGCACCGTTTGAGGCCGGGATCAGGAGGCAACCAAGACAAATAGGTTTCTGTCCATTTGGACAGGAGCTTTGGGGGCTCGCCTGTACTTCCTCTCTCACTGGCTTTAGGTGACTAAACCTTGGGGCTATTCTGTCACTGCTGTGTAGAGCTGGCATCGAGGTCGAACCTGTTTCTTCTTCGAAATCTCTTGAAACAACTGCTGCTGACTGGGAAGGTACGGAGAGGCTTGGCTGCAGTGAGTGAAAGGCTGTCTCTCTTGACGGTGTGGCTCTGTTCCCCAAGTTGAAAACATTGAGGCGTCTGTCTGCAGCCCAGACACCTGCTGGGGGTCCCTCACCACCGTGGCCAGACCCTCCTGTCTTCTGGTCCCCTGTCCTGGAGGCATCTCACTGCCACCAGGAAGCTTCTCTGGGTGTGGGGGGGCAGTGGCCCCTGGACAGCTGACTTGTCAGGCTTAGAGGTTGCTTTGGTTTTGGCTTTTAGTGTATTTGTTCTTGGATATGGTTTGGCTCTGTGTCCCCACTCAAATCTCATCTTGTAGCTCCCATAATCCTCACGTGTGTGGAAGGACCTGGTGGGAGATGATTGAATCACAGGGGTGGGTCTCTCCCATGCTGTTCTCATGGTAGTGAATGGGTCTCACGAGATCTGATGGCTTTAAAAACGGGAGTTTCCATGCACAGCTCTCTCTTTGCCTGCTGCCATCCACGTATGACGTGATTTGCTCCTCCTGGCCTTCTGCCATGTTTGGAGGCCTCCCCAGCCACGTGGAACTGTGAGTCCAATTAAACCTCTTTCTTTTGTAAATTGTCCAGTCTTGGGTATGTCTTTATCAGCAGCATGAAAACAGACTAATACAGTTTCTACATGCATTTATTTAACACTTAACTAATTTTCTCACTTGGTCTTCATGAAACAGGTGTCTTTGAATTGAGGAGAGGAGAAAGAAGAGGAATGATTTTTTAAAAACCATAAAACAGAGGTTACCCAGTGCCTTCAAGACTAAACTTTATTATAGTTTCCACAGCAAGTAGCTGGAGAAAGTGCAACCAAGGCTGCAAAGTGGACAGCCGTGCAGTGCGCAGGGTGCGGGAAGGCAGAGGGGTGGCCCCGTGGCCCCTCAGCCCAGGAGTCTCGAGCCAGTGGCTCTTGGGGCTGTGGGTTGAAAACAGGCCAGCAGCTTCTAGCACGTCCCTCGCGGTGTTCTTCACCTTCTCCCAAGAATGCATCCCTCGCAATGCTCTCTCGTGTTCTCTTGAGGATACGCGGCTTTTGGCCATGGCAGCAGGTCAGTGCCCACAGGCTAGGATGCCAGCAAGCACCTGGGGGGCTGTGGGGTCAGCAAAGCTGTGTGGTGAGACTGGAATGCACCTACTGTGTTTCTGATAGACTGCTCTGTTTAGCTGAATGTTTGAAACATGGCAGATACTCAATAAATACTTTTAATGGTTAAATCAATTCATTTACTTCATTTGACCAAGAGTGGAAATTTTAAACAGGACATTGGGGAAAATTTTCCATCAGAAAGGTTTTTAATTATCTTTAAATCAAAATGGTTTACTTAGGTGATATTGAAGGCCCTGTCTTAACACAAAAAGCTATTTAAACAGTGTTACAATGGTTATTGCAGAAAGACTGTTCAGAAGAGCCTCATTAATAAAAATAGCAGTTAATATTCCGAGAGGAAGATTCTCTTATTAGGACAACCAGCAAGCACTCACCAAAAGACAGGGTAGGCCCAGAGTGTGTCTATTTGTTATGGGGACCCAGACAGTGTTTCCTGTATGAAAACTGAATAGCGCTTGTAACTTAGGGCATATGCTTTGCATATTATGGAATAGAGTTCAGATGGGATTTTTGTCTCATTGCTGAATAGATGGTTATGGGGCGGAAATAGGGGGTGCATGAGGGTCACCGCCCACCTTGGTCTGAGAGCATCCTCGGAAACTTGAATGTAGGTGGCCTGAGGGAGGCCTGGATGGTCCTGAGCTGCCCGGCATGGGCCAGTGTGGCTGAAACAAGTGATAAGAAATTTAATTTAACTCCCTGAATAGTGGAAAATGGACGAGTTTTGTCGAGCTGAGTCAGGGAGGAGTGTTGTAGGAGGCGGCGCTTGAGCGGCGAGAGAGATGCAGACTCGTTTCCTGAGCGCGGTGGAGCCGGGTCTTGACCCAGCGGCTCTGCACAGCTCGCCTCATTCAAGGCAGGTTTTGGTCCCAGCTGTTCCACTAATTAGCACATGACCCCGGCAGGCAGCATGACCTCCTTGACCTCTGTCCTGTAGGACCCCTGCAGGCTCCGTGCAAATTCAGTTAGAATGACTCACCATTCTCCCAAGTAAATGGTATTTTTCACTTTTTGGCAAAACCGTTTTCTCTTGTACAGTCAGAGCTGTCAGCCCACACAAAAGAGGAAAGTCTGAGGCTTTAGTTTGATGAACACATTTATATGATGGGACGAACATCAGAGCCCGCAGCTCTCGGCCCTGCTGGTGGCAGAGGCTTTGTACTGTGTGACAATGACCTGGATATGGAAGCAGAAGGGAGCTTCTAAGGACCGGAAGCTGAGAGTCTGTCTCCTGTCCCGGCCCGGACACTGGGGTTCAGGTAAGAGGGTGGAAGGACATTGGCCAGGTCAGGGCTGCCGCGATGGTGCTGTGATGGTTACGGCTGCATCAGGGTCTGGCAGGAGCTGGGCTTCGCCTGGAGGCTCCCAGCTTCTCACAGCCCCTTGCACCAGCTTTCAACAGGGGGATTGCAGGAGAAACACTTGATGAGTCAGAGACGGGATGTGGTGTCAGGGTGACACACACACTTTCTCAGTTTCAGGAGAACTTGTCTGTCATTTTGGCAAAAAGTTTTTCTGTGTTTCTAAAGAGACTGGTTCTTTCTTGTTATCCCCGAGGATCCAGTTCCTGTTGCCCTGCAGCTAATCAGCTTCACCAGACATGGACCTCCAAGCTTAGGGATGCATGAATCTGAAATCCAAGCCATGGTTGTAATAGTGATAATATGAGGAAAAACTAAGAAACCAGATTTTCACATTGCTTTCGGAATGGAGCAACAAGCAGATGCTTGTACAATCTGGTGTCAGCCAAAAAAGAGCCTGTTTCAATAAGCAGAAATAATAAAATACTGAATTATCCCTCTTTTTGAAAAAGAACTAACCAGTTACAGTGCAATATCAGAACACGTTTATTCACTTGCTCTCAATAAACGCGAGTGTGAATGTGAGTGAAGGCGGTGAGCTTCGCTGCTGAGCCCACGTGGCTGAGTGGCGAGGGAGGCCGGCAAAGATGTGCCCTCGTGTGTCCACATTTTAGGAACACAGGAGACAGGCCTCGCTGCCCACGTTCCCCTGCTAGTAGAAGACATCTGCTGGGCATGTGTGTGTGTGTGTGTGTGGTTGTGTGTGTGCGGGTGTGTGTGCACGGGTGTGCATGTGTGCGGGTGTGTGTGCGGGCACGTGTGCAGGCGTGCGTGCAGGCGTGTGTGCAGGCGTGTGTGCATGGGTGTGTGTGCGTGTCGTGTGTGGCCCTGTGTGTGCGGGCGTGTGTGTGGGCGTGTGTGTGTGGGCGTGTGTGGGCACGTGAGTGTGGGCATGTGTGTGCGGGCATGTGAGTGGGCGTGTGAGTGTGTCTGTGTGTGCGCACAGGCGTGTGTGCGGCTGTGTGCGTGGGCACGTGTGTGGGCGTGTGTGTGGGCATGTGTGTGGGCGTATGTGTGTGGGCGTGTGTGGGCGTGTGTGTGTCGTGTGTGCACAGGCATGTGTGCGGCCGTGTGTGTGTGGACACGTGTGTGTGGGTGTGTGCGGAAACGTGTGGGGGCACGTGTGTGTGGGCACGTGTGTGCCTGGGCACGTGTATGCGGGTGTGTGTGTGTGGGCGTGTGTGCGGATGTGTGTGTGGGTGTGTGTGGGTGTGTGCGTGGGTGTGTGCAGGCGTGTGTGCAGGCACGTGTGTGCGGGTGTGTGGGGGTGTGTGCGCGGGTGTGTGCAGGCGTGTGTGCGGGCACGTGTGTGTGTGGGCGTGTGTGCAGGCAGAAAGCACCAAGATGTAAACAGCTGGCGCTCACTTGTGCACCACCAAAGCTAGAATGTTTCATCTCCCCTGGTGGCTTAGTAAGTGACAGAACAGCACCAAGATGTAAACAGCCGGTGCTATGCTTGCAGGGAGGCTGGAGGGGTACAGCCACTCCCCACACCTGCCACAGGGTTGCTTGATTTGAGCCGGCACATCCGGGGCCCACACCCCCTTCACCTTGGACCTCACGTGCAGTCAACGCAGCATGTGCTCATTAGGAAACGGAGATTAGAATGCGGGTTCCATTTTAGATTGGACTTGACACTTCAAACATCCTGAAGAAGTTGTTGTCTAAGGGTGCTGTGCGGTGGGACTGAGCTTTTAATTAAAGGCAGGTGGGGTCACCGCCTCCTTCATGTTCAAAGTTCTCAGCTACACAGTGGAGGAGGAGAGCTCAGGGAAGGAAAACTTTTAGTGTAGTTTTTTTTTTTTTTTTTTTTTTTGAGACAGGGTCTCACTCTCTCGCCTAGGCTAGAGTGCAGTGGTGTGGTCACAGCTCACTGCTAAGTTTTTAAGAGGTAAATTTCCGGTGGGAACTCCTGATCCATGCTGGTTACGGCAGGACCTAGAGCCTGGGATGCTCTTCCTGGGTTTAGGATTCAGCGAGCAAGGCCTGGTCTGGAGGAAAAGCGCCAGGCAGTGCCGTGGTGACTCCAGGGAGGGGCTGGCCACGTAGAGGTGTGCTGAGAAACTGTCTACCGCACCGCTTTGTACCTTTCATTCCATCCATGGATATATTTTAAAAGTTTGATTGTTATTTTTTTTTTATAAAAGAAAGAAAAAAGAATTAGCAAGCCTTTAGTAATAGGAATCCCAACTCTTTTCTATAAACTTGGGCCACTCTTTCTCTTCCCCCATTTATCATCACGTAAAATAAAGAAACAAAAGCAGAAAACATTTTTTCCCTAGGCTTCTACATCTCTGCTCCAACTTGGTTTGCCTGGTGGGCCTGGGGCACTGCGTCTGTATTCCTGGATGAGCAGGTGCCTCCTGACTTCACAGAGTGATGCCAGCTGCCATGGGCTGCTCCCCACATCCTCTCTTCATCTCTGAGCGCTTTTCACAGGGAGGTTTCATGCTTTCACCCCAGTCAATGGGGCTCATGCTTTCGCCCCAGTCAAACCTAGCCTGCTGGTCCTGGGTGCAATGTGACATCTGAATTGTACCTGCCTGGTTGTAGGTACCAACTAATGGATGCTGATCTTGACCACATCCTTCTCGGAAGTGGCTCTGGAGAGGCTGCTGTGGAAATTGTCATCAGGTGATGTGAGGTTAGTCACAATGGGCGATCAAAACTGTTGCTGGCTTAGACCCATATTCATCTCTTAAGCCTGTCAATTCAGAAGCTCTGCACATTGCTGAGAAAGGCAAAGGCCACAGCAAGAGAGAAAAAGACTGGGGAGAGAAAACCTCTAGACATTCAGGTCTTCCTGACAGCCAGTGCGAGGTAGCCCATGTGGAGATGCTCTGTCCTGCAGCACAGATGTCAGCTTCCGCTCCATCTGCAGTGACGGGGACCATGTCTGCAGCTGGAGCCATGGACCAGGCTAAATGGGATAGATTTCCACTCAGCCCCGAGCCCTCAACAGACAAGGATCCCATCTCACTTCTCATTTTTCTGGTGACCAGCACAGCCCGAGACACACAGATATATTATCTGCGGGTGTGGATAATGAACCCCAGTTACACAGCATTGAAAGCCCAGGGTCGTGCTCACTCGTGGATGCTGGATAATGAATCTCAGTGAAATGACCCTGAAAGCCCAGGGTCCCGCTCACCCGTGGGTGCTGGATAATGAACCCCAGTGACATGGACCCAAAAGCCCAGAGCTCTATCGGAGTCACAGAGTCCCTGCAACTGGGAAATCACCCAGCGCTGACGTTTTAGGCAAGAGTTGAGACAATTCATGAGGTTCCATGGCCTACGTAATAATACTTTTGGTAGAACATTTTAACCTATATTTATAGACAATCTGATAGCCATGCCACAAAAGAAATTTAAAAGTATATTAAGCATCTAAAATAATATTAATGTGTAGACATTAAAACACACTTACTTTGGATTTGAAAAGATAAGGTAAAATAAGTTGCATAAAAGTCTCATTCAGGCGATACATACCAATACTTACACCATTTGCTTTCAGGGAAGTGTGCTCTGCCCCCTGTGTGGATGCCTGTGTCCTGTGTGTGGCTGGAGTAGGACTTGGCTTGTGGGTGATCACAGAGACGGAGACTGAGAAGCAGATCGATCCTAGCTTTGCTACTGACAAAAAGCATGGGTAAATCACTGTTCTCTACAGTTCTTGAATCCCACAGGTGAAAGATGGAAATGTGTGTACAGGTTCCACCCACTCCACCTATGGCAAATCATGCAAAAAGGTCAACTGTGATGTATAAGGTCATTTTTTACCATACTCATCTGCGATGTCTGGCCAGGCATAAAGAGAGGCTTTTTTGTCCCCAGATAGAAGGAAGCCATGGATGGCAGAGGATGCGCTCAGGGGGACAGAAGGATGTGAGTGGGGCAGGTGGGGAGGAGCAGGAGGGATGTGGCTTTGGAGTCAGAATCCCAGAGTTGTATTCAGACTATGTGACCCTAGGCAAGTTTTACATTTCAGCTTCCTTGTCTGCAAAACAGGAACAAGAGTCCCTATCATGTAGGGTAATTGTGTACATGAAGTTAGCTCATAAATGAAAAATGTTTAACCTGGTGTCTGACCTAAAGGAACAATTGGTAGTAATTTATCCTCTTTTCCAATGCAGCAGGTAGTGTGGTGTTTCTCTTTCAGGCTAGTAGCCGTGCCATAAAATAAATTTAAAAGTATATTAAGCATCTAAAGTAATATTAATGTTTAGACATTAAAACACATTTACTTTGGATCTAAAAAGATTAGTATAAAACCTGTCTCAGTCATCACGCCCACCTTCACTTGCTGCACCTCCAGGAAGCAGCCGGGTGGCAAGAGAGGCGAGAGGAGCCATGTGACAAGGAGGGTGCGTGGGAAAGTGGGCCCATCCTGAGGATTGGCCATTATAAATACCGCTGTAAGACACAGGGCAGGCTCACCAGGACTGCCCTGCTCCAGGGAGCTCTTGGTCGAGAGCATGCAGAAGGAAGGGCGTTGCGCATGTGATACTTTGATTTTGAGATCACATGAAGCAAACAGATAGGGAAAACGTGTTGCTACTTTGGGAAACTGGTGAGAAGGATGAGAATCTCAAGATGGAGTGGCAAACCTACTTTAAAGGGGTGATCAGCTATGGGAAGACTGTCTTCCTGCTGCAGGACCCTGCGGACCCTGCTGACACGCTCATGTTCCCTTCCCTTTTCTAAGCTACACCGGGCAGTGTAAACTCGCCACCCACACCTGGCCTGTCACCACTCATGTCACCGGCCTCCCAGGAACACTCCACTCAGCAGTCAGTTCTTTGAAGTCTCTAGATGCTTCAAGGCCAGACACTTGAGGGCCTTTTTGTTTGTTTGTCCCTTATAGCACTAGGTTTCTTCAGAAGTCGATTCCCACGAATTTCAACTAGAATTCTCAGGTTCTCTTCAACAAACTGTCCTTGGTGCTTTACAGAAAGAACCTGTGAGTCAGCTTCCCAGATGAGCATCTCAGTGACAATGATGGTGTCTCATGGCTCCTTCAGTTACGAACGGCACTGAGCTGTTCTGGACAGAGAGGGGTCGGCTCCTCCCAGGCAGCCTTCTGAGCCCTGAGGCAGGCTGGACACAACAGGCATTGAGAACAGAAACCTTTAGCGCTACAAGGAAACCTTAGAGACCTCTATTCTTTTTTGGAGTCTTCTTTTTTTTGTAGTTGTTGTTTTTGAGCAGGGTGTGGCAGGCAGACAGAGGCTCCGACGTGATCTCCTGCTCTGGTGCGGTGCTCATACCAATGCAGTGTGCTGTTTCTTTCTTTCTTTTTTTCACTTTTTAAAAATGTATTTATTTATTTGTGTGTATGTGTGTGCTCAGATTCTATTTTTTTTTTATTTCAATAGGTTTTTGGGGAATGGGTGGTGTTTGGTTACATGAATAAGTTCTTTAGTGGTGATTTCTGAGATTTGGGTGCACCCATCACCCAAGCCATGTACCCCATACCCAATGTGTAGTGTTTTATCCCTCACCCCCCTCCCACCCTTTCCCTCAGGTCACCAAAGTCCATTGTATCATTCTTATGCCTTTGCATCCTCATAGCTGAGCTCCCACTGATGAGTGAAAACAAACGATATTTGGTTTTCCATTTCTGGGTTACTTCACTTAGAATAATGGTCTCCAATTCCATCCAGATTGCTGCAAATGCCATTATTTCGTTCTTTTTTGTGACTGAATAGTATTCCATAATATATACACATATATACAACATTTTCTTTATCCACTCATTGATTGAGGGCATTTGGGCTGGTTCCATATTTTTGCAATTGCAAATTATGCTGTTATAAACATGCATGTACAAGTATCTTTTTCATATAATAACTTCTTTTCCTCTGGGTAGATACCCAGGAGTGGGATTGCTGGATCAAACTGTGGTTCTTTAAGGAATTTTAGTTCTTTAAGGTATTTTCACACTGTTTTCCATGGTGGTTGTACTAGTTTACATTCCTGCCAACAGTGTAAAACTGTTCCCTTTTTACCACATCCATGCCAACACCTATTATTTTTTTATTTTTTGATTATGGCCATTCTTGCAGAAGTAAGGTGGTATCTCATTGTGGTTTTGATTTGCATTTCCCTGATCATTGTGATGTTGAGCATTTTTTTCATATGTTTGTTGGCTATTTGTACATCTTCTTTTGAGAATTGTCTATTCATTTCCTTAGCCCACTTTTTGATGGGATTTTTTTTTCTTGCTGATTTGTTTGAGTTTGTTGTAGATTCTGGATATTAGTCCTTTGTCAGATGCATAGTTTGCAAAGATTTTCTCCCACCTGTGGGTTGGCTGTTTACTCTGCTTACTATTTCTTTTACTGTGCAGAAGCTTTTTAGTTTCATTAAGTCCCATCTATTTATCTTTGTTTTTGTTGCTTTTGCTTTTGGGTTCTTGGTCATTAAGTCTTTGCCTAAGTAAATGTCTAGAAGGGTTTTCCCAATGTTATCTTCTAGAAATCTTATAGTTTCAGTTCTTAGATTTAAGTCTTTGATCCATCTTTAGTTGATTTTTGTATAAGGTGAGAGATGAGGATCTGATTTCATTCTCCTACATGTGACTTGCCAATTATCCCAGCATCATTTGTTGAATAGAATATCCTTTCCCCACTTTATATTTTTGTTTTGTGGAAGATCAGTTGACTGTAAGCATTTGGCTTCATTTTTGGGTTCTCTGTTCTGATCCACTGGTCTATGTGTCTTTTTTTTTGTACCAGTACCGTGCTGTTTTAGTGATTTTGCTGAATTCATTTGCCAGTTCTAGGAGCTTTTTGGATGAGTCTTCAGGGTTTTCTAGGTATATGATCGTGTCATCAGCAAACAGCAACAGTGTGACTTCTTTTTTTCCGATTTGGATGCCCTTTATTTCTTTCTCTTGTCTAAGCTCTGGCTAAGACTTCTTGTGCTATGTTGAATAGAAGTGGTAAAAGTAGGCATCCTTGTCTTGTTCCAGTTCTCAGGGGAAATGCTTTCAACTTTTCCCCTTCCAGTATAATGTTGGCTGTGGGTTTGTCATAGACATATTTTATTATCTTAAGGTATGTAGCTTTTATGCTGATTTTGCTGTAGGTTTTAATCCTAAAGGAATGCTGGATTTTGTCAAATGCTTTTTCTGTGTCTATTGAGATGATCATGTGATTTTTGTTTTTAATTCTGTTTATGTGGTGTATCACATCTATTGACTTGTGGATGTTAAACCATCCCTGCATCTGTGGTATAAAATCCACTTGATCACAGTAAATTATCTTTTTGATATGCTGTTGGATTCAGTTAGCTAGTATTTTGTTGAGGATTTTTGCATCTATGTTCATCAGGGATATTGATCTGTTGTTTTCTTTTTTTGCTATGTCATTTCCTGCTTTTGGTACTAGGGTGACACTGGCTTCATAAAATGATTTAGGGAGGATTCTCTCTTTCTTTATCTTTTGGAATAATGTCAGTAGGATCGATACCAATTCTTTGAATGTCTGATATAATTCAGCTATGAATCCGTCTGGTCCTGGACTGTTTTTTGTTAGTAACTTTTTAATTACCATTTCAATCTTGCTGCTTGTTATTGGTCTATTCAGAGTTTCTATTTCCTCCTGGTTAAATCTAAGAGGGTTGTATATTTCCAGGAATTTATCCATCTCCTCTAGGTTTTCTAGTTTATGCATGTAAAGGTGTTTATAGTAGCCTTGAGTGATCTTTTGTATTTCTGTGGTATCGATTGTAACATCTCCCATTTCATTGCTAATTGAGCTTGTTAGGATCTTCTCTCTTCTTTTCTTGGTTAATCTCACTAATGGCCTGTCAATTTTATTTGTCTTTTCAAAGAACCAGCTTTTTGTTTCATTTACCTTTTGTATTTTTTTTTTTCAATATCATTTAGTTCTGTTCTGATCTTGGTTATATCTTTTCTTCTGCTGGTTTGGGTTTGGTTTGTTTTTGTTTCTCTAGCTCCTTGAGGCATGACCTTAGAATGCCTATTTGTGCTCTTTCAGACTTTTTGATGTAGGCCTTTAGTGCTATGAGCTTTCCTTTGAGTGCTGCAGTTGTGTCACTATTATTCAGTTCAAAGAATATTTTAATTTCCATCTTGATTTCATGGTTGATTCAATGATCATTTGGGAGCAGGTTATTTAATTTCCATACATTTGCATGGTTTTGAGGGTTCCTTTTCGAGTTGATTTTCAGTTTTATTCCACTGTGGTCTGAGATACTACTTGCTATAATTTTGATTTTCTTAAATTAGTTGAGACTTGTTTTGTGGCCTATCATATGGTCTATCTTGGAAAATGTTCCATGTGCTGATGAATAGAATGTATATTCTGCAGTTGTTGGGTAGAATGTTCCATAAATATCTGTTAAGTCCATTTCTTCTAGGATATAGTTTAAGTCCATTGTTTCTTTGTTGACTTTATGTCTTGATGATCTGTGTAGTGCTGTCAATGGAGTATTGAAGACCCCCACTATTATTTTGTTGCTATCTATCTCATCTCTTAGGTCTAGTAATAATTGTTTTATAAATTTGGGAGTTCCAGTGTTAGGTGCATGTATGTTTAGGATTGTGATATTTTTCTGTTGGACTAGTCCTTTTTATCATTATATAATGTCCTTCTTTGTCTTTTTAATTACTGTTGCTTTAATGTTTGTTTTGTCTGATACAAGAAGAGCTACTCTTGCTTGCTTTTGGTGTCTATTTGCCTGGAATATCTTTTTCCACCCCTTTACTTTAAGTTTATGTCAGCCTGATGTGTCAGGTGAGTCTCTTGAAGACAGCAGATGCTTGGTTGGTGAATTCTTATTCATTCTGCCATTCTGTATCTTTTAAGTGGAGCATTTAGGCCATTTACATTCAATGTTAGTATTGAGATGTGAGGTACTATTCTATTCGTTTTGCTATTTGTTGCCTCAATACCTGTTTTTTTTTTTTCCTCCATTCTGTTGTTGTTTTATAGGTCCTGTGAGATTTATGCTTTAAGGAGATTCTATTTTGGTGTATTTCAAGAATTTGTTTCATGACTTAGAGCTCCTTTTATCAGTTCTCATACTGCTGGTGTGGTAGTGGCGAATTCTCTCAGCATTTGTTTGTCTGAAAAAGACTGTATCTTTCCTTCATTTATGAAGCTTAGTTCTGCTGGATACAAAATTCTTGGTTGATAATTGTTTTGTTTAAGGAGGCTAGAGATAGGACCCCAATCCTTTCTATAATAGCTTGTAGGGTTTCTCCTAAGAAATCTGCTGTTATTCTGATATGGTTTCTTTTGCAGGTTACCTGATACTTTTGCTTCACAGCTCTTAAGATTCTTTCTTTCATCTTGACTCTAGATAACCTGATGACTACGTGCCTAGATAATGATCTTTTTGTGATGAGGTTCCCAGGTGTTATTTGAGCTTCCTATATTTGGATGTCTAGGTCTCTAGCAAGGCTGGGGAAGTTTTCCTTGATTATTCCCTCAAATATGTTTTCCAAACATTTAGATTTCTCTTCTCCCTCAGGAACACCAATTATTCTTAGGTTTGGTTGTTTAATATAATCCCAAACTTCTTGGAGACTGTGTTCATTTAAAAAATTTTTTGTCTTTGTCTTTGTTGGATTGGGTTAATTTAAATGTCTTGCCTTCAAGCTCTGAAGTTCTTTCTTCTACTTGTTCAATTCTATTGCCAAGACTTTCCAGTGCATTTTGCAATCCTCTGTGTCTTTCATTTCCAGAAGTTGTGATTGTTTTTTTATTTATGCTATCTATTTCACTGGAGAATTTTTCATTCATATCCTGTATCTTTTTTTAAAAAAATTTATTTAAGTTGGACTTCACCTTTCTCTGGTGCCTCCTTGATTGGCTTAATAGTCGACTTTCTGAATTCTTTTTTTGGTGATTCAGAGATTTCATCTTGGTTTGGATCCGTTGCTTGGTGAGGTAGTGTGATCTTTTGGAGCTGTTAAAGAACCTTGCTTTGTCATATTACCGGAATTGTTTTTCTGGTTCCTTCTCATTTGGGTAGACTATGTCAGAGGGAAGATCTGGGACTCAAGGGCTACTGTACAGATTCTTTTGTCCTACAGGGTATTCTCTTGAGGTGGTGCTCTCCCCTTTTGCCTAGGGATGGGGCTTCCTGAGAGCTGAACTGAAGTGATTGTTATTTCACTTCTGGGTCTAGCCTCCCAGTGAAGTTACTGGGCTCTGGCTTGGTACTGCGGAGTGTCTGCAAAGAGCCCTGTGATGTGATCTGTCTTCAGGTCTCTCAGCCATGGATACCAGCACCTGCTCCAGTGGAGGTAGCAGGGGGCTGAAGTGGGCTCTGTGAGGGGTCCTTGGTTGTATTTTTGTTAAGTGTGCTGGTTGTGTGTTGGTTGGCCTCCGTCAAGGAGGTGGTGCTTTCAAGAGCACATCAGCTGTGGTAGTATAGGGAAGATCAGGTGGTGGATGGAGCCATAGAGAGCCCAAGATATTATGTCCTTTTTCTATGGCTACCAGGGCTGGTAGAGAAAGACCATCACGTGGGGGCAGAGTTAGGCATGTCTGAGCTCAGACTCTTCTTGGGCGGGGTTTGCTGTGGCTTCTGTGGGGGACAGGGGTGTGGTTCCCAGGCCAATGGAGTTATGTTCCCAGGGGCCATCTCTGTTGTATCACACAGGCTGCCATGGAGGTGGGTGAATGCCAGCAGCCAAGCCTCACCCAGCTTTTACACAGCCCACAGCTTGAAAGGCTAGTCTCACTCACGCTGTGCCTCACAAAAGCACTGAGTTTATTTCTAGGCAGCTGGTGAGCAGGGCTGAGAACTTGCCCCAGGCTACAAGCCTCCCGCTGAGAAAGCAAGCAGACTCACAGTTCCTCAGATGTTCCATGGAGCCTGCAGCAGCAATCCACCTCCTTTAAAGAGTCTGTGGATTCTCTCGGCTTTCTTGGTATGTTTTTGCAGTAGTTCTTGGAGCAAAAGTTCACAATGTGGGTCTCCACATGCTGTTCTGTTCATCCGAGTGGGAGCTGCAAGTTAATCCTGCCTCCTGTCTGCCATTTTTTTTTATCTCCTCCGCTTCTGTCTTCCTCCTTCCATCCGTGTGGTGTTTCTACAAAATCTTGATAGTGCTGGTGTGAAAAAGCCAACTTATTTCAGAAATTTATAGACATTTGTGTGAAGGATAAAGTGTTTCATTTCTGTCCTCTTCATGTCCCAGGGCCCACATTTGTTTTTTATGTCTTTTGTCATTCTCTACATTTTGGGAGAAAATGGAGGGAAAGAAGGATATGCAGAGGAGAGTAAGCCACATGACCAGATGAGTGGACATCAGTGTCAGAGAACAGCAACTGCTGAGCTCAGAGAGAGCGTGCTGTCAGGAAACATCTTTCCTTTAGATGGAGCTTTTGTGTTCTTGTGTGGATTTTTTGGTTAAGCATGGGTTCCCAGGCTCTCTAAGAGTTTTGCAGATTGGCATTTGGTACCTAGAACAAGATTCTAAAAATGGTTTAAACTGATCCTGTGCAGCTAGGCGACATTGTCTCTACCTTCAGTCCTTCTATGCAGGTCTCTAGACTTTACAGGGTTATATAAATAATTAGAATACCTAAAACAATTATTGGGTGTTTTAGAATCTATGAGGGTAAATATGAAAATGAATCTCTGCTTGCTGAACTTAGCTTAAGTTCTGAAGTTCCATAGTTATGCCCAACAGCTATCATGAGAAGAAGATGGATGAAGAGATATTTCTTCATAGAGCCAAATTGGCTGGCAAAGATTACTTATAGGCCTCTGTCAACTTCTCCACCCCTGTCTTGCAACATACAGCTCAATGTTTCCAGATGTACCAAGTTTCATGGTTTCTTATTTTCCACACCCTTGGGATGCCTCCTGCTGAACCTGGAACTCTCTCTTGCTATGTCAGGTCCAAGAGAAACATATCAAAAGTGGAGTGATGGTGTGGGATTGGTGGCATGTATTAAGTATCTTTGCCACGTCTATCATGATATTGTTTTAAAAGATGAGAGTCATGAAGGTCCCATGAACACATTTTGAGCTGGTAATTTTTGAACTCCCATGACTCAAACCATATCTGTTTGTTTTTGTTTAATTTTCCAAGTTTTATATAGAGTTCCCATAAATAAAACATTGTGCTTTGAGAATGCGAGGGCATGAAAACAAATATAGTTTAGCCAACAGCAATACCTCATATTCTGGTGTTTGGAGCTGTTTCTCAGGCACCCTGAATTTTATAGTAAAAAATTATTCTGGGGCTCCAAATATGTTAGTAACATGGAAATTTATATATACATATACATATATACATATATATATATAAAATAAAATGATAAATGCATTTTTGTGCAAAATCTTGTTTTATGCCATAATCAGCAAGAACATGGGACTCTCACCAGTATTGATAGCATGTGACTGCAGTTGAGTGCCCTCTGCACTGGCTGTGGCAAAGTTCTCAGTTTATATCCTGATTTATCTGTAGGATGGAAGTAAGCTTGAGAGCTAGTTTTTCTCATCAGTGACATATATTGACGACAATGTGCCCATGACCTATATCCACAAACTTACTATGTTTAGACATATTTGTGGGTTGATGACCAGCAACACTTTTTAAAGGGTCTCATTCTTTCCCTGGAATATTTTCAGGATGACCATATATAAATATACAAGTATTCCCATGTATTTTGATTTTCAGGGCCATTAATTCTTAGCAACACTATAGTCCCTACCTAAGTACTGATTCAATTGTAGACATGAGTGAGAGTTTTGGTTGCCTAGGTAAGGTGCTATAATTGATAAAATATTGAAGATACGTTTTTGAAAGGATGGGAAAGGTAAAGGATGAGTAAATATAGTAAAAGAAAAATAGGGCTCCTAATTATTAGAATGAAAGCTTAGGTAGGTAAAGTGTGATGATCTGAGAAAACATGTCATCTCTCAAATATGGGAAGAAGTCTTAGACATCAAACAATCTCAAACAATCTCAAATCATCCACTAAGTGAAATTTAGGAAAAATTTTTTTTAATCAAAAAGTGGGCTTGACAGATTTTTTGATAGATCCATAATGTGGGAAATTTATCAGGCAAAAAAAAATTTGGACTAAATTAGAGGTGGGATAATCAGAGGAAAGTATAATTAAATTAGTCAATTAATTGAACAGTAGTCAGTGAGATAGTGTATCAGCTAATTTTGGCTAGGTAACAAATGACTTCAAAACTTAGTAGTTAAAATAATAGTCATTGTATTCAGCTCACAATTATGTAGGTTAGACAGGTGGTTCTTCGGCCACTCTCTGGAGGGCTCTTTCATTCAGTGGATAGTTGGCAGGTCTGTTGGTGGCTGGGGGCAGCTGATGCATGATGTAGGATGGCCTCACTTAAGAGTCTGGTGTTTGGCAGGGTGTTGGCCAGGGGTTAGCTAATTATTAGCTGAGGTTTTTTATTTATTCACCATCTGTTTTTTCACTTATCAAGATAGCTTAGCTTCATTCGCATGCCAGTCTTAAGATTCCAAGTTGGAAACCCAACTATATCAATAATTATGGTAATTGTAAATGGGCCAAATATTACAATTAAATTGCAGAGATTGTCAGACTGAATAAAAATGTAAGACTTAATTACATGTTGCCTGCAAGAGACTTTAAATATAAAGAAACATAAGTTGAAAGTAAAATGATGAAAAAAAAATACCAGGCAATCAATATAAGAAAGTTAAATTGGCTATATTAGTACCAGACAATGTAGACTTAAATGCAGGAATTATTACAAGAAATAAAAAGGAGTGTTTAATGGTTATAAAAACTTCAAGTTTGTAGGAAGACCAAATAATCATTAGTGATGTAGGTAGCTAAATATAGTGCCTCAAAATAAATGAAAGAAACATGATAGAATGAATAGGAGAAAAAGCCAAATACAAAATTATGGTGAAGATTTTTAACATCGTTTCTCAGAAATTGATACAACTGCCCCCAAATCTAGAAAACACCCAAATTCTTGGAAATTAAATAAACACATTTTTAATAACTCACGGGAAAAGGATGAAAGCCCTAGAAACATTTTTACAAATATTTGAACTCTATGAAAATAAACATAGCAATACCAGTGTTTATAAGAAAATCCAGAGCTTTTAATGCTGATATTAGAAAATAACAATAAATGTATTCTATATTTCCACCTAAGGAACTAGAAAAAGAAAAAAATTAAACCCAAATAAATAGAATAAGATAAATAATAAAGAGCTGAAATAAGTAAAATAGAGAAATGTAAACAATAAAGACAATTATAAATACTGTAAGTTGGTTCTTTGAACAGAAAAAAAAATACAAGCCTCTAGAAATACCAATCAAGAAAAATGGGAAAATGCAAACTTACTATCATCAGAAATAAAAAAGCAGATCTCACTGCAATTTCTACAAAAATTTAGAAATATTATGAGGGAATATTATGAACAAAATTATTCCAGTAAATTTGATAACTTGGAGAAAATGGAGAAATTCCTTGACATACAACTTAATAAAAATGGCACAAAAATATGTTAAAAATTTGAATAACCATATGTCTAGTAAAAAATTTGAACCTTTGTATTAAAGGATATTGAAGCTTATAAAAACAACCTTGCCATAAAGATGCTTTGAGTCTAGGTGGCGCTATCTAGAATAATGCTGGAAGGAATAACAGAAACTTAAACTCTGACAGAGTAGAGGACAGTAGAGGACACGTTGCAGTACATTCTGTGAGCCCACGCAGCCCTGATACCAAACATGACAAAGGCATTATTCTCCAGGAACATAATCTCAAAAGCCTTGTAACAAAATACTGGCAAATAAAAGGATAAAAGATCATTATCAAGTGGGATATATCCCAGGAATACAAGGTTGATTTAATATTTGAAAATCTATCAGTAAAAATCAGTATGTTAACAGAATAAAGAAGAAAAATGATACGATCATTGTAATATATGTAGAAAATATTTGATGACATTAAACATGCATTCATGTTAAAGAAAACTTTCAGCAAGAGTAAACATAGAATAAAAGGAAACATCCTTAATCTGTTAATGGGCATCTATGAAAAACCTACAGCTCATTTAATGGTGAAATGCTGAAGGCTTTCCTCCTACAGTCAGGAATGAGACAAAGATATTCTTTCTGATTATGTCAAGTCAACATTGAACCAGAGCTTTTAGTCAGTGCAATCACACAGGAAAAAGAAATAAAAAGGTATATAGATTGAGAAGAAAGAAGCAAAACTGTCTTTGCTCACAGTGTCACAATTATTTATGCAAAAAATTCTAAGGAATATACAAAATAACTATGAGAATTAGTAAGTGAATTTAGCAAGGCTATAAGACACAAAATAAATATAAAAATTGATGCTTCCATATGATAGCATCAATCTTGTGGAAAATGAGATTAAATGTTATTTCTAATAGAATGAAAAAACAAAGTATTTAGGAGCATATTTTATAAAAATGAGCAAAACATATATAGCGAAATTAAAGGAGACCTAAGCAAATGGAGATAGAACTATTTTCATTAATTTAGACATTCAATCTTGTTAAGAATTCAGATATCCACAAATAGATTTTTAGATTCAATGCAACCCCAATCAAAATCTCAACAGTATGCTTTTGAAAAAAATTACAAGCTAAATCTAAAATTTATGTGGAATGCAAAGGACTCAGAATAACCCAAATACTTCTGATAAGGAAGAACAAAACAGCAGGACACAATCTACCTAATTTCAATACTTACTATAGAACTCCAGCAATAAAGACAGTGTACACCAGTTAGAATGGCAATCATTAAAAAGTCAGGAAACAACAGGTGCTGGAGAGGATATGGAGAAATAGGAACACTTTTACACTGTTGGTGGGACTATAAACTAGTTCAAACATTGTGGAAGTCAGTGTGGCGATTCCTCAGGGATCTAGAACTAGAAATACCATTTGACCCAGCCATCCCATTACTGGGTATATACCCAAAGGACTATAAATCATGCTGCTATAAAGACACATGCACACGTATGTTTATTGCGGCATTATTCACAATAGCAAAGACTTGGAACGAACCCAAATGTCCAACAATGATAGACTGGATTAACAAAATGTGGCACATATACACCATGAAATACTATGCAGCTATAAAAAATGATGAGTTCATGTCCTTTGTAGGGACATGGATGAAATTGGAAATCATCATTCTCAGTAAACTATCACAAGAACAAAAAACCAAACACCGCATATTCTCACTCATAGGTGGGAACTGAACAATGAGAACACATGGACACAGGAAGGGGAACATCACACTCTGGGGACTGTTGTGGGGTGGGGGGATGGGGGAGGGGGGAGGGATGGCAATGGGAGATATACGTAATGCTAGATGACGAGTCAGTGGGTGCAGCGCACCAGCAAGGCACATGTATACATATGTAACTAACCTGCACATTGTGCACATGTACCCTAAAACTTAAAGTACAATAATAATAAATTAAAAAAAAAGACAGTGTGATATTAGTACACACATGGACCATTCCATCAATGAAACAAGCAGAAGCACTGAATAGACACCCACATGGGAGGTAAATTTAATTCTGACAAAAGTTCTAGAGAAGTTAAATGGAGAAAGGAATATTTTCTTTTAGACGGTGCTGGAGTAACTGAAAGAAAACGTGGAGAAAAAGCAACCTGTATCCCTACTTCTCACTACACATGTAAATTATGGTTCATAGATTAATACAAAATATAAGCTATCACTATTAAGCTTCTAAAAGAAAACATAGGAGAATATTCTGGCAACCTTGGAGTAGGCAAAAGATTCTTACAGAGAACGAAATGAGGCATTTACCTAAGGAACAAATTGAAAAATTAAGCTGTATCAAAGTTAAAAATTCTTCTATTTAAAACAGATCATTAAGACAACACAAAAGCAAAACAGGCTTAGAGAAAATATTCATAATACACATATCATGCAAAACATTTCTG
The DNA here is from genome assembly GCF_000001405.40 of Homo sapiens. Classification (NCBI taxonomy): domain Eukaryota; kingdom Metazoa; phylum Chordata; class Mammalia; order Primates; family Hominidae; genus Homo; species Homo sapiens. The sequence goes on from NC_000002.12 coordinate 335,125, forward strand.
TAAAGAACATATAGAGCTCCAACAAACAAAAATAAATAAATACAAATGACTCAATGACTTATACATATATTCCACTAAAGAATATATTTGTGTTCAATAAAAACATTAAAATATCAAAAATATTAGATATGAGGGTAATGTAATTAATGTCAGCTGATAGCACTTTGCATAGTGTATACCATTTGCTAAGATTAAAAATTCAACCACACTGATTGTTGAGGTGGTTGCAAAGCACCTTAAACACTCACAGATGCTCAGGAAGGGCCATAGAACTTGCAAGCACTTTGGAAACGGGCATTTTCTCATTAAGGTAAAAATACACCTGCTCTATGACTCTTTTACTGCACTGATATTTACCCCAAAAGTATAAAAATAACCATCCACAAAAATACTTGTACAAGAATGTTTGTAGTAGCTTTACTCATAATTGCCAAAGACTTAACCAATCCAAGTACCCATCAATCTGAAAACAGATTTTAAAAAGATGATACAATCATACATACAGCAAAATACTACTGAGCAATATAAAGGAATTGCACACAACAACACAATCTGAAAAATATGGTCGGGAAAAAAAACCCAGGCATAAGAGTAAGTATTGCATGATTCTCTTGATAGGAAGTTTAAGAACAGACACTGTCTTGACAGGAACCAGAGCCTCAGTGTCTGCAGGAGTTGCTGGCTGTTTCCTGATGCAGTTGGAGCAGAATGGGATGTCCTGGGACAACAGAGATGTTTACCCATCTTGACTAGTGTGGTCATCTGAAGAATGGCCTCCAAAGACATCCTGAGAACCTGGGAATGTTGCATGGATGAAGGAATTTGCAAAAGTGATTAAGTTAAGGAGCTTGAAATTTGTGGATCATGCTGGGTTACCCCAGTGAGCTCTAAATGTAATCACATGTGTCTTTATGAAAGGGAGGCAGAGGGAGATTTGCAGACAGATGAGGAGGAAGATGAGAAAACAATGGACACAAGAAAGAAAAGGTGATGCAGTTCAGGGACCCAAGCCAATAAATGAGGTGACCTCCAGATGCTGGAGAAGGGAAGGAAGCAGATGGACTCTAGAGCCCCCAAAAGAAGCAGGGCTCTGCCATCACCTTGATTTTGTCCCAATGAAACCCATTGGTCATTTAGCTGCCAGAACTGTGTAAGCATAAATGTGTGTTCGTTTAAGCCATGAAATTTGCAGTAATTTGTTAAAGCTGCCATGGGAAACTAACACAACTGGAGTGGTAGTTCCGTGAATGCATGCATTCACCAAACCTTAACATGTACTCTTCGGATACTGGCATGATAGGTCCATGAATGCATATGTTCACCCACACACTAATATATACCCTTCAAATACTGGTATGATAGTTCTATGAATGCATGTGTTCACCACACACTAACATGTACCCTTCAGATACGGGCATGGTAGTGCCCTGAATACACGTGTTCACCAAACCCCAACATGTACCCTTCAGATACTGGCATGATAGTTCCATGAATCCATGTGTTCACCAAATCCCAACATGTACTCTTCAGATATGGACATGGTAGTTCCATGAATACATGTTTTCACCAAAAACCAACATGTACCCTTCAGATACTGGTATGATAGTTCCATGAATGCATATGTTCACCAAACTAAAATATGTACCTGATATGGTTTGGCTGTGTCCCCACCCAAATCTCATCTTGAATTGTAGCTCCCATAATCCTCACATGTTGTGGGAGGGTCCTGGTGGGAGGTAATTGAATCACAGGGGTGGATTTTTCCTGTGCTGTTCTCATGATAGTAAGTCTCACCAGATCCGATGGTTTTATAAAGGGCAGTTCCCCTGAACATGCTCTCTTGCCTGCTGTAATGTAAGACATGCTTTTGCTCTTCCTTCACCTTCTTGCCATGATTGTGAGGCATAGCCAGCCATGTTGAACTGTAAGTCAATTAAACCTCTTTCCTTTATAAATTACCCAGTCTCAGGTATTTCTTCACAGCAGTATGAAAATGGACTAATACAGTAAATTGGTACCGGGAGTGGGGTGCTGCTGTAAAGATACCCAAAAATGTGGAAGTGACTTTGGAACTGGGTAACAGGCAGAGGTTGGAAGAGTTTGGAAGGATCGGAAGAAGATAGGAAAATGTGGGAAAGTTTGGAACTTCCTAGAGACTTGGAGAGCTCAGAAGACAGGAAGATGTGGAAAACTTTGGAACTTCCTAGAGACTTATTGAATGGCTTTGACAAAAATGCTGATAGTGATATTGACAATAAAGTCCAGGCTGAGGTGGTCTCAGATGGAGATGAACAACTGTTGAGAACTGGAGTAAAGGTCACTCTTGCTGTGCTTTAGTGAAGAGACTGGTAGCATTTTGCCCTTGCCTTAGAGATCTGTGGAAATCTGAACTTGAGAGAGATGATTTAGTGTATCTGGTGGAAGAAATTTCTAAGCAGCAAAGAGTTTAAGGGGAAGCAGAGTATAAAACTTTGAAACATTTGCAGCCTGACGATGCAGTAGAAAAGAAACCCCATTGTCTGGGGAGAAATTCAAGCTGGCAGCAAAAATTTGCATAAGTTACAAGGAGCCAAAGGTTAACTACCAAGACAATGGGGAAAATGTCTCTTGGCATGTCGGACACCTTCACAGCAGCTCCTCTCATGACAGGAGTGGAGGCCTAGGGGGAAAAATGGTTTCCTGGACTGGGTCCAGGGCCCCCCTTTTGTGTGCAGCCTTGGGACTTGGTTCCCTGCATTCCAACTGCTCCAGCCATGGCTAAAAGGGGCCAATGTACAGCTTGAGCCATGGTTTCAGAGGGTGAAAGCCCCAAGCCTTGGGAGATTCCACGTGATTCCAGTCCTTCAGGTGTGCAGAAGACAAGAATTGAGGTTTGGGAACCTTGGCCTAGATTTCAGAGGATGTATGAAAGTGCCTGGATATCCAGGCAGAGGTGTGCTGCAGGGGCAGAGCCCTCATGGAGAACCTCTGCTAAATCAGTGCAGAAGAGAAATGTGGGATTAGAGCCCCCACACAGAGACCCTACTGGGGCACTGCCTAGTGAAGCTGGGGTCTAGGCAGACCCCAGAATGGCAGATCCACTGACTGCTTGCACCATGCACCTGGAAAAGCTGCAGAAACTCAGCACTAGCCTGTGAAAGCAGTCAGGATGGTGGGCTGTACACTGCAAAGCCACAGGGGCAGAGCTGCGCAAGGCTGTGGGAACCCACCTCTTTCATTAGCATGACCTGGATGTGAGACATGCAGTCAAAAGAGATCATTTTGGAACTTTAAGGTATAATGACTGCCTATTAGATCTCAGACTTGTATGGGGTCTGTGGCCCCTTTGTTTTGGCCAATTTCTCCCATTTGGAATGGGTGTATTTACCGAATTCCTCTACTCCCATTCTATCTAGAAAGTAACTAACTGGCTTTTGATTTTATAGGCTAATAGGTGGAAGGGACTTCCCTTGTCTCAGAGGAGACTTTGGACTGTGGACTTTTGAGTTAACGCCGAAATAAGTTAAGACTTTGGGGGACTGTTGAGAAGGCAAGATTGGTTTTGAAGTGTGAGGGCATGAGACTTGGAAGGGGCCAGTGGCAGAATGACATGGTTTGGCTGTGTCTCCACCCAAATCTCATCTTGAATTGTAGTTTCCATACCCAATGAGAGGTAATCAAATCATGGGAGTGGGTTTCCCCATGCTGCTCCCTTGATAGTTAATAAGTCTCACGAGATCTGATGGTTTTATAAAGGGCATTTCCCCTGCACATGCTCTCTTGCCTGCCACCCTGTAAGACATGTCTTTGCTCCTCCTTCACGTTCTGCCATGATTGCGAGGTATCCCCAGCCATGTGGAATGGTAAGTCCATTAAACCTCTCTCCTTTATAAATTACCCAGTCTCAGGTGTTTCTTCTTAGCAGCATGAAAATGGACTAATACAGTACCCTCCAGATACTAGCAAGGTAGTTCCATAAATACATGAGTTGTTACCAAACTCAAATATGTACCCTTCAGATACGGGCATGGTAGTTCCATGAATGCATGTGTTCACCAAAGACCAACATGTACCTTCAGATACTGGGATGATAGTTCCACGAATGCATGCATTCACCAAACTCAAACATGTACTCTTCAGATACTGGCATGGTATTTCTATGAATGCATGTGTTCACCAAACTCCAACATGTACCCTTCAGATACGGGCATTTGACTGCATGAGTAGTTTACTTCAATGAAAAAGAAAAACTCTGAAAAACAATAATAAGTAAAAACAAAAAATAATTAAAAATATCTCAAAAAATAAGTAAAACCACAAAAAATAAGTAACAGCATCTGATCTGTACTTAGATATAGAAATACATACACACACACACTCACACAAAATAGGAGTCCACAATGTCTGATGCACACTTTTGAAGGGAATTAAGACACGTTACTTTTGTGTTTGGTTCTTATGCTTTAAAGTGAAATAAATCCTCAGCTGGACCTGTCAAATCTCACTTTCTTCCAATCATCACATCTTTGTTTAATATTCATTCTTATTTTCTCAGACTCCCCCGCACTGCTGGGTTCCATCCCAGTTTGTGTTAACCAGTCAGCTCCCCACTGTAGGAGTAGGGGGAACAGTGCTGTGCACCTCCCTCTCCCCTGTACTCCCTCCCCTCCATCCACTTTCCAAACTCTCACGATGACATCCAAGTCCACAACGTCTCTCTTCAGCTGAGGCTCGCAAAGAAGCAGTGGAACCACTGCATCCAAGAGGAGTGAAGATGAAGCTGGAAGGAGTGAGATTCCTTGAGAGGCGGCCCAGGCAGTGGAACAGCAGAGGTGAGGCCTGAGCACAGCATGGAGGAATTTAAAGGGGAAAGAAGATGCATCCAGGATGGAAGATTCCTAAAGAATGTTTACGAAAACAAGATGCTACTCAGTTTTTATTACATGAGAAAGCATGAATAGTACCCCCTCGCCTACCCCAAATCTAGCAGTGAAGAGGCTCCAGAGTGCAGACTGAAACCACCCCCTAGAGGAGGCCAGGCTCAGCAGCAAGAGAGAGTGCAGTGGGGCAACCACCAGCAATGATGCAGTCTGGTTTGCAGGGGGAGAAACAGAGGACAAACTTGAAAATCTAAGATGCTGCTACTGCACGTCACACAGATACAATCACTGCAGGCAGACATAAGCTGGGGCCAGTGCCCCAGGCCAGCATGGGAACAGAATACCAAGGGGGTCACAGCACAGGTGATACACTGGAGCCAGGGGCCATGAGAACTAGGATGGGGTCTGGATGGACAGTGATCCAGGGGGTTGTCCGCCGCCTTGGCCCTTTCCTGTCTCAGATGTGTCCCTCCCCTGACCCAGCTGTGCCCCTCCCCTGCCCCAGGTGTGTCCCTCTCATGACCCAGGTGGGCTCCTCCCCTGTCCCAGGTGTGCCCCTTCCCTGACCCAGGTGTGCCCCTCCCCTGTCCCAGGTGTGCCCCTTCCCTGACCCAGGTGTGCCCCTCCCCTGACCCAGGTGTGCCCCTCCCCTGACCCAGGTGTGCTATTTTCACTCAGGTGTGCCCCTCTCTCCTTGGAATCAGCTCAGAGGCTTCCCTGCTTGTGGTGGCCTCTTCCTCCTTCATTCACAATTTGCAGTTAAGTGTCCTCTGCATTCCAATAGTTAATGAAGGAGGAAGAGCTTTAAAATAGCCTCTGAACAGTGAAAACCAGAAAGGAGTATAAAAGGTTAAAAATAATCTTGAACATGTTTAAAAATGTAATTCTATGGATACACAATCTGTACCTCTCAGCTGGGTCTCCTGAAAAGCCGGTGCTTTGCACTCCAAGGCTGTGGTGCCTCTGTTTACTGCGATTGAAGAAAGGGCAAGCACGTTGAATGACAGCCCTCCGTGCTAGGCAGCACAAGTGTCGCTGGACTGATCCCTATTTACAGTATTGATTCTGTAGAATGTTCCACCTGACAGTGATTCTAAAACTCTTTGTGTGTATATGAATTTTATATAAAATTTTATTTTCTCTGAAATCGACCAAGCATCCAAATCTTCTTCCTGTTGGCAGCATCTCCCTGCAGGTGCCTGCCTGGACTTGGGTGGTTGCCAGCGTACTCTGGGTGGGCTGGTGTGGAGGCTTCAGGAAGCTGCATGGCTGATCCTGAGTGCAGGGACCAAGTCCCTTTCCGGGCATGCCAACCTGCACTTGAGCTGTTCCCCACCCCCACACTCTCTCCCCTCTCCCACCTACACCCACTCTTTTTTTTTTTTTTGAGACAGAGTCTTGCTCTGTCACCCAGGCTGGAGTGCAGTGGTGCAATCTCTGCTCACTACAACCTCCACTTCCTGGGTTCAAACGATTCTCCCGCCTCAGACTCCCCTGTAGCTGGGATTACAGGCGTGTACCACCACGCGCAGCCTCCCACTCCCTTAGAGAAGTTTAACTTGTAGTTCTTCTTTTTTACCAAGAGACGCTTCAGGCTGCATCCCAGATGATCCTGGGACAGATGAATCTCGGCATCATGGATGGCAGCGTTCACTCCACTGGCCCCAGAGGAAGAAAGCTGTGGTTGGAGAGGGGTTAATGACAGCCTCCCAGCCCTCAGGGAGTCGGTCGCCTTAAAGAAGGAAGCAGAGAGGCTGCGTTTTCCAAATCTAGTCCTGGAGATGCTTGAAGAGAAAGAACATTGCTAGAACTCAGGTTTCAATGAGCAACTGAAGGGAAGTCTGTGCTCCGCCTCTGAAGGACTGAATGTATCTGGGGCCCACTGCAGGGGGGACACGGTGCCTTGGAATGCAGTGTGTCTGTATTTCCTGATCAGTCAGCTGTTTAATACTTCTCATTTAAACTAGGAACAGAGCACCAACAGTTACTGCGCATATTAGGAAAATTCATAGCTGGAAAGATAGAGAATGGAATAAACAATAAAGAACAAATACAAAAATTTGAAGACTTTTTAAGCAGAAGAAAACTAAAATGCATAATCATTAATATCCCGAGGAGGGTTAGAGATGATGTCATAACCATCAAATGAGAACAAGATGTTATTAGAAACATTCAGAGGATAAAGAGGAGCTGTTAGAAATTAAAAACCTGTGATCACAAGTTAAAATTTGAGTTGAAAAATATTGTTGAAGAAATCTTCTGGAAGCCAGAGCTAAAAGGCAAAGACAGAAAATATGAAAGGAAAAATACAAAACTTAAACAACTAGTCCTGGAGGTTCATTATGTTAATAAATAAGGAATCCAGAAGGAGAAGGCAGAGGAAATACAGGGAATTACATCATTAAAATAATTCAAGAAAAAATTTCCAGAACTAAAAGACATTATTTTTCTGATTGAAATAAAAAAACAAGAGCCCAACCTAAGACACAACACTGGGAAGCTTCAGTTTAGTGTGCAAAGCTGTGGAGGCTGCAGATAAACGCGTGGGCCCAGCAATGAGCCATCTGCAGGGCAGCCATGAGGCCAGCCCAGCGTGGCCGTGAAAGGGTTTCCACCTGCAAATTCTACAGCTAGCCCACTCTCAATCAGCCTACACACATTCTCAGGTATTATCAGGCATTTTCAGACAACATTCACCTCTACACTCGTTTTGAGGAAGCCGCTGGAGCAGGCACCTCACCAAAGTGGAGGGAAGACCAGGAAGGAAGGAAGCAGGGATTTGAGAAAGGGGAAAGGGCTTTCCCAGGATGGTGGGTCAGGGAGGTCTCAGAATGGTGTCTGTGCATCCAGTGGAGGATAGCTTGTCTAGATGCTTCCCTCTTCAGGAAGAAATGGGAGAAATTGCATGTGTTTGAAATCTTTGAGAGAAGATTTAGCATTGTATTAGTTGAGAATAACCAAATTAAAAACAATTCTTAACTCTTGAAACAACAAAATCCTTGTTAAATAACAGGCTCATGGTTTATTCTGCATTGTATCTGTCAACTGAATTTGTACAACCACAAAAGCGTAAATGTTGAATATTGATCTAACCCAAGTTACAGTGCAACCATTTGAGGATGATGGGGCCTGGGGGCGGGAGCAGGCTGAGTCCTGGGCTGCCTAGGTAGGAGCTCAAGAGAAAAGGGTCATCGCAAGCATGTGATATAGAAAGAGGGAGCTATTGTCCAAAGTGTTGGTAAAGGAGGAAGAAGGGTTGCCTCTGTGCAAGGATAGCTTTGGTAAAAAATAAAGATTAAAACTAAAAATACATGAAGACAAATGAAAGATAAACCCTCCTGACAAAGTTGTTTGTGTGTATGTGAGTGTGATTTCATTATAGACTTTGACTTTTTCTGCTCAGGGATGCTAGACAGCACTTCAGCATCAGGCCTGGGGAAGGCACGCCAGACAGAAATCAGCAACAAAAAGTGCAAAAATGCAAAAATGTGGCAGGAAATATGCTGCAAAAGGATGCTTGTTTACAGAAGGCAGCAGAAGCAAGAGGCAGGCGTGTGAACATGCATGCGGGAGGCTCAGAGTTTTCACCACTCTGCACTTGGCCATGAGTGACCCAGGAAGTACTGCAAATGTTGATGCTGGGGTTGCCACCAAATTCTAGTGAGCAGGTGAATTCGCAAATACCTTCTATCCTAGGGCCAAAGATGGGGTCAGTTAGTGCCATTTTCTGGTTTCGTTTTTCTTTTCTGATTCATTTCTTCAGTTTATTTCATACTTGTATAATTTGACAACTTTATTCTGTTAAAGTTTATTTCTCCAGTATATGTCTAAGTAATGTAGAATATATAATATGTTTACCTGTAGCATATCGAGAGGAAACAGGCATCATTGGACTAAGTCTCGATGTGTGGACAGCGTTGGTAGAATCATACTTAGGGAGCTCATCTTCGTGAGTCACAAATTGGGTTTCCTATTCCTGCTCCTCCTTTCCCACCCTCTCTTCTTTAAAGTTTTGAGGTTTGTCCCAGGTGGCTCTGTACAGCTCCCCACAGAATGGTTATTTTATGCAAGAACAGAATCCTTGTCTATTTTTTCTTCAAAGTAGTAATTTTAACCTGTGGCATTTATCAGAAAACAAGATTGTCTTAAAAGGAAAATTTAAAAAATATTCCATTTCCATTTATTTATGTTTTTATCAAGTTGAAATTCACATAACATATAATCAACCCTATTAAAGTGGAATTCAGTGATAGTGCATTCATTATGTTGTGCAATTTCTAGCAACTTGTATTTTAAAAACGTTTTTATTACCCCAGAAAAACACTTTGTACCTAAGTAATCATGTAATGCAATGAGATATTATGGGACAGAAACATTCAGAGAATAAAGATGAACATTTAGAAATTAAAACCATATATGACAAAAAGTTATGACTCAGTGAAAGAGTTGGAAAACATTGTTGAAATCTTTTGGAAGCTAGAGCTAAAAGACAAAGAGATGAAAAATAGGGAAGAAAAACATACACAAATTAGACGACTAGTGCTGGCACTCCACTATGTTAATAAACCAGAATTCTAGAATGAGAGGATGGGAAATAGAGGGAGTCTCTTCTCCCTGGTAATGTCTAATCCACTTTCTGTCTCTATTGATTTGTCTGTTCAAGATAAACCGCATAGAAGAAATAATTCACTATGTGACCTTTTGTACCTGGCTTCTGTTACTGGGCATAATGTTTTTAAGATTCATCCATGTTATAGCGAAATAATATTTATGACTAAGTAATATTTAATTGAATGTGCACCACAATTTGTTCATCCATTTATCTGTTGATGGACATCTGGGCTGTTTCCACCTTTTGGGTATTGTAAATAATTCTGCTATAAACATTTGTGTGCAAGTTTCTGTGTGGACACATGTTTTTATTTCTCTTGGATATATATCTAGGAGAGTAACTGCTGGATTATATAATAATCTCGTGTTTAACGTTTTGAGAAGTTGCTGGGGTGTTTTCCACAGCGATTGCATCATATGACATTCTCATCTGCAGTGTTCTTGCTCCTGTTTCACCACATCATTGTCCACACTTTTTATTCTTCATTTTCTTAATGAAAGCCATTCCAGTAGGTGTGAAGCAGTAGGTATCTCATTGTGGTTTTTGATTTGCAATTCTTTAATGACCAGTGACAGGGAACATCTTTTCATGTGCTTGTTGACCGTTTGTATATTTTATGTGAAGAAATGTCCTTTGCTCATTTTTAAAATATTTTTTGCCTTTTTTGTTGTTAAGTTGTAAGAGTTCTTTAAAATTGCTCTAAATATGAAACCTTTATGACATATATAATTTTGCAAGTGTTTTCACCCATTCCGTAGATTGCCTTTTCATATTCTTGATAATGTTCTTTGATGTTCAAAAGTTTTCAATTTTTATGAAGTCAAATGTATCTGTTTTTTTCTTTTCTTGCCTGTTCTTTTCATGCCAAATCTAAGACTTCATTGCCAAATCTAACATCAGAAGGTTTACCTGTGCTTTCTTCTAAGAGTTTTTTGGTTTTAGCTCATAGTTAGGTCATTGATTAACCTTGAGTTAACTTTTTGTGTATGTTAGGTAGGGATTGAAGAGTCTTCTTTCCCCATTCAGTCTTGGTACCCTTGTGAAAAATCATTTGGCCATAGATGTTTGGGCTTATTTCTGGACTGCAATTCTATTCCATTGGTCCACGTCTATCCCTATGCCAGGATGACACCGTTTTGATTACTTTCCACAGTGACTGCCTCATATGACATTCTCATCCGCAGTGTTCTTCTATCTTGTTCTTGACCTTAGGGTGAAAGTTTTGAAATTGGGAAGTGTGAGTCTTCCTACTTTGTTTTTCATTTTCAAGGTCGTTTTAGGTATTTGGGACTCTTTGCATTTCCAGATGAATTTGAGAATCACCTTTTCCATTTCTGCAAAAAAGACAATTAGAATTTTGACAGGAATTGCATTGAATCTGTAGATCACTTTGGTGAATATTCTCATACTAACAATATTAAGTGCAGTTCATAAACATGGGATATCTTCCCATTTATTTAGATCTTTAATTTCAGCATGTTTGGTAGTTTCAGTGTACAAGTCTTTCACTTCTCTGGTTAAATTTCTTTCTAGGTATTTTAATCTTTTGGATACTATTGTAAGTGGAATTGCTTTCTTACTTTCCTTTTCAAATTATTTATAGCTGTTGTATAGAAGCACAGCTGTTTCTCGGATATTGATCTTGATGTTGAACCCAGAAACATCACTGGATTTGTTTAGAAGCTCTAGTAGATTTTTGCTTGTTTGTTTTGTGGGCATGTGTGTCGTGTGTGTATATTCTATGGGATTTTCTGTATACAAAGTCCTGTCATCTGCAAATATAGTTTTCCTTCTTCCTTTCCAATTTGAATGTGATGCTCTTATTTCTTTTTCTTACCTATTGCTCTTAAGATATCCAGGAAAATACTGAATAGAAGTGTGAAATGTTCATTCTTATTTTGTTCTGGACTTTAGGATGAAAGCTTTCACAATAAAATATGAGGTTAGTTTTGGACTTTGAAATTGTCCTTTATCATGTTCCCCTCTATTCCTAGTTTGTTGAGTGTTTTTATCATAAAATGTCATTGAACTTTGTCAAATGCTATTTCTGCATCTATTGAGTTGCTTGTGTGTGTGTTTCCTTTATTCTATGAATGTGATTACATTGATTGATTTTTTTGTATTGCGCTACCCTTGCATTCTGGGGATAAATCTCCTGTTATCTAATCCCTTTATGGTATACAATCCTTTTGATGTGTTGATGGATTCAGTGTGCTAAGTGATGGTGCTAATCTTTAAAAATGTTAACATCTTTGTCATGTCACCTAGACTGAATTGTATTTAAATAATTCAGGTGAAGACCCAAAGCTAGTTACTTGTGTAGCCATTGGTCACACATTTGCTAGTTGGGCATTTCACAGAAATGGATATTAATCAAATTAAGGAAAACAGGCATTCATAAATGGATTTCTGTTTCTAGGCATTTTCAATTCCATAATAGATTATTTACTATACGTGGTCAGCAACTCTGTAATGCTGCAATGAATACATACTAGATTTATAGGTTTTAAAATATGAGAATAGTGAAACATTTGTCTTTTTTATCTAACTTCTTTTACAGACCGTATAGACATATGAAATGTGACTTAATATGAACGGTTACTTTTTCTTTTTTCTAATAGTAATTTCGAATCACATTTAGCTTTTTTCTCGTTAAATATTTCCTAAGTATTATTTTATTATGCTTTTGTTTTGTATGTATCAAGAGCATAACATTCGTTGACTTTTGATTTTTCTCTGTAACATTATCTTCAGCTATTGAATTAGTTTTCCTTTTGAAGTTAATTTCCACTTATCACTTGGGTTACCAAAGTAATGATTTCTTACAGTTATGTCTTTGTTAATAATATTTAGGGCTTTATAAAAAATAGTATCTTTCTTAAAGTAGTTATATTTTCCTAAGATGTTCTTTAAAAAACTGTTGTGCATGCATATAAATTTATATCTATTTTCTTTAAGTTGGTGTATTTCTTCTTTCTTCATATGCTTCTGAAGATATTACAGGGTAAAACTCTCATTTTACACTTTTGAAAGTGATCTCTTCCAATAATAGATGAAAATCAAATACAATTTTTAATTTTCTTTCATTTTAGGTAATTATCTGTTAGAATTTGATTTATCGTACTATACAGTTTCGCTATGAGGACAATTAAAATAATTAAAATGAAATGTGTGTGTATGTAAAGTCTTTTTCCCTCCTTACCACACTGTATTGCTGTGAGTTTTTCCAGTGTCTGCCACTTGGCTCCAATGTCAGTTTCTTAATTTCAGGGCTGGGTCTTCACTTCTGTCTCCCCTTCTAAGTTAGTGCAGGGCTTGGCATGCGGTAATTTCCTTCTTTCTTCCTCCTCATCTTCTGTTTCTTTTCTTCTTATTTTTTCTTTGTTTTTCTTCAACTCTCCCATTCTTTTGCCACCTTTCCTTCCTAGATGTTTGTTGAAAAATCGTGTACCTTAAGTAGTGATTTTATATCTTATTCCCATCCAGATAATCTATTTTAATATATGCCTTTGATTGTATCCTAAAATGCTATGATATTTAGTTTGCTTGATTGAATTGAATAATGAATTTTATAAATTCTGAAGTTCCAGATATCGTTGTATAAATTCTGTAGTTCCAGATATTGTTTGAAATACTTTCCTTTTCATAGTATCCCTATACTTCTCATACAGTATCTTGCAAAAATAAAAAATAACATAATTGAGAATATAATAAATGTACCTTGATAATCCTGATTTGTTACCAGAAGAAAATTTGGTAACTGCTTTACATCCTTTACATTCTGGTTACATCCTCATTCTTAGGCTGAAGCCTGCTTGTTTTGACAACTGAGATATAATTGGTTGGGTATTAGAAAACAGTAAAATCTCCTCACCCCCAAGAGGGCACCTAGGATGAAATAGACCCTTTCAAACATGATTTCTTGTCGGTGACTCTATGGCTTTTCCACACGTGAGTCAAACACAGCAACAGCATATTTTATCTAGGACATTTCCTTTAGTCACAAAGAACTGTTCGTCTGATGCAAATTTGAGTCATGTGCCTTTGACCTTCAAGAGCCCTTCAATGCCTAGGAGACATCCCTCATTTTTTCTCAAGTTGTTCTTAGAACAAGGAATTCACAAGAGTAACGAATCCAAACCTCAGATGTCAGAGGTCAGACCGAGAACCAGAGCTGGCTGTATCTCACACTTGGTCAGACTCTTCCCCTCCTCGCCATTCTTCATATTCTCCGAGGACGCAGGCTTAATATCCTCATTATTTTGTCAGCTGCAATTTACCAAAACCATAAAAAACCACACCACCCATGTGTCTTTGAAACAGACAAATTCTTTCATAAAAATATGCCCTGGAAAATGGGAGCTGTATTTTTGAAAATAAATATTCAAACTCTAACACTCATATTGAAGTAAAAAATAATATTTTTCCAAGTCTGGCTGAGGAAGATAAATTATCTGAATAATTAAGAATATAATAGCAATTCTTTTTGATGAAGACTATGTTTTATTTGAGTCCTGAAGGAAGGTAGAGGTGGAGCTAGAAGAGAAGTGCAGGGAAGAGCGGTGGCTACATTACAGCCCGACGTCACCATCAGTTCGTTCCCAGAGAATTCAAAGACGCCGGGCATGGGGGCTCATGCCTGTAATCCCAGCATTTTAGGAGGCTGAGGTGGAAGGATCGCTTGAGCCGGGAGTTTGAGACCAATCTGGGCAACATAGTGAGACCCCCATCTCTAAAAATGTCTGTAAAAATTAGCTGGGTGTGTTGGTGTGTGCCTGTGGTCCCAGTTCCTCAGGAGGCTGAGGCAGGAGGATCACTTGGGGCCAGGAGGTCAGGGTGACAGTAGGCTGTGATCCCACCACTGCCCTCCAGCCTAGGCCACAGAGAGAGACCCTGTCTCAAAAAAAAAAAATAATTCAAATATATGAAAATACAAAGAACCTGAATCATAGTGCACTGCAGGGTCAGCATCATGCTCGGGAGAAAGCTGGTCTATTTGCAGTGACGCCATCATGCAGCCTAGGAGATACTGCCTCACCCAAAACCCCAATGTCCGGTTGTTTACCTAAAATTTATCTCTGCATGTCAAAATAATTTGTCAGATATGCAACTTTAGAAGTAACAGAACTCCAGATGACAAAACCCAGACAAATCAGTTTTTACTGCATTTTCTTGACTATGATATTATTTTTCAATGACCGTTTTATATTGCATTGAAATTTTTAACATTAGTTAATTTTTTAATTGTAAAATTTATATATTTATGATGGGCAACATGATATTTTGATACATATTTATATACATACATTGTGAAATGGCTAAATCAAGCTAATTAACACATCCATTGTCTCACATACTTACCATTTTTTTGTGGTTAGAACGTTTAAAATATACCGTCTTAGCAATTTTCAAGTATATGTTAAGTTGCTACTAATTATAGTCACCGTACTGTGCAACAGACCTTGGAACTCATTCTTCCTGTGCAGCTGAATTTTGCATCCTTTGACCAACATCTCCCCTGCCCTCTCCCTGGCCCTGGTACCCACCCTTCCACTCTCTGCTTCTCTGAGTTCAGCTGTCTTAGGTTCCACGTTGAAGTGGGATCATATGGCATTTGTCTTTCTGTACCTGGCTTATCTCATTTAACATAATGTCCTCCAACTTCACTCATGTTGTTACAAATGACAGGATTTCCTTCTTTTCAAGGCTGAATGGCAATGGTATGCCATTGTGCACCATGCATGTTTCTTTGATCAGTTCATCCATTGGGGGCACTCAGGTGGATGCCACACCTTGGTTATTGTAAACAATGCTGCAATGAACACAGGACTACAGATATTTTTTGGATCCTGATTTATTTCCTTTGGATATGCCCAGTAGTGGAGTTGCTGGGTAATATGTTTGTTCTATTTTTAATGTTTTGAGGAAACTCAAAACTTTTCATAATGAGGGCCAGGCACGGCGGTGCACACCTGTAATCCCAGCATTTTGGGAGGCTGAAGTGGGTGGGTCACCTGAAGACAGGAGTTTGAGACCAGCCTGACCAATATGGTGAAACCTCATCTCTATTAAAAATAAAAAAATTAGCCGGATGTTGTGGGGGGCGCCTGTAATCCCAGCTACTGGGGAGGCTGAGGCAGGAGAATTGCTAGAACCCAGGAGGTGGAGGTTGCAGTGAGCCGAGATAGTGCCATTGCACTCCAGCCTGGGGGACAGAGCGAGACTCCGTCTAAAAAAAAAACAAAAATATCACTTTTCATAATGGTTGTACCAATTTACATTCTCACCAACAGTGTGCAAAGATTCCTTTTCCACCAATTCCTTACTAACACTCATCTTCCATTTTTTGATAATAGCCTTTCTAACAGGTGTAAGATGATATCTTATTGTGATTTTTATTGTATCTCCTTGATGATTAGTGATGAACATTTAAAAAAATATAACCGTTGGCCATGTGTATGTCTTTTTTGGAAACGTGTCTCTTCAGATATTTGCCTATTTTTAAATTAGGTTATTTGTTTTATAGCTATTGAGTTTTTGAGTTCCTTATGCATTTTGGATGTTAACGTCTTATCAGATGTATGGTTTTCAAATATTTTCTCTCATTCCATGGGTTTTCTCTTCATGCTGTTGTTTCCTTTTCAGTATAGAAGTTTTTTTTTTTTTAATTTGATGCAATCTCATTTGTCTATTTTTGCTTTTTTTGCCATGCTCTTAGGGTCATCTCCAAAAAATCATTACCCAGATTAATGTCATGGAGTGTGTCCCCCATAATTTCTTTAAAGCAATCTGTAGATTCAATTCAATCCCTATCAAAATTCCTCTGACATTTTTCACAGAAATGGAAAAAGTATTCCTAAAATTTAATTTGGAACCCCAAAAGACCTCAAATAGCTAAAGCAGTCTTGAGCAAAAAGAACAAAGTTGGGCACATTACATTATCTGACTTCAAGATATGTTACAAACCTGTAAATATATACACATCAAAACAGCATGATACTAGTATAAAAACAGACACAAAGCCCAATGGAACAGAACTGAGAGGCCAGAAATAAATTCGTGCATTTATAGTTTATTGGTTTTCAACAAAGGTGCCAAGAGCACACAATGGGGAAAGGACAGTTTCTTCAGCAAATGGTGTTGGGAGACTGGATGTCCAGAAGAATGAAGTTAGAGCCTTTTTTTTCATACCATGGACAACAATCAATGTAAAATAGACTAAAGATATGAGGCTTAAAGCTATAAAACTTGGTTGGGATTTTTTTAAAATTAAATTTAGGATGAAAAAGAATGTGGAAATTCAATTGCCTTTTTCTTTTTCTTTCATTCTTTTTTTTTTTTTTTTTTTTTTTTGAGACAGGATCTGGCTTTTCTATCCAGACTGGAGTGCGGTGGTGTGATCACGACTCAGTGCAGCTTCAGACTTCTGGGCACA
The DNA here is from genome assembly GCF_000001405.40 of Homo sapiens. Classification (NCBI taxonomy): domain Eukaryota; kingdom Metazoa; phylum Chordata; class Mammalia; order Primates; family Hominidae; genus Homo; species Homo sapiens. The sequence goes on from NC_000002.12 coordinate 352,031, forward strand.
AGCAGGTCTCCTGCCTCAGCCTCCCAAGTGGCTGGGACCACAGGTGCCACCACACCCAGCCAATTTTTATGTATGAATTTATTGACTGGTAGAGATGGAATTACTTTCTATTAAAGCAGGGAACCACAATCTTTTGAAAGCAGTGGCCTGTGTCTTAGATTTTTGGTAAGGTATATATTTTAGGGCTTAGGTATATATAGCAACCAAACATCAAGGTTTAACATATATTACAACTTAAAATCTGTCTTCAAAACATCAAAACAGTTTTAAGAATGAATAATGGATTAATAAAAATATTTGTCCATATGCAAAACAGAAATGTTAATTTCCATAATATATAATGAACCATTGCAAATTAATAAGAAAAATACAAGTGAATCACCAAAAATTTCAAAAATAAAATAAATTGCTTTAAAAAGTAAGAAAACATGTATGCTTCTTAGAAATAAAATACATTAAAGTTAAAATCTGGCTACATCACCAAGTGGACGGTTCTCACAGTAGTCCTCATCAATGTGCTGCAGGACGCAGCGGAATGCACATTCTCATAAACAGCTGGTGGGAATGCAGATTGGTCAAAATTTTGGGAGGTAATTAGACAAAATATTTTTAGTCTTAAACATGTGCACACCTTTTGACCTAGTAATTCCAGTTTTAGAAATATATCTTAATAGTCAGAGGCGTGTGCACATCTCTGTGGGTTTATATATTTACGAAGTTGTTCAGTGTTGCATTTTTGTAGCCTAATGCATGGAAAATCACCTAGCTGTCCAGCCATGGAAGAAAAAGTAAAAATAATATGGCATAGCTTAAAATGGAATGCTGTACAGACATAAATATTTTTTAAAACCATTTAAAGCCATGTGTAACTGCTCATGGCAGATTGCCTAGTAAAAAATCAGAAAAAATGTATGCAGAGCAGTTTTCAATGACTTCCAAGATGCCTGCAGGATGTGGGGATGCTGCTGTGGCTGAGTGAGTCTGTGGTCAGAAAGAGCTCTAAGTGTGGCTCCCAGCCCCAGCACCCTGACTGAATGGAGCCTCGCTTGCCTCCTGAGCCTCAATTTCCCCATCTGCTACCTACATCCTTGAATTGATGTTGCATTAAATGAAATCACAGACCTGGCTTCCAGTGCACAACAACTCTTCAATGAATGGTAGTTTTTATTGTTATTATAGTTCTCATTACTATTATCATTATTATTCCTAAACAAAAAATACAAATATACCCAAATATTAGCAAAGGCTACTCTGAGAAGTTAGCTTACTCTTTTTTACAATGTTTATTTTTACAATTACACTGTAAATTCTTATTTACAATGTTTTTTATATTCTTACCTTATAGTTTCATACAGGTTGGAGATCTTCTATAATCAATGAGTTCTTTTATCATCAGAGTAAAATTAAACAATTCTCGTTATGTGTTTCCTAACAGCTCCACAGTCTCATTCATTTAGACTTTTTTCTCTTTTCAAAGAAATGAATCTGTCATTCTGAAAATAAATTCCTTACAGTTAGACTCCATAGTCATGAATCTTTTTGAAAATAATTTTAGAATTTTTCGTTTATTATACTTAATGCTTTAATTCATGTTATATATTGAGAGAAAAAACTATATTAACCATATAAAAACATTTATATATTTCCTTGGATGTATTTTAAGTGTGTTCTTTTTATATATTTATCAGTTACTGTACAATTATAATACTTTTAAAATTATTACAATGTTAAAATACATTTCAATATCAGTTTGTATATGGGTCAACTGCTTGCATTTTAAATAATGATTTAGAATTAACTTTTTACCATGGCCTTTCCTCTGTGCACCTCATCTCTGGTGTCTCTTTCCCTTCTTATGAGGACGCTGGTCCTGTTGGATGAGGGCCCCACCCTTATGCTTTCCTGGAAGCTTTATGCCTCCTCAAGGCCCCGTCTCCAATAGGGCATTCAGGACTTCCACACAAAAATCGCGGGGAGGCAGACGCAATCCGTTCCTTAATAGAAAGTCTGATATTTCTCATCATCTAGTGCATGATTGAACAGACTTCTGAAGTCTGAATCTGCCTTTGTAAACAGATTTCTTTAGACATGTCTATGTTAAATTGTTTCTGATTTTCACTAGTAGTTGTTTCCTATCATGATTTCTTCATTCTTGGTCTTTTCACTTTGATCCACGTCATGGTGGAGGGGAACTTCCCTTAGAGGATACTTTTCAGGAAGGGCCCACGAGTGGGAGCGTTTTTGAGCACTGCTATCTATGCTTATTGGATGAAACACATCTTGCTGCTTAAAACTTTCTGTAGTCATGCGTTCTCTTCCAAATGTTGGGAGGCCTTGTTTCATGACATTTTGACACTTAACTTTTAGGGGAAAAATGAAGTTTTGGTTGCTGGGTAGGCAATTGTCCTCCTTGCCCAGTTGCTGGTAGATTTTAGACTTTTCTTTGTTATTATTGTACACACGACTCTATTTGTTGTCAGTCTTCACTGATCTTTTATTTTTGGTTTGTTTTGCTTTGGTCTGGAATGACGGCACACATTCTTTTCAGCCCAAGATGGTTGGTTTTTTATTTTCTTATTGATACATAATATTGTACATATTTGTGGGGCACATGCAATATTTGCATACATGCATAGAATGTGTGATGATCAAATGAGGGTATTTAGGATGCCCATCACCGTGAATACTTACTATTTCTTTGTATTGGGAACATTGCAAATCTTCTCTTCTAGCTATATTGCAATACACGATATATTGTTGTTAACTATAGTCACCCTACTGTTCTACAGACACTAGAATGTATTCCTTTCATCTAACTGTGTCCGCTAACCAGCCTATTTTCATCCTTCCACTCCTACACCCTTCCCAGCCTCTGGTATCCATCGTTCTACCCTCTACCTCCATGAGATCGTCTTTTTCAGCTCCCACATGCGAGTGAGAACATGTGATGTTTGTCTTCCTGTGCCTGGCTTATTCCCCTTAACCTAATGCTTCCAGTTTCATCCACGTTGCTACAAATGACAGAATTTCATTCTTTTTTTTGGCTGAATAGTATTCCATTGTGTGTGCATGTGTGTGTCTGTGTGCATGCATGTGTGTGTGTGCATGTGTGCTTGTGTGTGCGCACGCACAGGAGTGTATGCGTGTGTGCATGTTTTTGTGTGTACATATGTATATCACATTTTCTTTACCCGTCCATCGCTGGTGGACACTTAGGTTGATTCCATGTCTCTGTTATTGTGAACATTGCTGCGCTGATCGTGGGGTGCGGGCATCCTTTGACATTCTGATTTCCTTTCCTTTGGAGAGATGTCCAGCAGTGGGATTGCTGGATCATATTTTTTCTAAGTTCTATTTTACTCTTAGTTTCCTGAGAAGCCTCTATAATTCATACTGGACTAGAAACACAGCATCAGATGCAAGATTTTCCCCCACAGAAGGATAATTAATCACCTAATAAACTATGTGCATTGTGAAAATAAAAAATAAAGTCTTGCAAGTCAGGTGACAATGAGCAGAGCTGTGCATCATCTTAAAGGAGGAGAAGAAATAACAGGGTACGATCACACAATCCACCCTTCCAAGAATGATTTCAGAAAGAGAAACTGATTGGGTGTCTTCAAGGGGATAATTTTGCAATGAGAAGGTCAACTGTTAGGTTACCACTTTTCTTCTGGCCCAAAAGAGGCTTACAGCTGTGGACATCTGATAGAAAAGTTGCTGGTGCACCGCCGGCGGGAATGTGAGTGAACGCCGGGGAGTCGCCCGTTCTTTGCCTGTTGTCTTTCCGTGTCTCCAGTCCCTTTCCATGGATCACAGGTGATCCTGGGGAAGATTCTATTTCCTGTTCTTACAGATGCCCACTTCATTCTCACGACTTTCTGAGCATGCCTCTTGCTGCTATGGAATTCTTGCTCATGGTCCCCACACATGCTACTGCCCCTCTGGTCTCTTCCCGGCCCCGGTACACACGTGCACCTGTGGTGACTATCTCTCCCTGGGGTCCGCACACTGCTGGTCCACACCACCCTCGTGGCTTTCACACACACGCTCCTGCCCAAAGTTTGCTTGAGGTTGTGGCCTCTGAATAGTCCAAGAAAGGCTGTGCAGGCCAAGAAGCAGGTGGTGTTCTGGCTGCTGTGAGAGCTCAAAACATGACAGAATGAGGATGACAGGCATCTGGACATAGGGAGGGAGGTTTGCTGAGAGCTCCAAGGCTCCTTTCCTCTCTGTAGGAGAAGGAGTTCTCGGAGGGAGGAGGGACAGCTGGGCATGTTTTCTGTACTGCGGCTCCGTCGGCCGCACGATGAGGAAAGATGCTGTGGGTCTGTGCCCTGCAGGGTGGACCCTGCCTTCCGTGTTCACACTTCTGGCTTCTCCTTTCACTCATGGCTTCATGGGGAGGAGGGGGAGACCTCAGGGAGTCTGGAGAGGTGTCACGACTGCATTTACGTCGCTCCCTAAATTCCTACTTGCCGCTTCCGGTGTCACGACTGCATTTACGTCGCTCCCTAAATTCCTACTTGCCGCTTCCGGTGTCACGACTGCATTTACGTCGCTCCCTAAATTCCTACTTGCCGCTTCCGCTCACTGTCTTCTGCCCACACCCTTTCTCACTTGCTTGGGTTGGGGAACTTAGAGAAGGAAAAGACAATTGAATTAGGTCAAAATTCTATTGATATTTAGGAAAACCTGGGCATGTAATTATTTGATAAATGTCAATTCATATGACAGAACTTAAACTTTTAAAATATTTTACTACATAAAAATTTAAGTGTTTAGAAACAGTAACATTTTAAATTTCTAATGATAAAGAAGAGGCTTTCACTATTTGTTTGAGCTACTTTGTTAACTTGATCCTCCAAGTCTAAAATTTGGGGTTTAGTTTATAATCTAGAGAGAACACAGATTACATTAATAATTTTAACTGGCTGTGTGACTTTTGACAGCTGTGTCAGCCTCTCTGGATTTCTAATTAAATCTCGGATACAGGCTGCAGCAACTGACTTACTTACATGGGTACGGCCAGTTGCACTGGGCAGCAGGTACTGGACTCATTTCACCTACAGTCTGCAACAGCAAGTGGTCTTTTGAGCATTCGTGTGGGGACAAGGACTTGTGTTCACCTTTGTCACTCTGTGGGAGGGCAGGTAGGGGGCTTTCTTCCAAGGGTATGGGGCATGTAGTCATTCCATGTAATCCAGGGGTTCCCAACTATGGGCAGGTTTGCCAGGAGACATTTGGCCCTTTTTAGGGACATTTTGTTTGGGAACGCCGGGGGCGGCACCGTCATCTACTAGATGGAGGCCAGGGATGCGGCTGAACATCCCCCACAACAGAGACGCATCCAGTCCAGATGGTCAGCAATGCTGAGGCTGAGAGGCAGATGTGGGTCGATGAACTGTGGTGTGGTTCTTTCTGCCTTTGATGACTCCAGTGTCTGTCATTTTGCTGAGAAACTGATGCCTTTGAATTTATCTTTGATGGAGCTATAAAGCTTCAATAGCACAGAAGACCAGTTCAATTTTTTTAGTATGTATATTTTTTCCACAAATGCTCAAAGTACACATAAAAAAATGCTGTAGTTGTTCCAAAAAATAATGCAGTTTGTTCCCAAACCCTAATATTGTACTTGAAAGTGACTCTAAATCCATATGGTCCACATGGAAAGGGGGAAAAGGCTCTTTCATGAATATTTTTTAGCTTGAGACTTTGCCAATATCATATTACAAATGACAATATTACCAGGAATTTCAGAGGGTGATGTAATTAGAATCATGAAAATTTTGAGCTGCAAAAAGGTTTAGGGATCATACAAAATTCAAGATGCTCAGGCAGACTGTCCCAGTATCTTAGGTCCAGTATCTGGGTCCAAGAGGGTAAGTCCTAACAGCAAGTCCTAAGGTCAGTCCCAGCAGTACCCAGGGTGCAGCCAGGGCCCCAGAGCCTGCAGGTCATCTCCATCCCCACTGAGCTGCTTCCTCTGTTCCGTCGTGAAAAAAGAGTTTTAGGAAGCAGACTCACTCCTGTGTGTGTTTTCAAAACTAATTGACATTACTTGATCCTAAAATATATTTATTGTATCTGAAAAACACACATCAAAAATGTGGTTGTTGAGAAAATAGAATTTTATGTCAGGATGCAGTAGGATTTGTAACACAGCTCATTATTGTAAGGATTCCTGTGTTTTACGGGAGCCAGGCCCCTGATGTCCTGCTCAGTGGCATTAAGGGAGTGTCGTGTTTGCTGGGGCTGAGATTCATGATGAAAGGAAGCATTTTTCGGGCTGAGTGGCACACGACCATGGCATGGAATAAAAGCTGCTGTGTAAACATCACGATCTTCTAAATAGATACCAGGTACCCGTGTTTTAACAGGGCCCGACAATGTGGCTCATGTCTGGCGTTGTATGTTCCTGTACACATCATTGAGCTCTGCCTTTCCCAGCATCCACGGTGACCCTGGAGCAGTGGAGGCACTGGAGACCCTGGGAGCAAGTCACAGGCTCTGGTCTTAGGGATTCCCAACACAGTGTCCGTGGAATGTGTTACTCGAATAAAGCCAGAGATCAAGATGTAATTGAAATTTATAACAAGGGTGCTAGTAAACAGGCAGGTGTGATTAGCAGCACTGATTTAGATCCAGTGGTCAAGGACAGTGCTTGGAAAAAGTGTCACTTGAAAGATGAATACAAATTAATTAGTGAGAGAGGGCCAGAGGGGCACTCCAGGCAGAAGGCATGACATTCCCTGTATTGGGTGATAAAAAATAGAAGCTACTCTTTCACTCTGCAATCAGTGAACACATTGTGATTTAATCAACTTCCTAAAAGTCACTGTGTCCCTCTCATTTGGGGCTGGTTAGTAGGGCCCAGTGGAAAAAAGTGTAGGCTGTGGAGTGAGGCCAACCTGGGTTCTCATCCACCTGCAGGATTTGCTCCCTGTGGCATCCTGGCATGATACCAAACCTCTCAAAGCTGTGTGGGGTGCGTAAAGTGGGGTGCTGGAGAATGATGAGAATGACAACCCCTATCTCTCGAGGTCTTTCGAATCAGCTTCCAGGCCCTGCAGGTCTGCACCCTCCCCTACCCCACTAACTTTTTGACCTTATCTTTGACCCCTCCTGCTGCTGCCGACTTGGCCTGTTCCCTCCCTGAACCTGCTCTCCAGGCTGTGGATGACGTGACCTTCCCACTTCCCCTGCTAGCTTCCTCTCAGCTCCAGGTCCACAGTCAGAGGCATCTGCTGTGAGCCCCAGGGCTTGCGTTTTAAACTGCATCCCCCACTGCCCTGCACTCCTTATCACCTTTCCTTTGTTTATTTTCCCAGGACTAATTAGCTATGATTCTCTACATTTTCTTGATTTATTGTTTATATCCCCAACTAGAATTAATCTTCAAGAAACCAGGGATTTTCATTTGCTTTTTAATCAATGCTAAATCCAGTGTTCATAAAAGTAGCTGGTAAATAAGTTGACACTGAACAGATATTTGTTAAAAGAATAAACTTCCAAGGGCTTCTGCGAGCCTTAGGGATTATAGGTACAAAGTGTCTACTATAGTGCCTGGCATAGGGTAAGTGCAGAAAAATGATAAACATTTTTGTATTTTAACATAAAAATTAGCATTTAAATTAAAAACTGGTAATAATGCATCCTTTGAATATTATTTTTTTAAATGAGAACCTTCTGGACTGTCTTTTCAATCAGTGGTATTGGAAAAATTCGATATCCATATGCAGAAAAATGAAGTTGGAGCCTTACCTCACACCACATACAAAAATGTAATTCAAAATGGTTCAAAGGCCTAAATGTAAGAGTAAAGGTATAAAATTCTTAAAATAAAACATAGGGAAAAGCTACATGATATTAAATTTAGCAGTAGTTTCTTGGTTATGACATCAAAAGTACAGGTAACAAAAGAAAAAATAGATTAATTGGACTTTATTAAAATTGAAAACTTTTGTGCAGCAAAGGAAATTATCAACATAGTGGATAGGCAATCCATATAATTGGAAGAAATATCTGCAAATTATAAATCTGATAAGGAATTAATTTCCAAAATATATAAAGGACTCCTACAGCGCAACAAGTAAAGAAAAGGACCAACCTAATTAAACTATGGGCAAAGAAGTTGAGTGGACATTTCTCCAAAGAAGACACATGGATGGCCAATAACTTTATTGCACGTGAAAAGATGCTTGACACCACTAGTCAAAGGAAAATCAGATCAAAACCACCACACGATACCACCTCACAACTATCAGGGTGGCTCTTATCAAGCAAACAGAAAGTAGCAAGTGTGACCAGGATGTGGAGGAATTGGAGCCCTTTCACACTGATGAGAATGTGAAATGGTGCAGCAGCTGCAGAAAACAGTATCGGGGCTCCTCAGAAAACTAAACATAGAATCCCCACACGATCCAGTAGTGCCACTTCTGGTTATATACTGAAAATAATTGGAAGCAGGAACTTGAACAGATGTGTGCCCAACAGTGTTCAAAACACTATTTTACATGGTATTTAAAGGGTAGAAACCACCTAAATGCTCATCAACGAATGAACAGATAAACACAACATGGTGTATACACACAAGGGAATATTATTCAGCCTTTAGAAAATGAAGCTGTGATACATACTTCAACATGGATGAATCTTGAAGACGCTACATTACGTGTAAGAAGCCAGGCATAACATATGTGATTCCGTGCAAAGTTCCCTAGAGGAGTCAAATTCACAGAGACAGAAAGTAGAATGAAGGCTGTCAGGGGTTGGGGGAGTGGGGAGGAGTGTGATGGTTTAACAGATACAGAGTTGTACTTCGGGAAGATGAAAACGCCCTGGGGGTGGATAGTGGGGCTGATTGCACAGCAATGTGAATGAACTTAATGCTGCTGAACTGCACACCTAAAAATGGTTACAATGATAAATATTATGTAATATCTATTTATACAGTAAAAATGAGGGCTTTCTCACAAATACTATCAATACTTCTGAAGGTATTTTCCACATTGCACTACACATAAAGTGTGTGTTTTAAACGTTACAATATTATGTGACAGACATTTTGGCAATTCTTTCCTGTATTCCTCTTCTGTATTTTATCTTAATGTACATATAGGAAAAATCCAAAGCTTTAGAAAATTTGCCACTTGGCATCAACTTTGGACTGTCCTAACACAAACTGTTCAATATATTAAAGAGAAAATTGAGTACAGTTAATGAGAGTGGGGGAGAACCAGAGGCCAAGAGAGAGGCAGGTGCCTGCCAAGGTAGAGACAAAGGTTCACGCAGAAGATAAAGGTTCACACAGAAGATAAAGGTTCACACAGAAGATAAAGGGACACACAGAAGATAAAGGGACATGCAGAAGATAAAGGTTCATGCAGAAGATAAAGGTTCACACAGAAGATAAAGGTTCATGCAGAAGATAAAGGGACACGTGAAAGATAAATGTTCATGCAGAAGATAAAGGTTCATGCAGAAAATAAAGGGTCATGAAGAAAATAAAGTTTCATGCAGAAGATAAAGGTTCACGCAGAAGATAAATGTTCACACAGAAGATAAAGGTTCATGCAGAAGATAAAGGGACACGCAGAAGATAAAGGGACATGCAGTAGATAAAGGTTTATGCAGAAGATAAAGGTTCACGCAGAAGATAAAGGTTCATGCAGAAGAAAAAGGGACTTGCAAAAGATAAAGGTTCACGCAGAAGAAAAAGGTTCATGCAGAAGATAAAAGGACATGCAGAAGATAAAGGTTCATGCAGAAGATAAAGGTTCACACAGAAGATAAAAGATTTATGCAGAAGATAAGGGACACGTGAAAGATAAAGGTTCATGCAGAAGATAAAGATTCACACAGAAGATAAAGGGACATGCAGAAGATAAAGTTTCACGCAGAAGATAAAGGGACACGCAGACGATAAAGGTTCACGCAGAAGATAAAGGTTCATGCAGAAGATAAAGGTTCACGGGGAAGATAAAGGTTCACGCAAAAGACAAAAGTTCACGTGGAAGATAAAGGGACATGCAGAAGATAAAGGTTCATGCGGAAGATAAAGGTTCATGCAGAAGATAAAGGGACACGCAGAAGATAAAGGGACATGCAGAAGATAAAGGTTCATGCAGAAGATAAAGGTTCACGCAGAAGATAAAGGTTCATGCAGAAGATAAAGGGACATGCGAAAGAAAGGTTCACGCAGAAGATAAAGGTTCATGCAGAAGATAAAGGGACATGCTAAAGATAAAGGTTCACACAGAAGATAAAGGTTCATACAGAAGATAAAGGGACATGCAGAAGATAAAGGTTCACGCAGAAGATAAAGGTTCACGCAGAAGGTAAAGGTTCACACAGAAGATAAAGGTTCATGCAGAAGATAAGGGACATGCGAAAGATAAAGCTTCATGCAGAAGATAAAGGTTCACGCAGAAGATAAAGGGACACGCAGAAGATAAAGTTTCATGCAGAAGATAAAGGGACACGCAGAAGATAAAGGTTCACGCAGAAGATAAACGTTCACGCAGAAGATAAAGGTTCACGTGGAAGACAAAGGTTCACGCAAAAGATAAAGGTTCACATGGAAGATAAAGGGACATGCAGAAGATAAAGGGACATGCAGAAGGTAAAGGTTTATGCAGAAGATAAAAGTTCACGCAAAAGGTAAAAGTTCACGCAGAAGATAAAGAGACACGTGGAAGATAAAGGTTCACGCAGAAGATAAAGGTTCATGCAGAAGATAAAGGGACATGCGGAAGATAAAGGTTCATGCAGAAGATAAAGGTTCACACAGAAGATAAAGGTTCATGCAGAAGATAAAGGGACACGTGGAAGATAAAGTTCACGCAGAAGATACAGGTTCACGCCGAAGATAAAGGTTCATGCGGAAGATAAAGGGACACGCGGAAGATAAAGGGACATGCGGAAGATAAAGGTTCACACAGAAGATAAAGTTTCACACAGAAGATAAAGGTTCATGCAGAAGGTTTCCTTTTACACTTTCCATCTCCATGTTCAGACATCACAGCCTGTTCATTCATAACCTGTTCTATTTTACTGAGTTGGCTATTTTAATAGGTTACTGAGCTCTACTCGGCACAGTGCCAGGCCCTGGGGGATTTGGTACCAACCACTCGGACCTTATGTTGTGAGGAACTGAGGACAAGGGCTTGTGAAGTCAAGACCTGAGACACATGATTCCTTCTCTGCAAAGCAATTTTAGTATCTACTGAGAAAGACTATTTCAGCCTTCTAAAATCATGACTTCTGTTGGACTAAAGCCAGAAAACAATGCCTTTTAATGTGAGTGAAAGCGACAAAAGATGTATTTTAAAGGTACAAGGTATTGATCTGAGAGTCCAACATCCTAGAAACTTGAAGTTTATTATTAATCTAGAGAGTGGTTTGGCAAATCAATGCCTAACTTGCCTAAGCTGGTAATTCTATTTAGTGATTCCACTTTTTTCCTTTAAGGAAATGAAGAGATCAATGTCTGTAATGATTGTGTAGTAGAGATAAGTGTGCATAACGATTGAATTGTTAACCGTTTTCTATCTTTATATCATGCTGCCTGTCTGCTACCCATATTTTGAAAACTGGCCACCTAATTTTCAAGCATGGAATGCTCAGAGCATTTAGGATTAGACAGGGAGGCTGATGTGCTTTTTACTCAAATTTAGAAACTAAGTTATCGGTGCAGAGTTTTAACCTCAACAACAAGATTAAGACCAAGAAAATGTCAGAACCTTAAGTCAGCAACTTACTTGCCTCCAAACTGATGTGGAAATACATCAAGAAGACATCATGAGGCTGCAGAAAGTGAATGGGTTTCAACGGCTGGTCTCCCTGCTGCTGATGGAACCCGACTTACAGTGTTAGAGATGAAAGTGAATGGGTTTGAACGGCTGGTCTCCCAGCTGATGATGGAACCCGACTTACCATGTTAGAGATGAAAGTGAACGGGTTTGAAAGGCTGGTCTCCCTGTTGATGATTGAACCTGACTTAAAGTGTTAGAGATGAAAGTGAACGGGTTTGAAAGGCTGGTCTCCGGGCTGATGATGGAACCCGACTTACAGTGTTAGAGATGAAAGTGAACGGGTTTGAACGGCTGGTCTCCCAGCTGATGATGGAACCCGACTTACAGTGTTAGAGATAAAAGTGAACGGGTTTGAACGGCTGGTCTCCTGGCTGATGATTGAACCCGACTTAGAGTGTTAGAGATGAAAGTGAACGGGTTTGAACGGCTGGTCTCCTGGCTGATGATGGAACCCGACTTAGAGTGTTATAGATGAAAGTGAACGGGTTTGAACGGCTGGTCTCCCGGTTGATGATGGAACCCGACTTACAGTGTTAGAGATGAAAGTGAACGGGTTTGAACGGCTGGTCTCCCGGTTGATGATTGAACCTGACTTAGAGTGTAGAGATGGGTAGGGAGATGGCTGGAGGAGGACCTCTGTGAGGCTTTCCCAGGCCTTGAGCACCAAACCTCACAGCAGATCGCACGTCAAATGCAGTGGCATCACACGATAAATACAACTGATGAAGAAATATGTTAGTTGAGTTGCAATCACGTGGCTAAGATGAAAAAGGTAACTTTTTTGACTAATAATTAAGGTGCTAATTTTAAGTTTGTAGCTTATTTTTCCGGTTTTGAAGCCATTTTTTAACTTTGAAGTGCTCATGGTTCTGGGGGTGACTATGCCCATGTTGCCTCCTGGATAAGGCGACCCTGAGGTGAGAGGCCAAATGTTTCCATCGGGTCACACCCTTATCTAGAGGCACAGTGCCCAGACACTGCCTATCAGTGGATGAATACAAGCCCTGAGAACGGGGCTGTGAAATCAATGCTAAGTGACATTGATTAGCTCCATCAATACATTATACTTTGTTGCAAACATCATTTGAGCCCTGAGCAATACGGTGCAATCTTAATTAATTACAGAGACAAGCCACAAACAGAAACTGAGAGTCCACAGTTTACAGAGAGAGGGAGACGCAGGTAACTTCACCACCAGAAGGGTCTCCAGCGTCGCCTTATTCTCTGCCTGGCATCTGAGAAACCTCGATGAGCATAGAGCAGATTTAGAAGCCTCATCAGTCCCATACGGCTGGCCTAGAACAGAGACCGGCGATGACCTAATCCCGGCCAGAGCCGCTCATGTTGCCGATGAGAAAGCTCAGGCCAGGGAGGGAGGGGACGGGGCTCGCCTGGGCTGATGCCCCATGGCTCTCATCTCCAGGCCTTGGTGGCTCTCTCTGCATCTTTTTGTTTTCTTGCACATTTATTTCCATGTGTCAAGAAAGAAGGCATGTTCAATACCCTGTCGCATCTCCTCTAGGGAAGTGTCAGTACATCAGTCTCCAGCACTGGTGCTCCAGGCACACTCGTGTTCGAGGAATTGAGAGTTATAAGAATCACCAGATCAGGGAAGTTAGGAAAAGGATGTAATTGGTATTTTGAGTAAGATCAGAAGCGCCGTCCCTACCCCAGCAAGACCTGAGGACGTTGCGCAAGTGACTGGCTGTGCCTCACGGTGGGTTTGCGCTGTTGTGCTCAGCCTGAAAGGGCAGAAGAGGAACAGCCTTTGGGTGCTGTGCCATGAACCAGGTGGGCAGTGTCCCGGCTCCCAGAAATGTTTTAAAAGCAGATAAGACAGCATTTCCGGTCAGATTGGATTTGGGGGGCAGAGAGACAGGAATGAAGGATGCTCCAGTGCTTGGCCAGAGCACCTGCAAGACGGAGCTGCCATGAGCTGGATAAGAGGGGCTGCAGGCTGGGGCGAGGCCGCGGCCAGGACTCCGTCTGGGATGCTGAGTTTTAGGTGACTGGATATTCAAGAGGAGAGGCGAGGTAGACGACTGTGTGCTGAGGTCAAGAGTTCAGGGCAGAAGCTGAGGCTGGAGGACCTTGGCCGTCATCACAAGTGGGGGGTCCCAGGGGCACCCACTGTGTGCGTCCCAATAACAGCAGAGACTGAGCCAGGGCGGCCGATGTGAGGGGTGGAGTCAGAGGTCAGGTGTGAGGAAGAGCCAGTGGGCAGGAGAGAGACAGAGAGCCAGAGGCAGCGTCCTCGCCAGGACTCAGGCGGGGCCACATTATCATGGGGGTCCGGCCTGCACGGACAAAACCAAAACCCGATCCTCAGTGCAGCCTGGCAGATTTCATGAGCACCTTCCTATGACTGAAAGCCACCCCTGAAGTGAATCCTGATGGGCTGTTGCGAACAAACTCTCAGAAGGGCTCCTCCAGATTTCTCTGAGACACGGATTCTAGAAAACATATTTTCTCTTTGTTGACAGCAAACAAGAAACTTGCGGTTGTGGGGAAGGTGCTGTCTGGCATCAATTTACTGATGCGCTTGAAGGCAAGGAGTGACCTGTGACCCACAGAGCCTGAGGCCAGAGAACATTTGGGTGCCATTAGGATGATTATTTGAACACTGATATGTTATATTAAAATGTATATGAATTTTGTCCCTTGTTTCACAGTATTTTAATTTTTAATAAATAAAAAACAATAGTTTTACCCCCTACTATCTTTGACTAAAAGTGAGATTCGAGGAAGACACGATCAACAATCTCACAGTGGACGTATCCTCAGCCGTGCTCTCGTACCGCATGCTGGAGATGACCCGTGCGGGAAGGGGAGGATGAGCAGGCAGCTCTGAAGAGAACAGCACCTGCACCCTTGTCTGCGCTGCTTTTCCTTTCAAACCCTACTTGCACTTGGAGCTCCTCCTTCTACCATCTCCATGGGTCTAATTTGGTCAGACTTCTTCCCACACAGTGATTGATCCAAGGAAAGATTGGAGCGGTGCACGCCAGCCTCTGTCTAGATTTAAACTAAAAGAGCAAAGGGCGTTTCAAGGCTTCCAAACAGGCTGGCCCAGCTCACGAGAGGATGGCCCCGTTCCCAGCAGCTCAGAGCGTGCGTTTGCCGGCTGCCACCTCTGTGCACTTCGCTTGAAGAAACCTGCAAAGATTGATTCTACTTGTTTTACCTTTTCCCTCCCCACCCATTTCTCCCTGCTTAGTAAGTGCGGGTTTGTGCATTTTGCTATGAAATAGGAGGAATAACCTCCTCAATCCTGACCAGGAGAAAGCATCTGTGACCTTATTATCAGGGGTTTTGGTAGCTCTCTCCTTGGCTAAGCCAATGTCTAAGAAATCTGCATGGCAGAAGGCCACCAAGGCCCTCAGAGTCTCAGAGTTTCTCATCAGGGGCCTCCTGGAGGCCTTGGGGGCAAATATGGCTTACACACATATTTTGTTTGGCCCTCACAGCATTAAAAAGTAGGCTAACATTTTTCAGAAATCAGGAGTTTATGTAAAAAACTCTATTGCCAGTTTTCCTTGAAACAGGATGATTCTGACTCCAGAATATCCAAACCGCCCCAGCGTTGACTCAGCTGACCAGAGCCACAGACCAGCGGCCACAGGCACGTCATTCCTTGCCTGTGTCTGCAGGGGTCTGAGTTTGCAAATCCAAGTCCAGGTGATGCGTGTGATGTAACAGGAGCTCAGGGGCACTTTTGTCATGGAGAGAATATATGCAGGTAGGGGTTATGATTCTCCATGTTAAGATTTTATTTTATTTTTAAAATTTATCATCGATCATTGGTGGAGACAGAAGGGTGGGGGTGAGCAGTGCAGAGGCTTCGGGCAGCCCCGTCGATGGCCTGAAGCCTCTGCAATCTTCACCCTTCGGTGTCGCTTCAGAGCTCTCGGGAACACAACAACCAGAATGAAATCACAATAAAAGGAGAGTTGAAACTAGGGAATAAAGAGCTATAAAACTATAATGTGGCCAGCCATGGCGGCTCACACCTGTAATCCCAGCACTTTGAGAGGCCCAGGCAGGAGGATTGCTTGAGTTCAGGAGTTTGAAAGCAGCCTGGGTGACATGGTGAGACCTTGTCTCTACCAAAAATACAAAAATTAGCAGGACATGGTGGCACATGCCTGTAGTCCCAGCTTCTCAGGAGGCTGAGGTGGGAGGATCCCTTGAGCCCGAGAGGTCGGGGCTGCAGTGAGCTGTGATCATGCCACTGCACTCCAGCCTGGTTGAAGAAGTAAGGGAGTGAGACTCTGTCTCAAAGTATAACATTTACAAAACTACTATATATACAAGGAAGTAAGTTATTTTTAAAATAAAAATAACAAATTTCAAAAATAAAAAAGAAATGATTATGATTTGAAAAATAAATATTTAGTTATCAATATAAACAATATGAAGTATGAAAAAATATAATAATAACAATTTTATTTAACAACAAAAATACTGAAATGTCAAGAAGACACACAAAGTTGAATATTATCAAATCCATATTTTTGGCATCAAAAATGGTCAAATAGCAATTTCATATGGTTCAGACTAATACATGTTCATATAACTCTTATAATGCTTCCTGAGAGCTGGAGAAACACCCGTGCTTGGCCTCTTGCCAGCGAGAGCCCCTCATTATCAGTGGCTGGTGAGGAATATTCTCAGCTGACCTGAGATGCCCTCCTTAGCTCTTCCCACCGAGCCTGTGTGCCCTCACATAGAGGGTGTTGCGTGAGCACCTCCTCCTGTGGTCTCGCTCATTTCCTTTCTAGCTGCCCTGGCTTCTTTGTGTTGCTATAATAAAATACCTCAGATGGGGTAATTTATAAAGAACAGCAATTTAACTCTCTGCTCTGGAGGCTGGAGGTGCAAAATCAAGGCACCAGTAGGACTGGGGTCTGGTGAGGCCCTAGGGGTTCCATCCAAGGTGGTTCCTTACTGCTGCTGCTTTTCGGGGGAACGGAGGCTGTGTCCTCACATGGAGGGAGGGACAGAGGGCCAGAGGGTAGGAAGAGTATGAACTCTCTCTGAAGCCTCTTTTATGAGGGCATTAATCACTTTCCCAAAGGCCCCACTTCCCAGTACCACCACACTAAGGGTCAAGTTGGATCATGGGTTTTTGTTGTTGCTGTTGTTGTTTAGTTGTGTAAGTTTCTTATATTTTTTGGATATTAAACCTTTATCAGCTATATGCTTTACAGATATTTTTTCCTAAACTGTAGGCTGCCTTTTTTTTTATTATTTTCTTTGTTGTGTGGAACTTTTTAGTTTGATGTAATCCCACTTGTTTATTTTTGCTTTTGTTGCCTGTGCTGTTACTGTCCTGTTCAAAAAATCATTGCCAAGTCCAATGTCAAGGAGCAAAACCAATTGTTTTTCTAGAGTCTTTCAGTTTCAGGTCTTTAATCCATTCTGAGTGTGTTTTCATGTATGTGCAAGATAAAGATCTAATTTCATTATTCTGCATGTGGATATTCAGTTTTCCCAGCACAATTTATTGACAAGACTATCCTTTCCCTATTGGGTCTTCTTGGTGCCCTTGTTGAAAATTAGTTGGCCACGGTTTATTTCTGGGCTCTCTTTTCTGTTCCACTGGCATATGTGTCTGTTTTTATACCAGTGCCATGCTATTTACATTACTTTAGCTTTCTAATATAATTTGTAATCAGGAAGTGTGATGCTTCCAACTTTATTTTTCTTTCTTAGGCTTAGTTTGGTTATTTGTGGTCTTTTACGATTCCATATGAATTTTAGGACTTTTTTATATCTGTGGAAAATACCATTGAAATTTTGATAGGCATTGCATTGAATCTCTTTATCACTTTGGGTATTATGACTTTTTTTTTTTAGATGGAGACTCACTGTCACCCAGGCTGGAGTGCAGTGGCGCAATCTGCAAGCTCTGCCTCCCAGGTTTTTGCCATTCTTCTGCCTCAGCCTCCTGAGTAGCTGGGACTACAGGCATCCGCCACCACGCCTGGCTAATTTTTTGTATTTTTAGTAGAGACGGGGTTTCACCATGTTAGCCAGGATGGTCTGGATCTCCTGACCTCATGATCTGCCTGCCTTGGCCTCTCGAGCATTTTAACAATGTCAATTCTTTTGATCTATGAACATAAAATACCTTCCCATTTATTTGTGTCTTCTTCTATGTCTTTCTATTTCACTAATGTTTTATAGTTTTTAGGGTACATATCTTTCTTTTGTAAATTTTATTTTACTTTAAGGTCTGGGATACATGTGCAGAACATGCAGGTTTATTACATAGGCATACATGTGCCATGGTGGTTTGCTGCACCTATGAACCCGTCATCTAGGTTTTAAGCCCCCATGCATTAGATATTTGTCCTAATGCTCTTCTTCCCCTTGACCCCCACCCCCCAACAGGCCCAGTATGTGATGTTCCACTCCCTGTGTCCATGTGTTCTCATTGTTCAACTGCCACTTATGAGTGAGAACATGCAGTGTTTGGCTTTCTGTTCTTGTGATAGTTTGCTGAGAATGATGCTTTCCAGCTTCATCTGTGTCCCTGCAAAGGACATGAACTCATCCTTTCTTATGGCTGCCTAGTATTCCATGATGTATATGTGCCACATTTTCTTTATCCAGTATGTCACTGATGGACATTTGGGTTGGTTCCAAGTCTTTACTATTGTGAACAGTGCTGCAATAAACATACGTGTGCATGTGTCTTTATAGTAGAATGATTTATAATCCTTTGGGCATATACCCAATAATGGGATGGCTGGGTCAAATGGTATTTCTGGTTCTAGATCTTTGAGGAATCGCCACACTGTCTTCCACAATGGTTGAACTAATTTACATTTAGGGTACGTATCTTTCAACTCCTTGTTTAATTTATTCATAAGTATTTCATTCTTTTTGAGGCTATCATAAATGGAATTATTTCCTTGATTTCTTTTTCGGATAGGTCAATATTCATGTAAAAAAATGAGACTGATTTTTGGATGTTGATTTTGTATTCAGCAACTTCTCTGAATTCATTTATTACTTCTAACAGTGTGTGTGTGTGTGTGTGTGTGTGTGTGTGTGTGTAATCTTTAGGGTTTTCTACATACCAGATCATGTCATCCACAGTAGGGATGTTTTTATTTCCACCTTTCTGATTTGGATGCCTTTTATTCCTTTTTCTTGTCTGATTGCTCATGCTAGTACTTCCAGGACTATGTTGAAAATAAGTGGTAAGAGTGGGCATCCTTACCTTCTTTTGGATTTTAGAGAGAAATCTTTCCATTTTCACCCATTGACTATGCTGTTAGCTACAGTTTTCATAAGTGGAATTGATTACGTTGAGGAAATTTCCTTCTAAACTTGCTTTGCTGAGTTTTCATCATGAAAGGGAACTGAACTTCGTCAAATGTTTTTTCTGTATTTATTGAGACGAGAGGGAGTTTTTTATTTTTCATTCTATTAAAGGAGGGCATCACATTGATTTTTGTGTATTAAACCACCCTGCATCTGCTGGATAATCCCACAAGGTCATGATGTGTAATCTTTCTAATTTGTTGTTGAATTTCTTTGCCTAGTATTTTATAGTGAATTTTATATCTATGTTCCTTGGAGATATTGGACTATCATTTTCTTGTGGTCTTGGAGATATTGGACTATCATTTTCTTGTGGTCTTGGAGATATTGGACTATCATTTTTTTGTGGTGTCTTTGTCTGGCTTTGGTATCAGGGTGATGCTGGGATCATAAAATGAATTTGGAAGTATTTTCTCTAGCTTCAGGTTTTGGAATAATTTAAATGTTAGCACTAATTTTTCTTTGAATGTTTGTTAGAGTTCAATCCTGAAGCCATCTGATCATGGGCTTTTCTTTGATGAGATTTTTGATTATTGATTCTCTCATTTGTTATTGGTCTGTTCAGATTTCTTTCTTCATGATTTGGTTTTGGTAGGTTGTATGTTGCTAGAAACTTATCCATTTCTTCTAGGTTATCCAATTTGTTTTATCCAATTTGTTTGTTTGAGATCTTTTTTTTTAATGTAGGCATTCATCACTAAAAACCTCCTTCTCAGAACTACTTGTGCTGCATAAAAGTTTTGGGGAGGATGAAAACACTTTTGTTTGTTTCATGATATTTAATTTTTAAAAAAAGTTTCTTTGGCCCTTTGGTTGTTCAAGAATGCATTGTTTAATTTCCACATATTTTTTAATTTTCCAGCTTTCCTCCTGTTATTGATTTCTAATTTAATATCATTGTGTTTGTAAAAGGTGATTGTTATGATTTCAGTCTTGTTAAGTTTGTTAGAACTTTATCCGTGGCTGAACATGTGCTCTGTCCTGAAGAGTGTTCTGCGTGTGCTTGAGGAGAAGCTGTGTTCAGCTGTGGGGGGACTGCTCTGTACCAGCACAGGTGGAGTGTGGCTCCTAAGGAAGTTTTACTGATGCATCCTCATCCTGGGGCCCTGAGATGTTGTATTCCTTGTGATTTCCTACGCATGCTACAGTTTATGCGGCAAGTATTACCTCTGAAAAATGCCACCAGCTGTGATGACTACCTGGGTTCAGGTTAGACTCTTCTTCTTAATGATTAATACAGGTTATTTTCAGACTAATTCAAAGGTATGACACAGGGCATGGAGCATGACTTTGGCATTGTGTGGACTTGGACTGGAACCCTGGCTTTGCCACCTCCTAGGTTTGTGACTGGGAAGTCTCACCTTCTTCACACGGATTCTTTTCTCTGAACGATTTGGATAACTAAGGAGGAGAAAGAAGGTTGAATGGAGTCTGAGGGGATTCTGAGAGTGGAGGGCTGGGGCTCCCCAGGTGTTTACCGTGGAATAATATTTGGTCACATTGTTGATTTCCTTGAACTTTCTTAAGAAGTAGTGTGCTGGGATGCTATTTTGTAACAAAGCTTCTCCCTACAGGAGAGATCTTACCTAACTTTTAAAAAGTAAGGGGTAAATTTACTGCTCAGGGAAGTTGTTTATGCATTGGAAGAATGAATTACCAGATGCCAGGACACAGACAGTGTTTAGATTGAGCTATTGGATGGTATTCACTTGTGCACATGCATCATGAAGTTGAGTGATTTCTGACAAATGGCTCATGTGCTTTGTCAGCAGGTCCCTGTAGTGACTAGAGGAGCATTGTACAAATGTCTGGCAAAGCCATCAGGACCTTTGACAAACCCAGTCTTCCTGACATGCCCCCTCCTGCCGTATTAACTTTGTTCATCATTCTAATTTTCCTGAGGCACTAGAAAGACTATTGACTGAATCAAAGAGCTGTACTGAGAATTCACCCCAAGGCCCACACTAGCAACTCTAGCAGAACCGTCTTTATTTCAGAGGAATGTTGAGAGTTAAATCTGGGCCAATACAAACATAAGATGATGGCTGGGATGAGCAGGTGTGCAGAAAGGAGTGGTATTAAGAGATATTTAGGTGGAAAATGGACCATGAGGACGAAGGCAGAGGACACGGTCTGTGTAACTGGATGGGGGTTGGTGATACCGCAGAAGCAGGGAGTTCACAGAAGGTCAGGGGTCATCAGGAGCCAGGAGAAGCTGCTGCACTTGATCAGAGATTGCTGAGTTTGAGGTGGATTTGGGATGTAAAAGTGGGTGACTCCTGTGCAAGCAGGCAACACTGTCTGCAAAGGTAGCTGATATCTTCTAAGGTCCTTGGCCAACCTGGACTCAGGTAGGTGTCCTGTTAACATCTTTTTAGTACTTTTAAATTTCTGTATCAAATAACAACGAGTAAGTCTACTTTTTTTTTTTTTAGCTTAGAAATCAGTATTTGGCTCAACTGATATTCATGGTTTGCATTTTTGACAAACAAGTGGCAAACAGTCTTGTTTTTGGACACAGGATCTTACTCTGTTGCCCAGGCTAGAGTGCAGTGGTGCAATCATGGCTCATTGCAGCCTCAACCTCTTAATCCCAGGTTTAAGCAATTCTCCCACCTCAGCCTCATGAGCAGCTGAGACTATAGGCATGCACCAACATGCCTGGCTAAGTTTTAATTTTTTATAGAGACGGTTCTTCCTGTGTTACCTAGGTTGGTCTTAAACTCCTGGGCGTAAGCAATTCTCCTACCTCAGCCTCTCAAACAAAGTGCCAAGATCACAGGCATGAGCCACTGCGCCCAGCCAGACCAGTAATATAAACGACTGCTCCAAAATCACAAATTAACTTGATGGCAGTATTAGGATTGAAATTATGGTTATCCAAAGCCACTCTGACCCACGAGATGACAGCATTCCTGTTTACCATATTCCTACAGGTTCTGCGGGGTGGAGTGGATGGCCATTGTGTGCTATGTGCTCTGAGGAAGCTTCTTCAACTGCTCTGCGAACCGCAGCAGTTAAGTGTAGTATACAAGGCAGCTACGTGAATAGTGACCCAGATACAGACCAGTCTCAAGATAAACAAAAGGAAGATACCTCATCTGCAACCCATGGCCTGAGTTTTTCATAATACCCAGAATGGCAGTGCAAGGTTAACACTATGTTAGAAAGCTACCACTGGCTGGAGGATATGCCACGGGGACAAAACCAATAAAAAGCAGGACAGAGAAACCACCTTGCAGGAGCAAAAGAAATCAGCAAATTGAGATTTTTTGTTGTGACGTTTAGTGAGGTGGAATACTGAACGTATTGCATCCTAATGGCGTCTTTGTCTCATACGGCTCACGTGTTGTACAGTGAGGTGGAATACTGACCGTATTGCATCCTAATGGCGTCTTTGTGTCACACGTTGTGCAAGCACATTTCTATGAACACACACCCCAAGCGGGTTCTGCACTTACACTGCATCCTTAACTCACCTACATTTCTAAGGGTGTCTGCCTTCTTCAGCAGCCCTCCATGGCTGTCCACACCCTCCCACACCAGCCAACCTGAAACAAGGTTTCCTCTTCCTCTAGGAAATACTCAGGGTCTCGCTTCCTCCTTCAACATCCATCCGTGTCTTCCACACCCCATCCTGAACCAGGCGCCCGAATTCCGAGTTCCGTGTTCCTTCTGTCACACGTGGCTAAAGACCGGCTGCTCCCTAGAAAATCACTGCTTTCCAAAGCGCACTGCCGAGTCTTACATGAAGTATTTTCTCTTTAGAGACATGAATTCTGATTCAGATATTTGCTTTCATTATAAGCCTTGGAGCAAAGAGTATAAAGGTGTTTTCTTCTAAAAGTTCCTTTGGTTGACCACGAATCCCCAGCCTCAGCTGTCTCCCTTAGTGCTGTTTGCTCCATGGATCTCTTACAGATGTGTGTCAAAGGCAGTTCATAAGCACAAAGACATCTGGAATACAAAGAGTCGCTATATAAAGACTAAAGACACCATGTTTATATTGAATTAATGAGCTGATTCTGAGATTTTTTTAGAATAACAGCCTACCTGGCATTTATTCTCTCTGAGCATTAATTAATATTTTTCACACCAGTGTCTATCTTAGTCAACATATTTTGAGCTTTGATTCAATTACAAAACCCTAACACCCCAAACTGTGTGTTTTTCACATGGTAAAGGACCACAGATTCACTAACGCCTTCAGAAGAATCAGTTTACTGTGGATTCTATCCAGTATTATGAAGTTCTCCTGTCCAAAAACACAGTTTTGAAAGATGAGGTTAGATTTATTAGTGCTGTGTTGGCTGGGATTTCATTAAGTGAGAGGGCTTTTGTAGTTTTCTCAGACCAAGCAAATTTTATTGGGCCAAATTATTTTTAGGTAAATCTGTGGGAATCTGTCCAATTTGTTACATGCCCTAAAGTCTTGGCACACTGAGATTTTGTTTTGTTTTTCTTTAGAAAATTCCCTCCCTGTTTCTCCCTCTTTGATATTATTCCCAGTAACAATGCATTATTGTTTCCTATGGGTCTGAGGACAGTGGCAATTCAGGGCATGTTTGGTGTTGTTGGCACGTCACGGAGGAGACATTCCCCACATGGCCTCCCCTTTCCTGTGATGCTGTTACTTCGGGCCCTGGAAGTTGAAACCGGGCAGCCAGGCCAAGGACCCTCTGTGCTGAAGGCTCCGGTGCCCTCAGTCATCAGTCTCTGTCATGCTAACTCGTTACCTGTGCATGGAGCAGCCGCTAGACAGTTTCTCAGAGGACGAACGGCATTAAGTAGTTCCTTCATTCCTCCATTTGACAAACCTTGACTTAGTGCTGACTACCTGATCGTGACAGAGCTGAGCATCACAGATCAAACCACACACAACTTGTGTCCAGCACTCAATTTATGGTACATTTCTCTAGAGCTTCAAACTAGGGTATGCTCAGGGCTTACGTGTAATACACAAAAAAGTCTGCATATCATGTTACTGATCTCCTGAGCCATAAAATCCCTAAGGAAAAAAAAATTCTTTTTCTAAAGAGACTGGCTTGTTTTCAAGCTTACAAAAACCAGCCAGAGGGTTCAGGCTAAGTTTAGACAACTAAAAATAAAGTGAAAGCTTGGGTTTTTAATTTATGATGATGATTATTATTTTAAAATTCATTTTTGAAATGCACTTATATAGTGGAACAACATCAGATTAATGAAATTTAATCGTTATTGTGAAGATAAGTCTGTTTTTGGCTCAGATAAAATGAAGAGCTTCTGTAATACTTCCTTTTTTTCTCTTAAAAACCAAATGTGCATAATTCTGTTGGAAGAATAAAGATTGTAATTGTGAACTTTACCCATCATCTTCAATCTGCTTGTCTCTTGTTTCTTAAAAATCATTTTTAGCTCAAAATGTTTGATGTTTTTGTTTGGCCTGTTATTGACTTTTAAAATGTATTTTCAGACATATATACTTTTACAAAATGGATATTTCTGATGTAGATATAAATTTACCAATTGTTATTTTATTTTCTTTTAAATATTATACTCAACACATACAGTAAAATTATAAAGAATTAGAAAAGATTCTGAAAAATAACAACTCTGGTCCCACTCTTCTACTACTACGGAGGAAATATCAGATTTTTATGGCAGGTGGATATAACTGGGAGGTAGGTATTCCCTGTCATTGTTGAAGACACAAATGTACATTTTCTGAATCTCTCTAAACAGGAAGATTCTTGTCAGAACAATGTAGTAATTTTATGAAGTAGATTTTGTAAATGTAGGTTATATAATAAATTTCAGTGAATTATAAAAATGCAGGGTTTAAAAACAGCTGTATAGAAAAAGTGATGTTAGCAATATGGTGGAATGGGAGTTCCTGGTGCTCTTCCCCTCACAGAAACATCAGTTTGGACAATTATCCACACATGAAAATACCTTCATAAGGGCTAACGTTAGGCACTAAAGTACCTAGTGGAATAAAGAAACAAAAATGTATTTAAGAGGGTAGGAAAGACAGCTTCATGTTACCCGTCACTCTTCCACCAAACCTGCACAGCACAGCACAGAGACTTATACCCTCTGTTGCCAGAGGGTGGGGGATGCAGCAGGCATCTGACTTTGCCATGGGCCCCAGGACCAGGCCCACCTCCAAAAATTTCAGGGCCAGACTAGCCCCTGAAGCCCCAAGCTCTAGGCCCAACAACTCTAAAGAAATGGCGATATATGAACTGCCTGGCAAATAATTCAAAACAATCATCTTAAAGAACCTCAATGAGTGACAAGGGGACACAGATAGACAACTGAATGAAATCAGGAAATACATAAGCAACATGAGAAGTTAAGAAATAGATTGAAATCGTTATAAATAAGCAAACAGAAATTCTGGAGCTGAAGAACAAAATGACTGAGCTGGAAAATTCCATGGAGAGCTTCAACAGGAGACTCGAACAAGCAGAAGGAAGAATCAGTGACATCAAAGACAGGTCAAATGAAATTACTCAGTGGAACAACAACAACAAAAGATTGAAAAAAGTCTATAGGGCTAAGAGACACCATCAAACAAGTCAATATATGCATGATGGTAATTCCAGAAGAAGCAGAAAAATAGAAAGGGGACAGAAAGCTAATTTAAAGAAATAATGATGGAAAACTTTCCAAATCTAGAGACAGAAATGAGCATCCAGACGCATGAAGCCCAAAGAAGCCCCAAAGAGGTTAAACACAAAGAGATCTTCATAGACACATATTACAATCAAATTCTTAAAAGTGAAAGACAAATAGAGAATATTGAAAGCAGCAAGAGAAAAAAGTCTCCTCACATACATAAGTCTCCTAAAGGACAGTGATGTTTATAGTAGGAACAAAAGTGATAAAGAGAAAAGAATCAAGCATACCACTGAAAAATGATCAAATCACAAAGAAAGACAGCAAGTGAGGAAGAAAGGAGATACAGAATAGCCAAAACAAAATGGCGATAGTGCTCCTTACCTATCAATAACTACTTTAAATGCAAATGGTTAACTTCTCTTGGCAAAAAGACATAGAGTGGCTGAAGGGATATTAAAAGAAGATACAACTCTATGCTGCTTGCAGGCTGAAAGTGAAGGAAAGGAAAAAGATATTCCATGCAAATGGTAACCAAAAGAGATAAGGAGGGTATACTTACAGACTTTAAGGAATAAACTATAACAAGAGACAAAGAAGGGCATTGTATAATGACAATGGGGTCATTTCATTGAAAGGCTATAACAGTTACAAATATATATGCACTCAACATCAGAGCACTTTAAATGTATAAAGTCAATGTTAACAGAACTAAAGGGAGAAATTGCAATGTGGTAATAGTAGGGAACTTTAGTACCCCACTTTCAACAATGAATAAATCATCCAGACAGAAAATCAATAAGCAAACAGAGATCCTGAATAACATTACAGACTAAATGGACCTGACAGATATGTACTGGACATTCCATCCAACAGCAATGGAATACACACTCTTCTCAAGCATATAAGAAAAATGTTCCAGGATAGATCCTGTATTAGGTCACAAACAAGTCTTAACAAATTTAAGAAGGTGAGGTCATATGAAGTATCTTTTCTGATTACAATGGTATGAAACTAGAAATAGATAATGGGGGGAAAGAAATCAACAAAACAGAATCCTATTTATAACAGAGATGAAGAATTAAGACTCATAGAAACAAATTTAACTAAGGAGGTGAAAAATATCTACACCGAAAACTATAAAACACTGATTAAAGAAATTAAAAAGGATACAAATAAATGGAATGATATCCATTGTTAATGAACTGGAAGAATTAATATTGTTAAAATGTCCATACTACCCAAAGCAATCTACAGATTCAATGTAATTCCTTTCAAACTACCAACGGTGTTCTTCACAGAAATAAAAAAAAAGTAATTTTAAAATTCATATGAAATCATGAAAGATACTGAAGAGCCCAAGGCATCTTGAGCAAGAATAAAACAACAAACAACAATAAAAACAGCCACAGAAAGCTGGGTGCGTCACACTACCTGACTTCAAAGTATACCACAAAGCTGTAGTAACCAAAATAGCATGGTATTGGCGTAAAAACAGACTCACAGACCAACAGGACAGAATAGAGAGCCTCGAAAAAAACACGTGCGTCTGCAGCCAACTGATTTTTCACAAAGGCATCAAGAACACACAGTGGGGAAAGAATAATCTCTTCAATAAATGGTGTTGGGAAAGGCAAATATCCACATGAAAAAGAACAAAATTGGACCTCTTCTTACATCATACACAAAATCAGCTCAAAATGGATTAACAACATAAACATAGGACCTTAAATGGCAACACTACTTGAAGAAAACAGAGAGAAAAAACTTCTTGACGTTGGTGTGGGTAATGATATGATACTAAAAGCACAAGGCAACAAAAGCGAACATGGACAAATGGGATTGCACCAAACCAAAACACTTCTGCCCACACAAAGGAAATGACCAACAGAGTGGGATTGCACCAAACCAAAACACTTCGGCCCACACAAAGGAAATGATCAACAGAGTGAAGAGACGATCTACAGAATGGGAGAAAATAATTGCAAACCATACATCTTATATGCAGTTAATATCCAAACTATGTAAAGAACTCAAGTCAATCACAAGAAAACAAAGGGCTAGGCTGGCGCCGTGGCTCATGCTTGTAATCCCAGTGCTTTGGGAGGCTGAGGTGGTCAGATGGCTTGAGTTCAGGAGTTCAAGAGCAGCCTGGGTAACATGGCAAAACCCCGTCTCTCCAAAAATTACAAAAATTAGCCTGGTGTGATGGTATGCGCCTGTGGTCCCAACTACTTGGGAGGCTGGGGTGGGAGAATCACTTGAGCCTGGGAGGCGGAGGTTGCAGGGAGCTGAGATTGTGCCACTGCACTCCAGCCTGGGCAACAGAGCCAGACGCTGTCTCAAAATAACAGGAAGAAAAAGACCCAAGGAGACCCAATTTAAAAATGAGCGAAGAACCTGAAAGATATTTCTCAAGAGAGGCATACAAATGGCCAATACATATATGAAAAAATGTTCAATATCATGATCATCAGGAAGATGCAAATGAAAAGCACAATGAGCTATGACATCACACTTGTTAGAACTACTATCAAAAAGACAAAAAGTAACAACTTTAGGGGAGGCAGTGATAGAAAGGGAACCCTTGCATGCTGTTGGTGTGAATGTAAATTGGTGCAGCCATATGGAAAACAGTATGGAGTTCCCTCAAAACATTAAAAATAGACCTGCCATATGATCCAACAGTCTCTCTTTTGTGTGTCTATCCAGAGGAAAGAAAATCACATTTGGAAGAGATGTCTGCACTCCATGTTACCGTAGCCAAGACATGTAATCAACCTATGTCCATCAAAGGAAGACTGGATAAAGAAATGTGATACGTACATATAAGGAAATATTATTTAGCCTTTAAAAAGAAGGAAATACTGCTGTTTGTAACAACATGGATGAACCTGGACGTTATGTTAAGTGAAGTAAGCCAGACACACAAAGACAGACACCACATGATCTCATTTGTATGTAGAATCTAATAAATTCAAACTCATAAAAATAGAGAGTAGACGGCGGTTCCCAGGGGCTGGGCTGGGGTGGGGAAATGAGGTGACATTGGTCAAAGGTACAAAGATTCAGTTATGCAGGTGACTAAGTCCTGGGGTTCCTAGGCACAGTGGGTGACTATGATTAGTGACGTTGTATTGCATACTTGAAATTCACTAAGAGGGTAGAAATTCAGTGCTCTCATCACACGTGCGCGCACACACACACACACCCTCCAAGGTCACTATGTGAGGCAATGGATGTCTTAATTAACTTGATTGTCATCACCATTTCACAATGTACACATATATCAAATCATCACGTTGTCAATTTTATGCCATAAAGCTGGAAAAAATGACATGATTTTTTAAAAATAGTGTTTTTATTAAAAAATAGCAACAACTCCATGGAAATAAATGTGAATACATCTTAGAGCATGAAACAGAGGCAACCCAATAGCTCCATTATGTGAACGGCCTGCCAGGATGGATGACTCACTCTTAGGATGGTGGAATTTTAAAAGTAAAGTAGATCTTTGGGTCTGTCATTTCCAGGTGGTGCTCTGAGTGCTGGGATGTTCGGACCCTGGCTGGGTCACGTGCTGCAGCCGGCGGAGCTGGAGAAGTCACGAGACTTCCCACCGCATGAGGCTGCCCTGCTGCTGCCTGGGTTGGCCAGGGGAGCCGTTGCCATCGGAAGTCAGTCTGTTTGAAATTTCTGTCAGTTCCATCTACCAGTTGGTTGTCATCCCCAAGGGTTCTATGATTTTCCGTGCTGCCAAGGAGGATGATAAAAGATTTACTGACCTCAATATACAGACACTCAACTTACAACGGGGTTATGTCTCCATGTCTCCGTAAACCCAGCGTATTCCTTGGAAATACTGTCAGTAGAAAATGCATTTAGTACCCCCTACCTAGGGAGCATCACAGCCTGGCCTGGCCCACCTTAAACACGCTCAAAACACACATCAGCCCACAGTTGGGCAGACTCATCTCCCACAAAGCCCACTTGATATTAAAGTGTTGAGTTCTCATGTGATTTGTGGAATATTTTACTGAAAGTGAAAAACAGAACAGTTTCTACTGAATGCCTGTCACTTTCACGTGATCGTAAAGTCAAAAAATCTAAGTGAAACCATTTTACGTTGGGGATAGTCTATACCCTGTTAATGTGCCTTATTCTGGAAACCATTCTATGTGAGCTGAGGAAATAGTCCACACAGAACATGGAGAAAAGCAGGTATTTTCCTATTTCTTATTAAATAAAAATGGGCAGCAAAGTGTGGAGAATTAGCCCGGAGGAATGGCCTGGGCTGTGTGCGCTCTCCGCCGGCCCTCACAGCTGCAGCCCTGCTCATGCGATCTTGCTGTGCAGTCCTCCCCCTCTACCGTGAATGCAAAATCCTACAGAGATCAAAATACACACATTCAATAAAACCGACAATAACAACCTCTGACTGGGTGGGCCGAGAAGCTCCGGGAAAACATCCTTTTAAAACTGCTATTACCTGGAAGTCAGCAAAGTGGAAAAACCGGCAGTAGAGAGGATTTTGTGAATGGCTCCCCAGGAGCGCTGCTTACATGCGGCTTCCTAAACGGGGAGGCCTGGGGGTTGTAGCCGGGGTGAAAATGTTGGGCGTTTGAGATGCAGCACTTCTCAGGCTCTGAGGGACTGCAGAGTAGCACCCGAACCACCAGACAAGCCCCAGCGGAAGTGTGGAGCTGACGTGCAGTTATCCACATGTGTGTTCCAGCCAGAAACCTTTCGGATATACATTGTGAACAGTTTTCTACAAATGATGACATGTAAACACATAGTTTGAGATATAATAACCCATGACTGTCCATGGAGCTTGGCGTTTCTGTGTCCCTGTGGCCTTCAGCTGGCCACATTCATGGGAGGCAGTGATTCTCAGTGCCATCCCAGAAGCAGAAGCTTCTCAAAGCACCTGCACCCTGGCATAGGCCACAGACTGCCCATCTCACCCAGCCTGAGCCCCAGGCACTGAAACGCAGGAGAGTTGTTCAATGTGTTTATTCAAACTGAACATAAATGTGCAGGAGATGAGATATTTCATCCTGTGATGTAGGTATTACTACACTCCCCTTTTGCAGATAAGGAAACCAAGCCTGAGACATACTGAACAAATCGACTGTGGCCACACGATTGGGGAGTGCCGGTGGATTTACATCGAATGTCCCAGACGGAAGCTCACACACTTCCCAGCTCCCCACATCACTTTTCCGAGATGCATGTTGATGAAAACACAGAATCATACCTTTTAAAGGCACCGATGAATAACCCTGGAAACTAGATATGGCACATAGATATATATGGGAAATACCCATTCATAGAAATGTGGCTGAGAGATTCCAAACCTGACTTTGTAAGAGAAAAAAAATATGAAAAAGTAGTTATAAAAATAATTAAGAGTTATAAGAAAATAGTTATAAGAACATAGTTAATAAGAAAAACCCAGAGTCAAATATGCAGTAAAGCAAAAGAGAAAAGATCCATTATTGCAGCAAGCATCGCCAGAGATGGGACTGAATTACTGGTATTTTACCCGGGAAGCCTGCAGGGGCGAGCTGAGCTCGGGCAGAGCCTGCGCGGCTCAGGGACGGTCACTGTGTCCTCACACGGGCAGAACGGGCTCTGAAAACAGCCATTACCAGCCATTGGCTCCATTTTCCCTGGCGCTGTTTTCTCTGAGAAAAATGAGGGCAGCGTTTATCTTGGCTTTGCTTTGTGTCTTTCTCCTAGTTTTCTCCTCCCTGACGCTGTCTTGCAGTGTAAGCCAACGTGGCTTAAGACAGTTCGGCATTCATCAACTATTGATTGCAAGTCTAATCAATAGCGTGACTGTGTGAGTGTAATCAAAATACTTGAATTATTTTAAACAATTATTTTAAATATTTTTTCTGACACACACATACGCACACACTTAGACAATTTAACTGCACTTTTTTTGCTAATAAAATTTACATTATTTGTGCCAGTTAAAACTACCTTCCGACAGCCTGAACTGAAGATGAAAGTCAAGGAATTTATTTTTCACATAATGCCTAGTAAGAAGCTGCCATGAAAATTTCTACTTGGGCACAGAGTGTTTCTGTCCTTTTAAAAAGGGAGTAGAAAGTTGTATAATTTGATATGGAAAATTATTACCATCCAGGTTTTCCTACTTTCTGGGTAAAGGTCCTGAGTGCTGGGCTTTTTCCAGATGCCGGCCAACAGATCCTTGGGGTGTGGCTCCGTGATGAAGCCAGCCCCACCCTGCAGGGCTGGCAGCCGCCTGTGACCCTGTGACTCAGCGGCCACGGCGTGTCTACAAGGAGCCCAGTTGCAGGTGCAGGTGGGAGGGCCCAGGATGGAGGCTCTGATGCAGCAGGAGCCGGGTGGGCAGTGATGCTTGCATCCCTGATGGGGAGGTCCCGCCAGGCCTCATGTGCTGGGTGCTGTGCCCTCTTCCTATGCAGGGAAACGGACAACATTTCTGGAACTCAGTGACGCTAAAGTTCTGTATCTTTTTATCCTTTCTTTCATGCAAGGAATAGTAGGATTTGAGGGTGCAGAATTTGGATAGAATTGTTCTTATAGCAGATTATAACAAAGGGGAATGTTTGGACTTACCAGTTAAGTGGAAATGCATATAGATAGTCAATAACTGTATATGTACTTTGATTCCAAGTGGTTTTGAAGTTGTGGAGCTGGGGGCCAATGAAGAAGGATCTAGCTCTGAAACCAGGACTCAGAATGTGATAGAAAAGATCAGGCTGCGGGCGGGGCTCACACCTGTAATGAGACAGAGGCGGGAGGATCACTTGAGCCCAGGAGTTCCAGACCAGCCTGGGCAACATAGTAAGGCCTCATCTCTACTAATAAACATTAGCTGGGGATGGTGACGCATGCCTGTGGTCCCAGCTACACAGGAGGCTGAGGCAGGAGGATGGCTGGAGCCCAGGAGGTTGAACCTGAGGTGGGCAGTGGTGGTGCCATTGCCCTCCAGCCTGGGCAAGACAGCAGACCCTGTCTTAAAAAAAAAAAGATCATGGTAGTCAAATGTTAGGATAAATTAATCTTATTAATCAAGTTATGTTGTTTAAATATCAGCTAAGGCCAGAGAGGGAGCCATCTTTTGCTTTGTTTTTCTTTAAATGATGTATAGGTATTATTTCTAACATAAGGCTTGAAAAACTAATGAAGTGTAATAATTTTAATGAATAGGTGGTTTATGAAAAGAGAGGTTTGGGAATTCCACGTTTCTAATCTTCATCTCAGAAAGCGCAACCGCAGGCCCACCTAGAGACTCACGCCCCACTCAGGCTCTCCTGCTCAGGGCTGTAGCAGGGCGGGAACACTCTTCACCTTCAAACCTGAACCCCCAAATGTCAACCTGCACCGAGGCACCTATGAGCATGGCAACTCTTGTCTCTATTCGGCAAGACCCCTCTAAAACCATAACCCCCTCCAGCCCAGCCAGCCACCCTGAGGCAGCCCTCTCACCCTGGCATTCAGCATTTGTCACATAAAGAAAGCTTTGCAGAGTTCCACACACCCAGTAGCTGACTGTGAACCTCCCTCAAGGTCCTTGGCCTTTCGCCTGCTGTCACCTGATGTTACTACTGGGTGCACGTGGGGCCTGCACGGGTTCCTGGTGGCTCCTGCGGTCTGGAGCCTGGGACCTACCACCCTCCGTCCCCCCTGTCCCTCCTGAGAGTCAGAGCTGGCTGAGGACACTCTTACAGAGGAGAGGACATTTTCTTAGTCAAGGGTCTGTGAGTGGCTGGACTTTATTCTTGGAACCCCCTTTGAGAAATCATTTGGAAAGTGAGTGGTTCACTATTGTAATTGCGAACAGTTTTTAAAAATACGATTTCCTTCTTTATAAAGTGCTCAAAGTGCTGGACTTGGTGCATTTTATAAAGAAGGAAATCGTATTTTTAAATAGCACTTTTATATTGTGTTGTCCTCTTATGTTCTGAAATAAAATATGGAATAAGAATTGAGTGCAAAACTGAAATCCGAATTTATACTTTGAGATAATGTGGCCAAATACGTTTAGAAAGTCCTGCAACAATTCACAAGCCATGTGGACATGGTGTGGGGCTCGGCTGGGTGAGGGTTTTCTCCTCCCTCTCTGGAGGGAAGGTGGAACAGGGTGAATTAAAATCCTGCTCCCCTTTCCTCCCACAGGGAGATGGCTAATGACCCACAGCTGGGATCATTGCTGCCTGCTCAGGACTTGAGTTACTGGATGTCGGAGGCTTACAAAGTGCTCTTTCTGAACGAAAAGGTAATTACAGTGTTTAAGAGCAGCTCCAGGAAGTGTGTATGGATTCTACAACTTTGTTTTCTTCTCTCTGGCTAATAGAAATCATCCAGCCCTCCCAATGAGGCCGCCTTGGGGCCAAATCCCCAAAGTGGCAGGCAGTCCCCGGAGAAAGCAATTCTTTGATGAAAAAAACGCCAAACATAAAACCATTTATCCATTCCTGGTCCAAAGAGCCAGTTTCCCTGAGAGGAGGTGGGACCACAGGGCTGGGCAGAGAGGGATATATTTGCTCCGTGCAGTCGTCATAGGAAAAAGAAGCAATGTCTCCTAATTTTGACAGACACAAGGCTCACTGGATTCAGAACAGCAGCTCTCAGAGCTGGACCTGTTCCCTTTTCTGAACTTCAGTTTTATTCTTATATTAAATTCTTCAGCAATACCTTTACCTTGACAAGAACGAATCATTAGAACATGTCTCCTCATGGCTGACCTCATGAGAGGAGATTTGAGGGCTTTGTGCTTGAGGCCCCAGGTCCCCCATGCTGTGCCCAACTCCTCCCCATTCCCTGGCTCCCCTTCCATGGGGGGCGGTTCAGACTCCTGTCCTCTGTCCTGGGGTGGCTCTGAGTGGCCTTCACTCCATCCTGCAAATCAGCAAGAGGGGTCTCCCTGCAGGCGCCCCACTGCTCACCACTTACCTGAGAGCAGGAGCCAGGTTCTGCCCTCTGCCCGCTCCCGTCTGCCCGCTCCCCTCTCCCCTCTCCCCTCTGCCCGCTCCCCTCTCCCCTCTCCCCTCTGCCCTCTGCCCTCTCCCCTCTGCCCTCTGCCCTCTGCCCTCTCCCCTCTGCCCTCTCCCCTCTGCCCTCTGCCCTCTGCTCTCTGCCCTCTCCCCTCTGCCCTCTGCGCTCTCCCTTCTGTCCTCTCCCCTCTGCCTTCTCCCTCTCCCCTCTCCCCTGTCGCCTCTGCCCTGCTCCCTTCTCTGTCCTGGGCTTCTGCCCCCCTCACCGCTCTCTGCATCCACTCCAGCTTTTCCCCCCTTCACTTTCTCCAAACAGTGATTTTTTGAAACTAATATCAACAAGATCAGGACAACTGCAATCACTTTACCCGACTTGTCAGTTTCCTATTTAGAAAATTCAGACTATGGAGTGGAATTGGCTCCTCATGGGACCCATGGTAAGTTTTTAATTTTTGAATTCACAATCAGATGATTTGGTTAAATTTTACATCCTTGTGTAGCTCCCCTACTCAACATTAACTGTGTATTCCTAGGAGTTTTCAGTAAAATTCAAAATATGTTTAAAAAGAAAAAATTCTAGACCAACTATCACCTACAACTGAATAAAACAAAGTATTTTATTATAGCCAAAGGGTTTTTCTGACTTGTCCAGCACACCAAGGTAATCAGTCAAATTTCTTAATATTTTTCTGTGAATGTCCCTGTCTGAGATGGAGGAAATAGCTGATCATAAGTCTAAATAGCAAGACAACTTCTGGGAGGAAAGCAAAATTAACTTTATGTATATGAAACTGATTTTCAGGAGAAAATGCAGACTCAAAGAAATGTTATTTTCATATTATAAAAACTATACAAAATAGAAAAAAAGATGAAATCACCTTGAACAATACAAACATCATAATTCAACCGTCGCGAATATTTCAGTGTAATTTTTAAATTTCTTCTCTACACTTACATATCTGTATAGTCATCTCTATAACATACAGGCGACTACCTATCTGCTTTTCATGTTTATAACTCGATTATAAGCATAACTCCCTATTGTCACATAGGTGTTAAGCCTTCATTGAGAGGAAGAAGAATCCAAGTTTTTATAATTTTATGGTCGGCTTCCTCATGTATTCTTTGCTTTTCTGTGCTTGACTCCTCCTCACACACTGGCTGCAGCTGGAGGAGACAGAAGCTACTACGAGGATTTCAGGTTCTTTGAGTTTCAGGCGGACTCAGCTTCCAGGGGCGAATACTCCACCTCTTGCAGCTCCTTCTTCCCTGCTGCGGGCGAGAGGGGGTCCTGGGATGGTCTGTGGCTGGCCGTGGAGGCCGGGGTCTGGGCTGGCCGTGGAGGCCGGGATCTGGTCTCTGAAATCTGGTGGCTCCTGGCAGGTGGGCACCATTGGGGGCTGAGCACACTGTGCTCCTGCCACTGCCTCTGGCTGGGGACCCTCTGGAGCAAAGCCTCGACACCCCAGACGGCCTCCTCAGCCACTGCACGTGGTCTCCACTGGAACCCCCTGACTTACTTAGGAATGCTGACTCAGAGGCGGCTGCAGGTCTGAGCCGGGGCTGTGGCTTGGCCGACAGGCACCCACAAGGCACCCGCAGCCGCTCCGAGGCCCTGCTCTGAATGCTCTGCCTTTAGATTCCGTCCTTAGCATCAGGAAAGAAAAGACCCGGCTTGTGAGCTCCTTGTCCCACCTTCTTTCACTCCAGACGTCCATCTCCATCTTTCTCCATCAGGGACTTTCTGGGCAGGACACTTCCTTGATCACATCCCCAGTTTTCCACCCAGGACTTTGTGAAAACTCCTCCAGGCCTGGCTCTTGGTATGTCAAGAGAAGTTTAAGGGATTTAGACAGTACATACATATATGTACACGTGCGTATGTGTGTGTGTGTGTTTAAGGGATTTAGACAGTACATACGTATATGTACACGTGCGTATGTGTGTGTAAGGGATTTAGACAGTACATACGTATATGTACACGTGCGTATGTGTGTGTAAGGGATTTAGACAGTACATACGTATATGTACACGTGCGTATGTGTGTGTGCGTGTTTAGGGGATTTAGACAGTACATACGTATATGTACACGTGCGTATGTGTGTGTGCGTGTTTAAGGGATTTACACAGTACATACGTGTATGTACACGTGCATATGTGTGTGCGCGTGTTTAAGGGATTTAGACAGTACATACGTATATGTACACGTGCATATGTGTGTGCGCGTTTAAGGGATTTAGACAGTACATACGTATATGTACACATGCGTATGTGTGTGTGCGTGTTTAGGGGATTTACACAGTACATACATATATGTACACGTGCGTATGTGTGTGTGCATGTTTAAGGGATTTAGACAGTACATACGTATATGTACACGTGCGTATGTGTGTGCGCGTTTAGGGGATTTAGACAGTACATACGTATATGTACACGTGCGTATGTGTGTGCGCGCGTTTAAGGGATTTAGACAGTACATACGTATATGTACACATGCGTATGTGTGTGTGCGTGTTTAGGGGATTTACACAGTACATACGTATATGTACACGTGTGTATGTGTGTGTGCGTGTTTAAGGGATTTAGACAGTACATACGTATATGTACACATGTGCGTATGTGTGTGCGCGTTTAGGGGATTTAGACAGTACATACGTATATGTACACGTGCGTATGTGTGTGTGCGTGTTTAAGGGATTTAGACAGTACATACGCATATGTACACATGTGTGTACGTGTGTGTGCGTGTTTAAGGGATTTAGACAGTACATACGTATATGTACACATGTGCGTGTGTGTGTGCGTGTTTAAGGGATTTAGACAGTACATACGTATATGTACACATGTGCGTATGTGTGTGTGCGTGTTTAAGGGATTTAGACAGTACATACGTATATGTACACATGCATATGTGTGTGTAAGGGATTTAGACAGTACATACGTATATGTACACGTGTGTGTATGTGTGTGTGCGTGTTTAAGGGATTTAGACTACATACGTATATGTACACATGTGCATATGTGTGTGTGCGTGTTTAAGGGATTTAGACAATACATACGTATATGTGCACGTGCATATGTGTGTGCGTGTTTAAGGGATTTAGTACATACATATATGTACATGTACGTGTGTGTGTGTAAGGGCTTTAGACAGTACATATGTATATGTACACGTGTGTGTGTTTAAGGGATTTAGACAGTACATACGTATATGTACACATGTGCGTATGTGTGTGTGCGTGTTTAAGGATTTAGACAGTACATACGTATATGTACACATGTGCGTATGTGTGTGTGCGTGTTTAAGGGATTTAGACAGTACATACGTATATGTACACATGCGTATGTGTGTGTAAGGGATTTAAACAGTACATACGTATATGTACACATGTGTGTATGTGTGTGCGTGTTTAAGGGATTTAGACAGTACATATGTATATGCACACATGCGTATGTGTGTGTGCGTGTTTAAGGGATTTAGACAGTATATACGTATATGTACACATGTGCGTATGTGTGTGTGCGTGTTTAAGGGATTTAGACAGTACATACGTATATGTACACATGTGTGTATGTGTGTGTGCATGTTTAAGGGATTTAGACAGTACATACGTATATGTACACGTGTGTGTGCATGTTTAAGGGATTTAGACAGTACATACCTATATGTACACGTGCGTGTGTGTGTGCATGTTTAAGGGATTTAGACAGTACATATGTATATGTACATGTGCTTGTGTGTGTGTGTTTAAGGGATTTAGACAGTACGTATGTATATGTACACGTGTGTGTATGTGTGTGTGGGTGTTCAAGGGATTTAGATAGTACATATGTATGTGTATATGTACATGCGTGTGTATGTGTGTGTGTGAGTTCATACAAGTACTTATTTATCCACTTACTTTTCTCCTTACAGCCATGATTTTACACGTGTTTTGGTGGGAACTCAGTTATCTCGTTCCGTCAGTCAGGGCGGCAGTGATGCCTCTTCCTTTAATTTGCATTTCCACCCTGACAATCACATCTCCCTGAGCAAATGGCTATTTCTGTATGACTAGGGGAAAGATCACATATGAAGGAAAATAAAAGAGAAGAGCACACAATTTAAATAGACCTTTAAGTGATCTCTTTTGCATGGATATTCACTTTGTTTATCATCTTTCCTGGACATGTGTTGGGAATGGGATTAACTGGAGGGTGCAGTACAGAGCAGCATTCCAGAGCCGGCTCTGTGAGGGTTTCAGGCGAGAGCCGGTGCCAGGGCTGCCAGGACTTCCGTGCTTGTCGTCGTGGGGCAGGGATGGATGCCTGATTTCAGACGGAAGAACGCCACTCTCATCAGCAGTGGAACTGAGTCGAGTCCTCAGTGGCCCTGTGGAGTCTTGCAGGTGAATGCTCCAGTAAGCGACGGCCACCCCCGAGGTGTTCCTGAGATGTAGAGATAATTCCAGCTGTGCTGTGTGCTGTCTAACATTTTGGGTTCTCAGTGATGTGGGTGGAGAGATGGTTCCAGCTGCACGGTGTGCCGTCTAACATCCTGGGCTTGTTCCTGGTGTTCTCAGTGATGTGGGTGGAGAGATGGTTCCAGCTGCACTGTGTGCCGTCTAACATTCTGGGCTTGTTCCTGGCGTTCTCGGTGATGTGGATGGAGAGATGGTTCCAGCTGCACTGTGTACCGTCTAACATTCTGGGCTTGTTCCTGGTGTTCTCAGTGATATGGGTGGAGAGATGGTTCCAGCTGCACTGTGTGCCGTCTAACATTCTGGGCTTGTTCCTGGTGTTCTCGGTGATGTGGGTGGAGAGATGGTTCCAGCTGCGCTGTGTGCCGTCTAACATTCTGGGCTTGTTCCTGGTGTTCTCGGTGATGTGGGTGGAGAGATGGTTCCAGCTGCACTGTGTGCCGTCTAACATCCTGGGTTCTCGGTGATGTGGGTGGAGAGATGGTTCCAGCTGCGCTGTATGCTGTCTAACATTCTGGGCTTGTTCCTGGTGTTCTCGATGATGTGCGGCAGAGGGAAGGCCCTCACACTTTGGGGTACTTTTTCTTTAAATTAGAGATGATGATACACAGCTGGGAGGTGGGTGGGAAAGTGGGCGTGGTAGGAGATGAGTCAGGTGAGAGCATTTTGAGACACCCAGGAGCTGTAGAAACCTGAGTTGTTGCTATAGAAGTCCTAGATATCTTCCTGGATAATTCTCTTTCACATAATTGACATAACGCTTCTCTGTCACACCCAGGAAGTCCTGGTATTGTATAGATAAAATCAAAAAGTTATTTCCATTTTACCCAGACCCAGTTTTGAAAGGCCACAGGATGCCAGGATATTCCTTTTTTGTTCCTTTCCTGCTGTGATTACGGATGGGAGGATGGGATTTCAGCTTCACTGTGCTGATGGGCCGTGAAAAAAGAAACATCAGTGACCATCCCCAGAAACAGCGAAGGGGGGTGGGAATCAGTCAGTTAAGAAATCGAGCAAGTGCTCGCCCTGTCTCCACCTCGGTCTCCCACCTGCAGGCGAGAGGCCTATCCGTCCCACCTCTAAGCGTCTGTGACTCTAGGCCAGCAGGGAAGCTCTTGGCATCATGCGTGGCTCCGCTGTCCCTGCCTCCCAGAGCAGGGAGGACGAGGAGCACAGAACAGGGGTCCATCAGGGCTGTGGCTGGTGGAGGTGGGAGGCCCTGGGCTTGGACTCCACAGCCAACCAGGAGCCTGGAGCTCCACACAGCCCGAGTTAGAACCAGGACTGGCAAGAGTCAGACAATCTCCCCAGCATGTCCAGCTTTCAGTTCTGAAGAAACCAACCAACAAAGATACTTGAGCCTTTGCAGTTCCCACGTGCCGGAAAAACTGGTACATGCTTGAGAAGCGTGGATGTACAGAAGAGAAAGCCTCTCGGGTGGGGTCACCGCAAAGAGGAAAGGGCGCACGCAGGTCACTGCAAAGAGGAAAGGGCGCACGCAGGCGCAATGCACAGATCCACGGGCAGCATCTAGACGACGTGCGCTGCTCACAAGGCGAACCTTCGCTCAATGCTCCGGAAGCTGGTTTCCGAATTCACGCCAGCTCACAACTGACCTTCATGCTACACTTTGGGTCCCGTGAGGGCGGCTGCTTCCCCCTGCTCACTCTTGGGCAGCTGGAGCCTAACATAGAACCTGGCATGTGGTAAGCGTGTGCTCAAACTTCACGGCGGGGTGAGGGTGCAGGCATGTGCTTACCACACACTCAAACCTCACGGCAGGCTGAGGATGCAGGCATGTGCTTACCACACACTCAAACCTCACAGGCAGGCTGAGGGTGCAGGCAGGTGCTTACCACACACTCAAACCTCAGGGCGGGCTGAGGATGCAGGCACGTGCTTACCAGGCATTCAAACTTCACGACTGGCTGAGGATGCAGGCAGGTGCTTACTACACACTCAAACTTCACGGTGGGCTGAGGGTGCAGGCACGTGCTTACCAGGTATTCAAACTTCATGGTGGGCTGAGGGTGCAGGCATGTGCTTACCGCACACTCAAACTTCATGGGGGGCTGAGGGTGCAGGCATGTGCGTACCAGGTATTCAAACTTCATGGTGGGCTGAGGGTGCAGGCATGTGCTTACCACGCATTGAAACTTCAGGGCGGGCTGAGGATGCAGGCATGTGCTTACCAGGCACTCAAACTTCACGGCAGGCTGAGGGTGCAGGCATGTGCTTACCAGGCACTCAAACTTCACGGCAGGCTGAGGGTGCAGGCATGTGCTTACCACGCACTCAAACTTCACGGCGGGCTGAGGGTGCAGGCACGAGCTTACCACGCATTGAAACTTCAGGGCGGGCTGAGGATGCAGGCATGTGCTTACCACACACTCAAACTTCACGACAGGCTGAGGGTGCAGGCATGTGCTTACCACGCACTCAAACTTCACGGCGGGCTGAGGGTGCAGGCACGAGCTTACCACACACTCAAACTTCACGGCGGGCTGAGGGTGCAGGCACGAGCTTACCACACACTCAAACTTCACGACAGGCTGAGGGTGCAGGCATGTGCTTACTAGGCAGTCAAACTTCACGGCAGGCTGAAGGTG
The DNA here is from genome assembly GCF_000001405.40 of Homo sapiens. Lineage (NCBI taxonomy): Eukaryota > Metazoa > Chordata > Mammalia > Primates > Hominidae > Homo > Homo sapiens. Next base: position 393,844 of record NC_000002.12, read on the forward strand.
CCTGCTCCCAAGCGATCTCATGCAGCCTGCACTCAAACTCCACATTCCAAAAGTACCTACTCATCTGCCTAGATGCCTGCAGGGCTGGCTCTGATCTGCTTGTCCTGAAATGTGTTAACTGCCTTTTCATACCTTTTTTCATTGCCATGCCAACTGTGAAAGACTCCAGCCCCTTTCAGATGAGGCCCCCAGCTCGGAGATCCACCCTCCAGGAGGTGCTGGGCAGACGCGTGGGGCGGCCTCCACCTCCGGTTTCCTCCCTGTTGCCTCCCGCAGCCTCTCATTCAGAAAGAAACGTGTTTCCGGAAGCTGTGCCGTTGCCATGGAGCCTGGATGGCTTTGTCAGTTTCCTTATTTGCAGCCTCATCTCATCTCCAGACCCACTGTGCTCCTGGACTCGCTGGCAGTCCCAGCTCTCGCCTTCACTGTGGTCTGTGGACCCCTGCACTGAGCCTCGTGTCCTGTGAAGTCAGGCTCTGAGGGTCTCCACGGCCTCCTCTCACCAGAGACCCCCACATCTGCCGCGAATATAACCTAACACTCGAAACCTTTCTCAGTGGCTTGTGCCACCTTTTGAACTTACAATGTTGCTTTGTAGTTCCTTTTATCTGTTGTACGCTTCAGTTAACAGCGCAGTCGACACCTCCCCGGTGTTGGCATATTCTATCCTTCCACGTCCGTGTTGTGTGTTTTCATGGCGTGTCACTGACTCCCCCCGCTGGGGCCCGCGTCTCCTCTGTGCCTCCTCGTTTTGCGGTCTCTCCACATTTCCTGGATGCTCACTGTGCACCTGTCTCACTACAGCACCCTCGACACTGGCGGGCGCCTGGCTCAGCTGTTTAAGTAACTTTATGTTTATTACTTGGGAGGATATTAGCCTAGATTTAATTAATCTCTATGGCAGCATTTTACTTTTTTCTTTTATTTCATTTTGGAGACAGCCTGGGCTTTGTGGCCCAAGCTGGAGTGCAGTGGCGATCTCGGCTCACTGCAGCCTCTGCTTCCCAGGTTCAAGAGATTCTCCTGCTTCAGCCTCCCGAGTAGCTGGGACTACAGGCATGTGCCACCAAACCCGGCTAATTTTTGTATTTTTAGTAGAGACGGGGTTTCACCATGTTGGCCAGTGTGGCCTCGAACTTCTGGCCTCAAGTGATCCACCTGCCTCGGCCTCCCAAAGTGCTGGGATTACAAGTGTGAGCCACCGCACCCGGCCTATGTTGCTTCATTTTAAATGTCCAGTTGCGAAGCTGTGGGTGCAGTAATGGAGCTGATTTCTCAGCTGCTTCAGCTGAGTGATGTCCAACAACTGAACACAGGAAGCCTCAACGCAGATGCTCAGGCGGGGGCGACCGTGGAGACGGAATATTCTCTGGCCCTTCTGTGTTAAGAAAGCCTTCAGGTTGCTGATTATAGAAATGGATGTTTTTAGTCAGCAGTGCAGCTCCACTCTCAAATGGAAGAAAATCCTGTTTTCAGCACCACGTATGCCTAAAGCATCAATTATTTCACTCCCAAATCAGCTGTGTTGCCACCACATTGAATCTGCTGTGAAATAACAGTGTCTGCCAGCACGTGGGTGTTTGGTTAATTATTGTCTTTTTATAAAATATCTGCTTTATTGATACCTTTTCCTTTGGCTTAAGTCATTAATGATGTGTTATTCTGGTCTTGTCATGGATCTGTCAGTGGAATTGCACTGCAGGTGGCTTCTTTGTGGAGTGACAGCAAACGGCATTTGGAAAGTGTGGCTGTTCACCCTGTGGCTGTCCCAGGGCCACACACTGATTGGACTGGGGGCAGGTACCCCACAGAGCCACATGGGTTTAAGCCGAGTCTGCCTAAGTGTGGAACCATAAGTACAGAATGAAGGAAAACAAAACCTGAGCATTTTCTCAGAGTTAGGATTGTTCTTTTGAAAATCTTGGGCCAACTGGGATGACCGAGATTTTTATCCTCTTACCAGTTTTTTTTTTTTTTATGTTTTCTATTTCTAGTGAAGAACTAGAAGGAAAATATGCCCTTAAACGGACAAGTGTGTTATGGACGGAATGTGTGTGTCGCTCTGAAATTCGTAGGTTGCAGCCTCACCCTCAGCGGAGGAGATTAGGGTTTGATGAGGTCGTGAGGGTGGGGCCTCGTGCTGGGGCGAGTGTCCTTGTGAGAAGAGGCACCAGATCCCACAGGCTCCCTCTCTTCCTGGGCCCACACAGAGAAGCCGAGCCCTGTGGGTGCAGTCAGGACGGTGGCCGTGGCCCCCAGAGAAGGTGCCTCAGGCGAAACCAGCCCTGTCAGTGCCTTGGTCTTGGACCTCAGCCTCCAGACCTGTGGGAAGCGAATGTCTGCTGTTCAAGCTGCCCAGTGCATGGTATTTTGTTACAGTATCCTGGGCTGACTAGGACACAGGCCTGGGAAAGTTTGCTGCTGAAATTTTGAATGGCAAGAGTGACAACCAAAATTAAAATGATCTGTACGAAGTGACATGCTTGTTCCTCATTCAATTTAACATAGCGTTTATAGAGTATTGCAATGCTATTATCTTGATTCTTCCGTAAATATTGGGCAGAAATAGGGCAGATAGGATTTGTTCCTGTTTTATAGACAGAGAACCTGAGATGTGCATTGCACATGGCCTGTGCCCTCCTGGAACCCAGAAGCAGGTGGAGCCCTCGTCTTCCCACCCAGTGACCTCCCCACCCCGCCAACGGGCATGGGAGCCATTGCCACGGCCTGGGACCCCTCTACCTGCGGAAGCTAAGGAAGGGGCAGGTTAGATGAAGGATGGCACAGGGAGATACCAGAACGCTGTGCAGGGATTCACTGTGATGCTTTCAAATCATTTTAGTACGGAGGTGTGCGGACGCCTGTGAAATATTTTACATCCTGCATCTTTCCTTTTGAGAATTTTAACCTGCACCTGGTGTGTGTGTATATGTGTGTAAATACATGCACATTTGCACTTGCATTTATATTTATATTATTTATGTTACTATTTAATATAGTTTGGCTATAAATCTTTTCCTTTATGGTCACAACGTTTGTGTTTTGCCAGGAAAATTTTTTTCTTTCCCAGTATAAAGGCATTTTCCAAGGTTATCTTGTAGGATCTTTGTTTTTTCACCCTCCCTGTTCATTTCCACAATCCACCTGGGGTTTGTTTCGTGTGAGCCTGAGGTGGGTTGAGTTTCCTTCTTTTCTCTACGCGCGTTTGATGATCCAGCGCCGTGGGGTGGAGGCTTTCAGAGACATCCGTCACAGGTGGGTGTCCCTGCCTGCCTGGCTGCGAGGCTTCTCCACGCACCCGCTTTGCTGGTCTTGGGGTCAGGACCTTCAGGGCACAGCCAGTGCCCTGGGCCCCTTTCCCAGCCCCTTCACCTGTCCTCGGCTTCTGCAATTCCATATAAATTTCAGAATTTGAAAAACTTTACAAGCACAAATTCTGGGCAATTAATGATAATTCATTGAATCTACAGATTTATTTGGCAGTAAAAGATACCTTCACAACATTGAGTCAGTGGGCCCTGTACATAGTTTGTAAATTTGTTCCAGGTATTAAATATTTTGTAGTGCTGTTTTATTTTTTGTTTGTTTCTGGATTATAGAAATATAATTACATTTAAAAATTTGACCTTTTATCCAGAAACCTTACTAAATTCTAACAGTTTATCTTAATTTGTTTTGGACTTTTAACATGCATAGTCTGTCATTTGTGGCTTAGGTTGATTTTCTTTCTTTTCTCTGCGAATGCTTTTATACTCCCGGTGCATATTGAAAAGCCAAAGCTGCAGCGTTGTGCAATGGATTCCATCAGAGTTTGGCACTTTTTTCTTCAAAGTTACGGTGCAGGTGACTGAGGACAGCTGTTGCGAGCGCTGCTTCTTGGTTCCCCCGGAATGGGAGGCATCACGTGCGGCTTCCAGGAGGCCACCTCAGGGAGGATCGTGTTTCCATGCACAGCGAAGGATCTGGGCAGGTAAATCAAATCATCACAGCAATTCGGGATTCGTTCAGGGCACAAAAGAAAGCCAAAGGACAGAGATCTTTTATTCGTTTCTGTAAGTTTAGGCTCTTGCTATGCATTCTTTTATTTTGATTCTGGAGAAAATAGTACAATTAAAGAAACCACTTTGCCAAGTGTTTAAAAAATGCAGAATGCAGTAGCCATCCTCAACTATTCCTATGCTCAGAAATTAACATGTGCTTCACGAGGACATGAGGCATCGTTCGATCATTTTTCCGTTTGTGAATCAAACGCTACCCAGCCCTTGGGCGTCAGTGAATTTCCTGAATCTCCTGAATGCCTTTGAGCATTTCTCTTGAGAAACAGGTGACTTGTGTCATACATAACTGGTTCACTAGACTTAAGTTCCCGAGATTCCAGGTGTTTGCAACATGACGAAGGCAACATTCAGTCCAAACTCAAACTATAATATCTTAAATTCAATTAATCGAAGGCTCAATGAAAATAATTGCTCTTTTTATTATTCATTCATTCAACAAATATGAATTAAGTGCTCATTATTTGCTGGGCACTGACGTGTCGGAGACACAAAGGTGAAAAGCCCCAGTTGGGGCCTTCTAGGACCAAAGCCGTGGGCTGTGCAGACAGCCAGGGTCACAGGGCTATGGAACAGGCCAGGGCTGCACGGCTATAGAACAGGCCGGGGTCACACGGCTATGGAACAGGTTGGGGTTACATGGCTATAGAACAGGCCGGGGCCACATGGCTATGGAACAGGTTGGGGTTACTTGGCTATAGAACAGGCCGGGGCCACACGGCTATGGAACAGGTTGGGGTTACGTGGCTCTACGGAACAGGCTGGGGTTACATGGCTATAGAACAGGCCGGGGCCACACGGCTATGGAACAGGCCGGGGTTACGTGGCTACGGAACAGGCTGGGGTTACATGGCTATAGAACAGGCCGGGGCCACAGGGCTATGGAACAGGCTGGGGTTACATGGCTATAGAACAGGCCGGGGCCACACGGCTATGGAACAGGTTGGGGTTACGTGGCTACGGAACAGGCTGGGGTTACATGGCTATAGAACAGGCCGGGGCCACAGGGCTATGGAACAGGCTGGGGTTACATGGCTATAGAACAGGCCGGGGCCACATGGCTATGGAACAGGTTGGGGTTACTTGGCTATAGAACAGGCCGGGGCCACACGGCTATGGAACAGGCTGGGGTTACATGGCTATAGAACAGGCCAGGGCCACAGGGCTATGGAACAGGCTGGGGTTACTTGGCTATAGAACAGGCCGGGGCCGCACGGCTATGGAACAGGTTGGGGTTACATGGCTATAGAACAGGCCAGGGCCACAGGGCTATGGAACAGGCTGGGGTTACTTGGCTACAGAACAGGCCAGGGCCACAGGGCTATGGAACAGGCTGGGGTTACATGGCTATAGAACAGGCCGGGGCCACACGGCTATGGAACAGGCTGGGGTTACATGGCTATAGAACAGGCCAGGGCCACATGGCTATGGAACAGGTTGGGGTTACGTGGCTATAGAACAGGCCAGGGCCACACGGCTATGGAACAGGTTGGGGTTACATGGCTATAGAACAGGCCGGGGCCGCACGGCTATGGAACAGGCTGGGGTTACATGGCTATAGAACAGGCCAGGGCCACACGGCTATGGAACAGGTTGGGGTTACGTGGCTATAGAACAGGCCAGGGCCACACGGCTATGGAACAGGCTGGGGTTACTTGGCTATAGAACAGGCCAGGGCCACAGGGCTATGGAACAGGCTGGGGTTACTTGGCTACAGAACAGGCCAGGGCCACAGGGCTATGGAACAGGCTGGGGTTACATGGCTATAGAACAGGCCGGGGCCACACGGCTATGGAACAGGCTGGGGTTACATGGCTATAGAACAGGCCAGGGCCACATGGCTATGGAACAGGTTGGGGTTACGTGGCTATAGAACAGGCCAGGGCCACACGGCTATGGAACAGGTTGGGGTTACATGGCTATAGAACAGGCCGGGGCCGCACGGCTATGGAACAGGCTGGGGTTACATGGCTATAGAACAGGCCAGGGCCACAGGGCTATGGAACAGGCTGGGGTTACTTGGCTACAGAACAGGCCAGGGCCACAGGGCTATGGAACAGGCTGGGGTTACTTGGCTATAGAACAGGCCGGGGCCGCACGGCTATGGAACAGGCTGGGGTTACTTGGCTATAGAACAGGCCGGGGCCGCACGGCTATGGAACAGGCTGGGGTTACTTGGCTATAGAACAGGCCGGGGCCACACGGCTATGGAACAGGCTGGGGTTACATGGCTATAGAACAGGCCGGGGCCACATGGCTATGGAACAGGTTGGGGTTACGTGGCTATAGAACAGGCCGGGGCCGCAGGGTTATGGACCAGGCTGGGGTTACATGGCTACAGAACAGGCCAGGGCCCCAGGGTATGGAACAGGCTGGGGTTACTTGGCTACAGAACAGGCCAGGGCCACACGGCTATGGAACAGGCTGGGGTTACATGGCTACAGAACAGGCCAGGGCCACAGGGCTATGGAACAGGCTGGGGTTACTTGGCTACAGAACAGGCCAGGGCCACAGGGCTATGGAACAGGCTGGGGTTACTTGGCTACAGAACAGGCCAGGGCCACACGGCTATGGAACAGGCTGGGGTTACATGGCTATAGAACAGGCCAGGGCCACAGGGCTATGGAACAGGCTGGGGTTACATGGCTACAGAACAGGCCAGGGCCACAGGGCTATGGAACAGGCTGGGGTTACATGGCTATAGAACAGGCCGGGGCCGCACGGCTATGGAACAGGCTGGGGTTACATGGCTACAGAACAGGCCAGGGCCACAGGGTATGGAACAGGCTGGGGTTACTTGGCTACAGAACAGGCCAGGGCCACACGGCTATGGAACAGGCTGGGGTTACATGGCTACAGAACAGGCCAGGGCCACAGGGTATGGAACAGGCTGGGGTTACTTGGCTACAGAACAGGCCAGGGCCACACGGCTATGGAACAGGCTGGGGTTACATGGCTATAGAACAGGCCAGGGCCACAGGGCTATGGAACAGGCTGGGGTTACATGGCTACAGAACAGGCCAGGGCCACAGGGTATGGAACAGGTCAGTATTACAGGGCTACGGAACAGGTGCTGCAACAGTGAAGCTCAACACAGGCACCCCAGCCAGCCTCAGGGGGTAACAAGGGGTCCCTGTGGGGAGTCAGCCAGGCAGAAGGCACAGACCATCCCACAGACACCATGGCACAGGCAAGAGGATCCGGAAGTGAGAAGGAACATGCGGCACGTTGAGAGAACTGGTTTGCACAGGTCTCCAGGCCACGTCGGAGGTAGGGGGGACCTTTCACCCACTTCGCGCTTCTCTGCCATCTCGCTGAAGTTTTCCTTATCTTTCTAATGACATAATCCATCACTGATGTCTCTCATCCCTGCCTCCAGGCTGTGGAGGATGGGACAGGCCCTGGGTTCATAGCCCCAGAGCTGCGTGAGGAATGTGAGTCTCAGACTGTGCGCTCCTCATGGCTGGGGCCATGGCATGTCACTGATGGATTTTGAATTAACTGGTGATTAGAAAAATCCATAAAATACACACAATGGATTTGTAGAAATGGCACTCTGCAATTCTGCCCCCAAACTCAGGGCCTGTGTGGAAGGCGGTGGAGGCTGGAGCCGGGCCAAGAAGGATGGGCTCCCGCTGTGCTGCCTCCCAGCTGTGAAACCTGGGCCAGGAAAACAAAGCACTTTGGGTTTCAGTTTTTCTTTAAATAAAAATGGAAATACTAACACCCGCTCTGCAGGGTGGTTGTGAAAATTTTAAATGTCTATGTTTGAAAGTCACTCTGTGTGATGTCTGGTCCAATGTAGTGGCTAAATAATAATAATACTAATATTTGTATTAGTAGTAACGATGTCACAGACACACTCCTTCCTTGTCACTGACAGGGCCAGCCCTTCATCTCTCTTCTTGTTTCTCCACCTGAGGTGACAAAAGTGTATCCTAAAAGAACACAGGCTTTGGAATCAAAATGGTCTGTGGTCCTACGCCCCACCATGGACTGACCGTGTGACTTTGGACACTTCAACTTCTCTTAGCATCAGTACTCACATCAGTGAAATGGGGAGATTAATACTTACCTGAAGGGATTTACTTTGGACCAAGTAAAATTATTATACTGATCCAGGCACCTGGTAGAAATTCCATACATGCTAGGACGTTCCCTCTCTTCCTACACTTGTAGGAATAATCTCATAAATACCACAATGGGTATTCAAATACAGGAATATGAGCTAGAGTTTCACCTTGGTGGTTGAAGGCCAAAAATGATTTGGATGTTTGGGACTGACATGATTGGAGAAATGAAAGCAGGACCCCAGCATCCAGTTTTCCAAAACATAGGGCACTGGCTGGCCCTGTGGCCGGGAGACAGGCCTCTCCCTTCTAGATCTGAGCGCCACTGAGTGGGCCTGAGGCCAGGAGAGAGGCCTCTTCTTCTAGATTTGAGGGATGTGGCACCAGCTGGCCCTGTGGCTGGGAGAGAGGCCCCTCTTTTCTAGATTTGAGAGCCACCAACTGGGCCTGAGGCCAGGAGAGAGGCTTCTCCTTTCTAGATCCAAGAGCACCTTGCAGGGTCAGCTCCAGCAGCATCATCCTCCCCTCAGCACGGCACCAGGAACTGCAGGGACTTAACTCTTGGTGCCTTCATCAGTGTTGGCTGAGTGAACCCTGATACTATCTAAAATAATGACAAAGTGCATTTACATATCAAAACAGCCTTATAGTCTGGGAATAGTGGTAAAGAAATCACCCTGACAGCCCTGAAAGAGAGAGAGAACCTCTGAACAAAAATACAACTTTCCAGTTATTTTCCAGTTTGTGGTAAAATTCAAGATCAGGAAAAAATGTGTGTATCACTGGATCAGTTTTAAATATTGAGGGGGCACATGGTAAGTTCTGGGGCACTGCCCACATCTGTCCTTGAGTGAATGCTGCTGTCTGGAGGGCTGCCTTCAACCGCTGACTGACCTGGCCAGAGGTGAGCGAGCTCCATCTTCACAGCCTGTCTGTCAGGGTCCAGGTTGGCACGGGCATGGGAGATGCTGAGTGGCCCCTCACACACCTCAGCAGTGATGGGCCTGAGGGACCAGCCTTTCCTAGCTCTCTCTGTCTGCAGGAGCTGTTCAAAAGCTTGGGAAGATTTTTGCATTTGGAATTCTCTTCAAGTAGTTTGGTGAGTGTATTAGTCTGTTTTCACACTGCTATGAAGAAGTACCTGGAAATGGGTAATTTCTAAAGCAAAGAGATTTAATTGACTCCCAGTTCTACATGCTGGGGAGGCCTCAGGAAACTTAACAATCATGGCAGAAGGCAGAGGGAAGCAAGCTTGGGCCTTCTTCACGTGCCAGCAGGAGAGAGTGAAGAGGGAATGGGGCGGAGCCCCTTATAAAACCATCAGATCTCGGGAGAACTCACTCACTATCACGAGAATGGCATGGGGGGAACCGACCCCATGATCCAATCACCTCCCACCAGGTCTCTCCCTGGGCACATGGGGATTATAAAGATTACAATTCAAGATGAGAATTGGGTGGGAACAAAGGCAAATCATATAATTCTGCCCCTGGCCTCTCCCAAATCTCATGTCCTCACATTTTGAAACACAGTCCTCCAAATCCTTAACTCATTCCAGCATTAACCCAAAAGTATAAGTCTAGAGTCTCATTTGAGACAAGGCAAGTCCCTTCCGCCTATGAGCCTGTAAAACCAAAAGCAAGTTTGTTACTTTCAAGATACAATGGGGGTACAGGCATTGGATAAATGCTCCCATTCCAAATGGGAGAAATTGGCCAAAACAAAGAGGCTACAGGCCCCATGCAAGTCCAAAATCCAACAGGGCAGTCATTGAATCTTAAAGCTCCTAAATAGTGTTCTTTGACTCCAGGTCTCACTTGCAGGTCACACTGATGCAAGAGGTGGGCTCCCTGGTCTTGGGCAGCTCTGCCCTGTGGCTTTGGAGGGTACAGCCCACTTCCTGGCTGCTTTCATTGGCTTGTGTTGAGTGTCTGTGGCTTTTCCAGGTGCATGGTACAAGTTGTTGGTAGATCTACCAATCTGGGGTTTGGAGGATGGTGGCCCTCTTCTCACAGCTCCACTAGGCAGTGCCCCAGTAGAGACTCTGTGTGGGGACTCCAACCCCTTTTCCTCCAACTCCATTTCCCTCTGCACTGCCCTAGCAGAGGTTCTCCATGAGGGCTCCATCCCTGCAGCAAACTCTTGCCTGGACACCCAGGCATTTCTATACATCCTCTGAAATCTAGGTGGAGGTTTCCAAATCTTAATTCTTGACTTCTGTGCACCCACAGGACCAACACCGCGTGGAAGCTGCCAAGGCTTGGGGCTTACACCCTTCTGAAGCAATGGCCTGAGCTATAAACTGGCCCCTTTTAACCATGGCTGGGATGCAGGCCACCAAGTCCCAAGAATGCATGAAGCAGCAAGACCCATTTTTTCTTTCTAAGCCTCTGAGCCTGCAATGGATGGGGTGCTGCTGTGAAGGTCTCTGTCATGCCTTGGAGACATTTTGCCCATTTTCTTGACAATTAACATTTAGCTCCTTGTTACTTATGCAAATCTCTGCAGCCAGCCTGAGTTTCTCCCCAGAAATTGGGTTTTTCTCTTCTATCACATCTTTAGGCTGCAAATTTTCCAGACTTTTATGCTCTGCTTCCCTTTTAAGCATACATTCCAATTCCAAACCATCTCTTTGTGAATGAATATAACTGCATGCTTTTAAGAGCACCTAGGTCACATTTTGAGTGCTCTGCTGCTTAGAAATTTCTTCCACCAGATACCCTAAAGCATCTCCATCAAGTTGTAAGTTCCACAGATCCCAGGGCAGGGGCAAAATGCCAGCAGTCTCTTTGCTGAAGCAGAGCAAGAGTCACTTTTGCTCCAGTTCCCAACAGGTTCCTCATCTCCATCGTCACCTTTGCTCCAGTTCCCAATAAGTTCCTCATCTCCATCTGAGAGCACCTCAGCCTGGACTTCATTGTTCACATCACTACCAGCATTTTCGTAGTCTCTAGGAAACTCCAAACTTTCCCACATCTTCTTGTCTTCTTCTGAGCCCTCTGACTGTTACAGCCTCTGTCCATTAACGAGTTCCAAAGTCACTTCCACATTTTCAAGTATATTTATAGTAGCACTCCAATCTTGGTACCAATTTACCTTATTAGTCCATTTTCACACTGCTGTAAAGAAATACCTGAGACTGGGTAATTTATAAAGGAAAGAGGTTTAATTGACTCACAGTTCCACCTGGCTGGGGAGGCCTCAGGAAACTTACAATCATGGGGGAAGGTGAAAGATAAGCTTGGACCTTCTCAGATGGCAGCAGGAGAGAGGAGTGAGGAGTGAAGGGGGAAGAACTCCTTATAAAACCATCAGGTCTCCTGAGAACTCACTAGCATGAGAACAGCATGGGGGAAATATTCCCCATAAGCCAACCACCTCTGACCAGGTGTTTCCCTAGACACATGGGTATTATGGGGATTACAGTTCAAGATGAGAATTGGGTGAGGACAAAGCCAAACCATATCATGACGCTTTCAAATACAGGATCTTCTCCAGCTTTTCTGGCTAATTTTTGGAGGCTAGTTTTTCACAGACCCTTGGTGAGACAAGCAAACTTGGAAGCTGAGGCTGAACTGAAAGTCATGACAGAATAGTAGCTGAGTGGATCTGCCAGCCCCTCACTTTCCTCAGGCGCAGCATTCCAACATTATTGAAGGAATCCATAAGTCAGGCTCCTGGAGGCCGTGCAGGACAGAAAGTGATTGTACATTCATGGTTAATTTGAGTCTTACAATGATAACCAGGAAAAATGGTTTATTAGTAGTTTAGCAGAACTGGTCCTCAATCTGATGTCTTCTGATGTCATATCCTAAAGCAGCGGCCCTCGATCTTGACTACACATTGGAATTAGCTGAGAATCTTTGAAAACACACCAGTGATTGGTCTGGCCCCAGAGCACCTGACTTAGAATCGTCCCTGGGTTGGTTATCAAGGGAATGAAGACAGAGAAAACTCAAATGCCTGCAGGGCCTGAAGTCTGGGACTCCAGTGGTAATTTCAAAAGAGACCTTGGCATTTCAGTGGTTCCACAGTGGCAGGAAGCATGCAGGTGTGGAGTGTGGATGTGTGGCCATCTCTTCCATCCATGCTCAGCTCCAGCCATAGTGTAGGACTGTGTGGCTGAGGAGAAAAAGTAATATGTGTATGAGTTATAAATTTGCTGGGCAAAAGTTAAGCTTTCAAAATCTTAAATGCAGATTTTGCAAAAATATCCCAAAACATTAGCTTATGAAGTGCCACGTTTTGCCGTGCTTTTACAATCATAAAGCTTTGGACGAAATGCAGCTGCATCGTAAAATGTGTTGCTGCCAATATTGTCATTCATGCAGTGGACAGCAATTACATTATGTGTTGAACTAAACACTTCCAAAGGAAATGCGATGAGGCCCAGGGAGCCCCAGTTAGAAGTCATCCTTCAGGCCTCAGGACACATGGAGCTCACAGCCTGTGTGATGTGCTGGGTGGAGACAGTGCCACAGACAGTCAGCAGGAAGAACAGACCATGCTTGGTCTCTGTGCAGATGGTGGCGATCCAACCTTCCACATAGCACCTGACCTCTCCTGGCCATCTGACTGTAGGGTTGTAAGTTCACAGTTGTGAAATTTAAGAATGAAAAAGCAGCCCCTGACAGCCAGGAGTGGCCTTGTGCCTTGGGGACATGCTTTGTACTCTCCTGTTGGACAACTCGGAGAACATAAACATCAGACAATGCCAATCATGATTTAAGACAAAAACGACCCCCCAGTAATCATCCAGAGTACAGACAAAACGGGAACATTGTTCAAGCCACAGAATCCCCAATCCCCTCTTCTAGCTAATGTGAGGGGTGGCTACATCTTTACCAGTTCTGCCCAGTCTCGTCTTCCCTCTTCCTAAAGGGGATATATTTGAGACCAAATTGTAAAATTACTCCTGCTTCCTGAGGAGATCCAATCCACAGAAAATCCTGCTTCCTTAACCCCACCCCCAAATTACCAAGCACAAGCCAAACCCTATGATAAGTCCTTCCTGACACCCCCTTCCTGACAACCTGCGGCTCCCCAGGGTGAGTCCTCCCTGCTGCAACCATTCATGAGCCCAGCTGTCCAACTGCAGGTGTGCTCCTGGGGTGTGGCTGGAAGGCATTAACGGCATTTATACAACCGAAATTACCCTTGATTCTGTGAGTTAGACATAATATGCTAGGGGACATGTGTGGAATTAACACAGTCATTCATTTCTAAAACTTGAATTAAAGGAATGTGGTCCACGGTTCAGGGGAAGCTTGTTAGTTATTTATCAAGCAAGATGCTATAAAAGATCAAATCTTATTTTGCTGCTGGGCACAGGTGGTGAAGCTCCTTTAAATCTTCAGCCACTGCTTGAGTAGTCGTGTTTGATGTAATAGTGATGACGCCACTTTGCAAAACAGGAAGAGCAATAAAATTAAATGTTAGTGCTTTTGAGAAATACTGACAACGCACTTTCTGGAGTTGACCTGGCCAATAATCATGCTGTGGAAACCTTAACTGACCCAAACCAGTGGACCTTTTTCCTTGTGTGGACCTCACATACATGTCTGTCCCTGTGCCTCCGGGTCCCAGCAGAATGCATGCCAGAGAGTGTCACCCTTACTATAAAGGCTAACACGACTGAGGCTCACTCTGGATTGGCTGCGTCTGGTTTCAGGGTGTTAGTTTAATTGACCGTGGCTGTATTATGGGCAAGAAGCAGAAGCGCAACTCCACTTCAGCCTGTGAGCAGCAAGGAAGGGCTGGTGACCCTCTCAGCTACCCCGGCTGGTGCTCAGTCCCTGTCCCAGTGGCTCCGGATGCCAGGTCCTCCTCAGAACCCCCCCCAAAACCCTCCAAGCCCACGTCTACTCTCCCTGCAGCTCAACCCCTCACCTGCACTAGCCCTGCTGTGAGATGACCATGTGTCTGATGGGTCCTCACTCAGAAAGACTTATTTGCATTCGGCCACGTCCTCCAAAGCATGTCTTTGGACAGGACTTCATCCCTCACGGCACGTTTCATAGGTTCCTCAGTGGCAGGAAGCATGCAGGTGTGGAGTGTGGAAGTGTGGCTGTGTCTTCCATACACACTCAGCTCCAGCCGTAGTGTAGGACTGTGTGGCTGAGGCGAAAAAGTAATATGCATATGAGTTATGAATTTGCTGGGCAAAAGTTAAGCTTTTAAAATCTTAAATGCAGATTTTGCAAAAATATCCCAAAACACTAGCCTATGAAGTGCCATGTTTTGCCGTGCTTTTACAATCATAAAGCTTTGGACGAAATGCAGCTGCATCGTAAAATGTGTTGCTGCCAATATTGTCATTCATGCAGTGGACAGAAATTACATTATGTGTTGAACTCAACACTTCCAAAGCAAATAGTTTTCTAATTATTGAAGCCATCTTTTGATGATACTGGATATTCAATCTTTTCAAAGTTTTGTAAATGAGAAGTTTTTTTAAATAGAGTTCTTGCTGAGTTTATGGAATCTTGTTTTATTTCCCTCCTCTGACTTAAAAAAAAACTTTCTTTTTAAATCCCTCAAGTTTTAAATGTGGGATGTAGGAGGAGGCATGTTATTGGATGACTCAATTGTGTGAAAGAGTTATGGTCCAGGTGAGAGGGGACTGATGTGTAACAAAGCCGACATGACTTTTCAAACTAAACAACCAAAAAGATGCTGAAGAGTAAGGTCAATGATGATTAAATAAACAAATGTCTTTGAAGAATCGCAGCTAATCTAGGCACAGCAGTAAGGCCAAAAGGAAATATTATCTGAAAGTTCTCGTGTAGGCTCTGTGCCCAAATATAAGGAACGGTTCATCCAACAACACCTGGGCATGTCAGCTTATGATGCCGTGGGAAATACATACACGTGTGTCCGTTCCCCATTCACCAGTGCATGGCATTTTTTACAGGAAATGGAGATATTTGGGTACAGAGAAAAAAGGACATACTCTCTTCTTTAAAAAATCCTTTGTCTAACAGGCTGTGGAAAAATCAGTTGACACGAGTTAGATGTGCGACATGGACTGCTACTGTGCACGCAGAGACGGAGGAGCTCAGAGGAACAGTGCGTTTATTCTGCATAAGCAGAGGTCACAGCAGCCGCCTATGTGGCCTCTTTTATAACAGCCCTGAAGAGGCCAGGCATGCTGGCTCGGGCCTGTAATCCCAGCACTTTGGGAGGCCGAGGTGGGCAGATCATCTGAGGTGAGGAGTTCGAGACAAGCCTGGCCAACATGGTGAAACCCCATCCCTACTAAAAATACAAAAATTAGCTGGGCGTGGTGGCAGACACCTGTAGTTCCAGCTACTCAGGAGGCTGAGGCAGGAGAATCACTTGAACCTGGGAGGCAGAGGTTGCAGTGAGCCAAGATCACGCCACTGCACTCCAGCCTGGGGGACAGAGTGAGACTCTGTCTCAAACAAACAAACAAACAACAACAAAAAAAACCAGCCCTGAAGAAAGAAGACTTGGGGTTTACAGAGCAGAGGACTTTCAACGCAAGGATGCCCTGTGTCAGTGTGCAGAGGCTCAGAAGCACTGCTCTTTTGAAGAAAAGGTGAGTCACCCACACGAATCCATTACTCCAAGCAGAATCTTAATGTCCTTCCTATTGTGTTCTCTTTCCTCACACAAACACCACCAGCAATGCCTCGAAATTCTGTCTCCAACATATCTACAGACTCTACAGCATTCTCACCATCCTGACCACCATCCTCCACTGTCTACACCACCATCCTCATCCACACCACCATCCTCCAGTGTCCACACCACCAACCTCCACTGTCTAAACCACCATCCAACAATCCGCACCACAACTCTTACCATCCATAACATAATCCACTAGTGTCTACATCATCATTCACACTGTCCACACCACCATCACCACAAACACAACCATCCTCACCGTCTGCTCCACCATCCTCCCCCATCCACACTGTCCACACTATCATCCTTACCATCCCTGCCACCATCTTTGCCATCCACACAACCATCTTCCACCATCCAAACCACCACCCTCACCATCCACACCACCATCCTCGTCATCCACACCACCATCCACCAGTGTCTACACCATAATTCTCACTGTTCACCTCTACATTCTCACCATCCACACCACCATCCTCACTGTCCACACCACCATCCACCAGTGTCTACACCACCATCCTCTACTGTCTATGCTACCATCCTCCACCATCCACACCCCCATCCTCACCATTTACATCATCATCCTCACCCTCCACTCCACCATTCTCACTGTCCCCACCAGTATCCCCACCGACCGTCCACATCACTATCCTCACTGTCCACACCACCATCCTCACCATCCACACCATCATCCTCACTGCCACACCACCATTCTCACTGTCTACACCACCATCCTCACTGTCCACACCACCATCCTCACTGTCCACACCATCATCCTCACTGCCACACCACCATTCTCACTGTCCACACCACCATCCTCACAGTCCACACCATCCTCCACTGTCTGCACCACCATCTTCACTGTCCACACCACCATCTTCACTGTCCACACCACCATCCTCATTGTCCACACCACCATCCTCACAGTCCACACCATCCTCCACTGTCCACACCAACATCCTCACTGTCCACACCACTGTCCTGCACTGTGCTTTACCACTGTGTTCATTCCTTTTTATCTTGGCTTTTTAATAATTTGGATATTATTTTTATGTTTCACTTGAGATGGTGATCTGTATAGATTTATCTCTCCCATCCAAAATATTTCTATAAAATCCCATAACTAATCTGGAAATTTTTCATCAGTTTCTTAGTGAAGAGCAGATAGAGGCTGATATTGGAACCTACCGCACATGATTTATAGATTCTCATCTTTGAAACCACACAGTCAACTGACACAATCCCCATTATGTAATATGGGTTTCACATTTATTACCAATACCTTTTTCCAGATTTATTGAGGTGTAATTGACAAAACTCTATATATTTGTATATACACAATGTGGTGTTTTGAAATAAGTAAATTTTGTGAGATGATTACTATAATCAAATTAGTTAACACATCCATGACATCTCATCATATAGTTACCTTTTTGGGTGTGTAGAGAATGAGAATATTTATGATCTACCATCTTAGTAAATTCCAAGTATACATTGTACAAATATATGTACATACAAATAATACATTATTATTAACTATGGTGACCATGATAAACATTAGGTCTTCAGAACTTACTCATCTGATAAATGAACTTCGTACCCTTTGACCAACATCTCATCATTTTTCCACTCCCTGCCCCAGTTCCTGATAACCACTCTTCTACTCTGCTTCTATGAGTTTGACTGTTTTTAGATTCCTCAGACAAATGAAATCATACAGTATGTGTCTTTCTGTGTCTGGCTTGTTTCACTTAGCATAATATACCCAGGTTTTTTCATGTTGTTGCAAATGACAAAATTCCTTCTTCTTTAAGGCTGAATAATATTCCATCATATGACATCCCTTTACCCATTCATCCATCAATGGACACTTAGGTCATTTTGATACCTTGGATATTGTGAATGGTCCTGCAGTGAGTGTGGGAGTGCAGACATGTCCTCCAGATAGTGCTTTTATTTTCTTTGGATAATACATGAATGGACTATTGGTGGTTATGATGACAGTTTATTTTCAATTTTTAAAAAATGGTTTCATACTGTTTTCTATCATTGCTGTACCAGTTTACACTTTCACCACCAGTATACAAGGATTCAATTTTTGCCAAATCCTCACCAACATCTTCTGACTTTTGGGTATTAGCCATCTTAACAGGTGGGATATTATCTCATGTGGTTTTGAGTCTCATCTCTCTCACAATTAGTGATGCTGAGCACCTCCTCATAGACCTCTAGGTCATTTGTATGTCCTCTTTGGAAAAATGTCTATTCAGATCCTTTGCATTTTTAAATTGGGTTATTTGCTTTTTTTTTTTTTTTTTGGCTCTTGACTTGTATGAGTTCCCTATGTATTTTGGACATTAGCCCCTTATGTGATATAGGATTTGCAAATGTTTCCCCTCATTTTGTCTCAGGTTGTTTCCACTCTGTCAATTGTTTCCTACACAGAAGCTTTTTTAGTTTGATGCAATCCCATTTCTCTATTTTTGCTTTCCTTGCCTGTGCTTCTAGTGTCACATCCAAAAATCATTGCCAAGACCAATGTCATGGATCTTTTCCCCATGTGATTTTTTTAAAGAGTTTTGTGGTTTCAGTTCTCATGTTTAAATCTCTAATCTATTTTGAGCTGATTTGTATGTGTAAGCTAAGAATCTTAATTTTTTTTTAAGTGTTGATGTTACGTTTTCCCAACACCATCTATTGAAGAGACTCTCCTTTGCCCATTGTGTATTCTTGGTCTCTTTGCTAATGATTAGTTGACTATAAATGCATGGATTTATTTCTGGACTTTTGTTATGTTCCATTGGTCCATGCATCTGTTTCCACTGGTCTGTGTGGTACTAACCATACTGTCTTGATTACCATAGCTTTGCAATATAATTTGAAATCAGAAAGTGTGACACCTCCAGCTTTGTTCATTTTCCTCAACATTGATTTAGCTATTTGGGATCTTTTGTGATTCCATACAAATTTTAGAATAGATTTTTTTTTAAGTTCTCTGAAAATGCCATTGAAATTTTGACAGAGATTATATTTAACATGTAGATCATGTTGGATAGTGATGCTATTTTGACAATATTTATTTTCTGATGCTTGAACATGGAGTATCCATTTATTTATGGAAATAAATTAAAACTATTATGCATAGTATTTTTGCATCTACATTCATCAGGTATATAGACGTAATTTTCTTTTCTTGTAATGTCCTTGTCTGACTTTGGTATTAGGGTAATGCTGGCTTCATAACATGAGTTTGGAATTCTTCCCTACTCTTCAAGGTTTTGGGAAAGTTTGAGAAAGATGGTGTGAATTTTTCTTTAAATACCTGGTAGAATTCACCAGCAAAGCCATCAGATCCTGGGTTTTTCTTTGGTGGGCAATTTTTGATTACTGATTCAATCTCCCTAATTACTGGTCCATTCAGATTTTCTATTTCCTCATAATTCAGTCTTCATATGTTGTATCTTTCTAAGAATTGGTTTGTTTCTTCTAGGTTACCCATTTGATAGAATGTAATTGTTCATTGTAGTCTGTACTGATCCTTTGCATTTATATGGTATGTTTTAATGTATCCTCTCTCGTTTTTATTCATTTGACTCCTCTCTTTTTCTTTATTACTCTAGCAAAAAGTTTGTTAATTTTGCTTATCTTTTCAACAAAAACCCCAACTCTTAGTTTTGTTGATGTTTTCTATTGTTTTTCTAGACTCTATTTCATTTACATTTTTGCTGGTCCTTGTTGTTTCCTTTCTTCTACTAACTTTGGGCTTAGTTTGTTCTTTTTTTCAGTTCCTTCAAGTATAACGTTAGGTTATTTAGGTATTTTTTTCATGTAGGCATTTAATACTATAAACTTATTACAACAGATTTTGCTGCATCCTATAAGTTTTTTTACATCATATTTCCATTATTTGTCTCATGTTATTTTCAATTTTTATTTCTTTGACCAATTGGCTGCTCAGGAATGGGTTGTTTAATTTTCACATATTTTTGAATTTTCCACTTTTCCTGTTATTGATTTACAATTTCATACCATTGTGGTTGGAAAAGATGTTTGATATAATTTAAAAATTATTAAGACTTGTTCTGTGGCCTAACAGATGATGTATCCTGGAGTGTGTTTTGAGTGTCTTGTGAGGAATAAGTATTCTGCTGCCACTGGATGGAATGTTCTGTATATGTCTGTGGGTACGTTTAGTCTAAAGTGTAGATCAAGTCCAATGTTTCCTTGTTGGTTTTCTATCTAGATGATCTGTGCATTATTGAAAATGGGGCGTGTGTCAAAGCCCCTTATATTACAGACTATTTATCCTTTCAAATATGTTAATATTTGCTCCTATATTTAGGTGCTCTGATATTGGATGCATATATGGTTATCATTGTTAGATCCTCTTGATGAATTGACCCCATTATCATTATATAATGACCTTCTTTGTTTCTTGGTATAGTTTTTGACTTAAAGACTATTTTGTCTACTATAAGTATAGCCACCCTTGCTATTTTTTGGTTTCCAATTGCATAGAATATATTTTTCCTTTCTTTCATTTTCAGCTTATGTGTGTTCTTAAAGCTGAAATGAGTCTCTTGTAGGCAGCAGGTGGTTGATCTTGTTTTTATTTTTTAATCAATTTAGCCCATCTATGTCTTTTGATTGGAAAATTTAACCCATTTATATTCAAGGCAATTATTGACAGATAAGGATTAACCATTGCCCATGTGTTAATTGTTTTCTGGCTTTTCTGTAGACCTTTTGTTTCTTTCTTCCTCTCTTGTTGTCTTTCTTCATGATTTGATGCTTTTCTGAAGTAGTATCCTTTGATTCCTTTATCTTTTGTGTATCTACCATAGTTTGCTTTGTGATGATTAAGAGGCCTAAGTAAAACGTTTTATAGTTATATCAACCTATTTTAAATTGATAACAACTTAACTTCAATTGAATCAAAACATTCTGCACTTTTACTCCCGCTCTCAGCATTTTATATTCTTGATGTCACAATTTACATATTTTTATGTGTGTATCCATTAACAAATGTTTCTAGCTATAGTGATTTTAATATTTCTGTCTTTTAATATTTTAATAGGGTTATAAGTTATTTACACATCGTTATATCGTTAAAGTATTCTGAATTTGACTACATGTGTTTACCAGTCAGTTTTGTACTTTATATTTTCATGTTGTCAGTTAGTGTCCTTTTGTTTCAACTTGAAGAACTCCCTTTAGCATTTCTTGTGAGGCAGTTATATTGGTGCTGAACTTTTTCATCTTTTGTTTGACTGGGAAAGTCTTCATCTCTTCTTCATTTCTAAAAGACTGCATTTCCAGGTGAAGTCTTTTTGCTTGTCAGATTGAGGTTTATTTTTTTTTTTCTTTTTTTCATCATTTCAAATGTAGCATCTTCCTCTGTCCTGGCCCTCTAGGTTTCTGCTGAAAAATCCTCTAGTAGCCTTGTAGGGGCTCCCTTCTATTTGATTTCCTTTCTTTTATTGCTGCTTTCAAAATTCTCTGTCTTTGATTTTTGAAAGTTTTATTATAATGTGTATTGGTGAAGTCTTCTTTGGGTTGAACTTAATTGGAGACATTTTAGCTTCACATACTTGAATGTCCTTACCTTTTCAAAGATTTGCTAAATTTGAAGCCATTATTTTTAAAAATAAGCTTTCTCCCTCTTTTTCTCTTTTTTAGACCTCTGTAGTATGAATTATAGCTTTCTTGATGGTGTCCCATACATTTTGTAGAATTTCTCAATCTTTTTTTCCCACCAACTGAATGTTTCTAAATGCCATGTCTTCAAGTTTCTTCTGTTTAAGCCAGATATTGATGCTGTCCATTGCCTTTTAAGCTTTCATTAATTTACTCTTCAGCTCCAGAACTTTCATTTTGTTTTTAAAAGGATTTTTATATCTGTATTGAGCCTCTTATTTTATTTATGTATTACTTTTAAATTTTGTTGAGTGTCTGTGTTCTGTTGTAGCTCACCAAGCCTCCTTAACACAATTATTTTGAATTTTTCTGGCCGTTTGTATATCTCCATTTCTCTAGCGTTGGTTATAGGAATATTATTATGCTCCTTTGGTGGTGTCATGTTTCCTTGATTGTTTCATGTTCCTCGAAGTCTTGCATTGATGTTGGCACATTTGAAGAAGCGGTCACCTCCTTCAGTCTTTACTGACTTGCTTCAGGAGAGAAATACCTTCACCAATCAGCTCTGTTTTGGATTCTGAGGCTATATGAGATCTTTTTTGTGCATGCATCTGCTTAATCCCTCATATTCCTTCTTGACAGGAAGTTCTTAAGATTGTATGCCTTCTGATTGTGCAAAGTCCAGGACAGGTGCTAAAAGCCTCCCATTTGTTTTCTCCAGTGTGATGCCCTGAAATGCTGATGTATGTGTGTCTTCTCCAAATTCTGCCGAGTTGAGCTGAGTGTCCGCTGGCTATGCTTGCACGCGCTGTCTGCAGGGGCATGCTTGGGAAGCCAGCTTAGGTACGGGGGAGACGAGCTGTATGTAGTCCTTGGGGTGCCCATGGGTCTGTTTGGGGGGTCCACATGTGGGTGTCCTGGGTGATTTATGGGCGGGCTTCCTCATGGAGTCTGCAGAATGTTGGTAGAGCACCCATCTCTCTTCTCTGCTCCCAGTATCTCCCAACTACACAGCCGTGCTGTTAACCTCAGTGTTCCAGGTGGAGCAAGAAAAAGGTGGGCCTCTTGGGCAGAGTCCGCCAGTGCTGGGGGGGCTGGGTGCTTACTCACTATACTCTCACTTTCCCCCATCAGGGAGATCATGGGCTGAGGGGGTTCCCCTTGGCACCGAGCTATGCTGCCTGGCAGGAGGAGTGAGGCAGATAAGCTGAAACTGTGCTTTTTGCCCACTTCAAAGCATTCATTCTTGGATTTTTTGTTCTTTCAGTGTGCTGGACCTTCTCTTGCGTGGTTAGTTGTAAAACTTGATGCTTCTGCAGGCAGATGATGGCAGAAAGCTCCCACCCCACCACGCTGATGACGGCAGAAAGCTCCCGCCCCACCACGCTGATGACGGCAGAAAGCTCCCGCCCCACCACGCTGATGATGGCACTCTCGTTGGGTGGTTGTGTGGTCTTCATACAATTTCAGGGTAAATCGCCACTTGATGTCATTGCTAAATGGGATACCTGAGCTATGATGATTTTGCCTGATTGTTAAAGTTAGTATTTTAAGACCAAAGATGGACAAAATACGTTAAAATTGTCTGTAAAAAGGCACATTTCTGAATTTGCTTTTAATACTTTAAAAGATATAAAGCTGTTGTATTATAACAGGAAGGATTGCTACAAGAACAGATCTGTCAGAAAACAAAACCGCATCTTGAATTGAAATGGAAAATGAAATTTAGCTACACTTCGTATGTATGTGTGCATGCAATTTATATATTTATATTAATTTTTTTTTCAATGAGAGGAGCTTTGTCGGTGACCTCAATCCTAATAATTGTGCATTTCCACCTTCTGTGTTTCCCTGGAGAGCAAAACCATTCTGACTAAGCGCCTGTCAGGGCTGAAATACACTAACCAATTTTGTCAGCAGGCTTTTAAAAATAATGTTCTTGGGAATCTAACATGATCAACAATTCTATTGCTTTGGGGAAATAACTCATGCTTCAGACCTTGAAATTATGTTCCCAAGAAAGCGTTGTTTCTGAAGCAGGCAGCATCTGTTTTTTATTGGGGTCTTGCCTCTACCTAATTGTGTGGCTGGTTTGAGAGATGAAGAACATTTCAGATATCTGGCTGAGATAACAGGTGACCAAGGAAATTCACTTCAGTGTGAACCGGAGAGCTCTTAGAGGCAGCTGTGGTTCCCTTGTTGCTGTATTAAGCCATACGTACTGCAATGTCACATTCATTTACAAAGTACTGCAATGTCACATTCATTTACAAAATGTGTTGTAACTTTCACGAAAGCTAATTGCAAACTGGGAAGTCCACACTTTTCTACTGTGAGATGGACACAAGGCAAGAGAGGAGTTTATCCATTTGTTTGTTTTCTTAACAAACATTTACTAAACACCTAATAAAGTGCCTGCCTTCAGGAAGCCCAGATTAAAGCAAGTGAGACAAGCACCCTTACTGGGGCTGATGCCGCACAGTGCTGTGGACAGAAGGTCTGTGTGAGCACCAGGCATGGATTGGGTGTGTTAGCCTCGGGACAGAGAAGCTGCTCTTCTTCCTCCTGTTCCCTTATGAGCATTTCCTGAACGACCCCAAACACTGGGACTTCATATTGCCAACTCCAAACATTGCTTTCCATGATTGCAGCCTCCGTGACCTACAGACCCAGGTCAAATCCTGTATACATGAAGTTCCTTCTGAATTTCTTCCCATTCTTCACCCCAGTAGTCATTACTTAACGCAAGTGCAGTGATGTTCCAGACATGTCCCACCCAGATTCTCCCTAGGCTGCCTGCCACATGAGTGAGTTTTCCACGTTATATGTGGGGCAGTGAGGTCCTTTTCATGGCTCTCCATAACCCTTAGGATAAAGCTTATACTATTTAGCTGTATTTATCTAATTTGATGTATTTTATTCACAGAAATTATTTATATTCTCCAAATATGCCATGCATTTACATAAATTTGTGTCTCCAGAAATGGTATTTCCTTTTCCTAGAATGCCAGCAATCCGTGTTTTCACCCTGCTAGCTTCTTTATCTCCATTAAGTTCTCTCTCAAGCTCTACTTTTTACTAAACCATCCCTAAGCACGTAGTCTTGTTTGGACACCGGTCCCTACGATCCCGCTGTTTCCCTTAGCGTGGGACAGGGTGAGTGTTTTGGTTGTTTGCGTGTCTAGTTGGTTGCTGTTAGTATTTTAGTTTTGGTCTGTCTCAGTAACATTCTTAGGGGCAGCTGGGGATACAGTTAATATATCTTTATAATCCTGTGTTCTTTATAGAAAAGCAATATATTTTGTAAAATGAATGAACGAATGCTTCCATGTATCCAGGAAGAGTACTGTGTCCCTGGGAGGGTAAGACATGGGCAGTTTCTCCAGCATCCCCGCCGTGTTATGGTCTCCATGACCTCATGGCACATGGTGCGTTCATGGCCACTCCTTGATGTCCTTTCAGATTCCTGGTCTTTTTCCTGAGGAAAAGACAGATGTACACTGTAGCATCTGTGAATACGCATGCATTCAACATAGAACCCTAAAAATTATGGGATTGAAAGTGTAGTATTATTCAGCCATAAAAAAGACGTGATGATGTCCTTTGCAGAGACATGGATGAAGCTGGAGATCACTATCCTCAGCAAATTAACACAGGAGCAGAAAACCAAACACCACACGTTCTCACTTACAAGTAGGAGATAAATGGTGGAACACAGGGACACATAGACGGGAACAGCAGACACTGGGGCCTAGGAGGAGGGAGAGAACCAGGAAAAGTAACTAACGGGCACTAGGCTTAATACCCGGGTGATGAGATAATCTGTACAGCAAACCCCCATGACACAGTGTAGCTATGTAACAAACCTGAATTTGTACTCTGAACTTAAAAAACAAAAGTATAGTTTACAGAACTTATTATAGTATCACACAAAAGTCAATGCTGTCCCACCACCCATGTGCCCACAGAGCAGAGCTGGAAAGCTCACAGTCCCCAGTCTGTGGACGTCCTGATCTTTGTGTTCTCTGAGAAAAGCTGGGTTTTCTGTCTTCTTCCTGTCTGTGTATTCATCACTCAGGATTTAGCCTTTCCCACTTTTTTGTTTTTTGCTTTTTTCTTTGTTGTCGTTGTTTAAATCCTGTAAGGAAGTTGGAATTGTAGAAGCTCCGTCAGTGCCTCAGTTCTGTAAAGAGCTGTCTCTATATCCACGGCAAGACTTTCTAGAGTTAGCTGAAGTTTTGAATTTTAAACTCCCAGTTCTCAATATTTCTAGCCACATTTTTGTAAAAACTAGGTCATGAGATGAGGCTGGCTTGGGGATGCTGCAGTGGTTCCTACTGGGCTTGAAATCCTCTGAAACCAGAGGACATGCCTTAAACATCCAGGCTTCTCTTTCCTCCAAGTGCTAAGTTCCCTTTAAAATACAGCCGCTTGCTACGAAAACACAGTCAGTTAACATAATATCCCTGGGTTCATGTGGACCTTTAATATCTGCTTTTGAGACTGAGACAAATTGTGAGAGCTGACTCACAAACACTTGCTTTTGAATCTGAAAATGCTACATAATTTTAAGGTAAAAGGCCCACAGTATAGCATTCAGAAATAACTTTTAAACCATATGTGCCCAGATACATTGTAAATTACACTCCAGATGTGTCCTTTCCATGAACTGTAACATGTTGGAGACATAGCCCTTGAAACGGAGTTACTCAGTCCAATATAAAATAAAATTCCCAAACCAAAGAAAATTAAAAACTTTTGCCTGGAGGCACTGCTGCGCACAGCCTGTGGCTAGACGAGGTTCCCGTGGGTTTGCCTGGAGGCGTTGCTGCACGCAGCCTGTGGCTAGACGAGGTTCACGTGGGTTTGCCTGGAGGCGTTGCTGCGCGCGGCCTGTGGCTAGACGAGGTTCACGTGGGTTTGCCTGGAGGCATTGCTGCACACGGCCTGTGGCTAGACGAGGTTCACGTGGGTTTGCCTGGAGGCGTTGCTGCGCGCGGCCTGTGGCTAGACGAGGTTCACGTGGGTTTGCCTGGAGGCGTTGCTGCGCGCGGCCTGTGGCTGGACGAGGTTCACGTGGGTTTGCCTGGAGGCGTTGCTGCGCGCGGCCTGTGGCTAGACGAGGTTCACGTGGGTTTACCTGGAGGCGTTGCTGCGCACGGCCTGTGGCTGGACGAGGTTCACGTGGGTTTGCCTGGAGGCGTTGCTGCGCGCGGCCTGTGGCTAGACGAGGTTCACGTGGGTTTGCCTGGAGGCGTTGCTGCGCGCGGCCTGTGGCTAGACGAGGTTCACGTGGGTTTGCCTGGAGGCGTTGCTGCGCGCGGCCTGTGGCTAGACGAGGTTCACGTGGGTTTGCCTGGAGGCGTTGCTGCGCGCGGCCTGTGGCTAGACGAGGTTCACGTGGGTTTGCCTGGAGGCGTTGCTGCGCGCGGCCTGTGGCTAGACGAGGTTCACGTGGGTTTGCCTGGAGGCGTTGCTGCGCGCGGCCTGTGGCTAGACGAGGTTCACGTGGGTTTGCCTGGAGGCGTTGCTGCGCGCGGCCTGTGGCTAGACGAGGTTCACGTGGGTTTGCCTGGAGGCGTTGCTGCGCGCGGCCTGTGGCTGGACGAGGTTCACGTGGGTTTGCCTGGAGGCGTTGCTGCGCGCGGCCTGTGGCTGGACGAGGTTCACGTGGGTTTGCCTGGAGGCGTTGCTGCGCGCGGCCTGTGGCTGGACGAGGTTCACGTGGGTTTGCCTGGAGGCGTTGCTGCGCGCGGCCTGTGGCTAGACGAGGTTCACGTGGGTTTGCCTGGAGGCGTTGCTGCGCGCGGCCTGTGGCTGGACGAGGTTCACGTGGGTTTACCTGGAGGCGTTGCTGCGCGCGGCCTGTGGCTGGACGAGGTTCACGTGGGTTTTGCTGTGAAGAGGTCTGTCCAGAAGCGGGGGTAGAGAAAGGGTGATTTTTATCGCAGAACAAGTCATGTTGTTTTAATCTCACCAGAAGTTTCATCTAATTTGAAATAGAAAAAGGTTCATTTGTCCATTCATACTTTTTAATAAGTTAGAAAATACTTAGTGAGTGCTTGCTTTGGGCTGGGCATTCTTCTAGTCTCTGTGGATTCAGAGGTGAAAGGTGTGGCCCTGTTGTCCAGGAATTCAGTGTAGGAAGAGGATAATTACAGACCATAGATACGCATGTGCTTTCCTTCTAGAAGGCACGTTCACGCGTATTCTCAGTTTACCTTCGTGAAACGGTGGGGTCACACCGCATGCTGTGTTTATTGTGCTGATGGGGAAATGAAGGGTCCGGGAGGAATGGCCTCGAGGGCCTTCCATCCCCACAGACCCTCCTTGGCTCTTTCTAGGCTCTGCAGGGCTCAGGGTTCTTGCAAGGCCCAGCTCACGTGTGGCCACCTCATTGCTGCCCGGGTAGGGCTCTCTGCGTGATGTCACGTGGCCTTCGTGGTGAGGGGCAGATGAGAACTGTATTTCTTCTCTCTAGTTTTGCTTGGTGTTATTTCAGTTGTATTAATCTTGTGTCCCCAATTCAACTTCACCCTGCCTGAAGGTGAGTTCATGCCTTGAATATCTTTATTTTTTCAGACCAAGCACTACAGATTGAAGCTGGGTGCCTGATGGACACCTGCTCGTGTGCTTCTCTGTAAGTATTTGCATTGTCGCAGCTGCAAGCACCCATTTCGCTGAGAATCACTGTTGCCTCCATGGGGTCCTGTCCTATGGACGACCCCTGTCTAGTTGGGAACTTGGTGCCAGGAGCTCAACTTGCTCCAATGCTTCCCATCCTACTAAGTTCTACGCTGACTACAGTGGTAGGTAACGTCTGTTTTCCTGCAGTGCTTAAATATTGTTTCTACCTCCACCTTCGGCAGCTATGTGGCAGACATTTAATCATTGTTAGGCAAAAAAGACCTAAACGTACTCTGTTAGCTACTGCACCCTGCCTGGATTCCCCAGGCCACATGTCTTAGTTAGCCCCACACAGCTTCAGATATTGTTATTGCTTCTATCCATTCTGCTAAACTGAGCCATGGTTAATAAAAGATGAGAATTGGCAATTTCCAAGTTTCTAAGAGTTTAAAGTTATAGGAAATAAAAGACATGATGTATTCCTCAGAGTAGGCTCACTATTGTAACAACGCCTCCGAATTTTAGTAGCTTACCAAAATAAGAACGTATTGTTCACTTGCATGACTGTCAAACCTAGGCCAGATGAGGGCTGTGCTCCACAACACCGCCCAGGAATCTGGGATCCTCCCCTGGGCTCCAGTAGCTCCATGGACATCTGCAGGTAGAATATAAACAAGGAAGCTGGGAGGAACTGGTGAGATTTCAGAGGAGGCCTAGAGGTGGTGGCCATCACTCTCCCTCCCAGTCTCCTGGCCAGGACTTGGTCACACAGCTGCACCTCACAGCGAGGGGCTGGGGAACGCGGCCTCACCCCGTGTCCAGGAAGAGGAGTGACCTGCCATGGTGAGAATCTCCGCTCCTGAAGAGCACATGATTAGTCATTTACACGTCCTGATGTTGTTGCTCAGGGTCTCCTCCTACCAGGGGAGACAGTGGAAAACTGTGTGCATTGCTCACAGTGAGGAAGCTGGTTCCTTGGCTGGTCTGTGGGTCACATTGCTCATCTTCATGGGGACAGCGGCCACTCTTCACCATGCTTCCTGTTGCTGGATTGCAATGGGAGCCATGCCATCGATGCTTTGGGCAAAATAGCTCATGTATGGCTCCTCGTCAGCTGCATGCAGTGGCACAGATGCACCATGAAGCTTGCAGTTGGGTGTCTGCACCTCTCAAAACCATTTCCAGCTGGACAAGCAGGCCTCTTGGTGCTAATGCACCTGTGAAAGGCAAAGACCCTCTCATCATTCCATGAGCCATATGCTGGCTCTATGTTTTTATGCCTGTCTCCCATAACAGGTGACATTGTTGAGAATGAGTAGCGGGGGGTGTCCGATAGCTGTTACTTTGAAGTAAAAGGAATTCACTGATCCAGCTGCAGTGGGTCCCTAAAGCAAGGGCTGCTTAACACGTATACTCAGGTTGCATGATGGCCGTGGAGTACACTGGACTCAGCACCAGGACCCCATCTCTCATCACCAGCTGTGTGTACGCCTTGGTGAGCTCCTTAAATCTAAACACGTGAGTATCCTTATTTGTCAAAAGAGGATTCAAATTTTAACCCTGCATAACCAAAAATACAGGAATTACTTAATGAAGGGGTTCTTGAGAAGCGATAAACTGAAAGGTAAGTCAAAGCCCCATGGCAAATGCAAATGGCTTGAAAATGCAGGAAATGCTTTCATCCTGGAACATTTGCTGTTCTACCCAAGTCAGGTCTGTGTCTCTGGAGGTGCACACGGAGCTGTCCCTGGTGGCAGCCTCTGCCAAGGACTGTGTGGCCCCGGGGGCAGCCTCTGCTGAGTATTGTGTGTTCCTGGTGGCAGCCTCTGCTGAGTGTTGTGTGTTCCTGGTGGCAGCCTCTGCCAAGGACTGTGTGGCCGCGGGGGCAGCTTCTGCCGAGTGTTGTGTGTTCCTGGTGGCAGCCTCTGCTGAGTGTTGTATTGCTGGTGGCAGCTTCTGCCGACGGCTGCGTGGCCCAAGTGTGCGTCCTGCCTTTTCCTGACTTCCTCTCTCTACTTCCCACTCTCACCCGGCACATGATAAAATGTAATCTACATGAATATTAGGATTTGGATTTCTATCTGGACACGTGATTTACCTATTAATCAGACACCAACCACATGAATGATTATTAGAGGAATATTTAACAAAAGCTACATAAAAACAGTTTTTGAAACTATTTGGACTTCACTTCTCATAACATTCTTAAAAACCAAAGTTCAGTGTGTCTTCCAAAATGAAGAAAAATTACCCTGTTTTACCAATGGTTTTGCGT
The DNA here is from genome assembly GCF_000001405.40 of Homo sapiens. NCBI lineage: Eukaryota > Metazoa > Chordata > Mammalia > Primates > Hominidae > Homo > Homo sapiens. Next base: position 424,158 of record NC_000002.12, read on the forward strand.
CGCTAATATCATAAAATGAAGGATGAGTTTTCAAGCCTGAAAGACAGTGTATTTACTAAACAATTTCTTAATAAATTCATTTATTCATGCACCCATTTGTTCATGTGCCCATCCGTGCATTCGTCACTTACCAGACGCCTCCTGATCTCCAGCGCCCGCGATAGGCACTTCCCATCCGGTGAGGTGTATGGCCTGACTCCTGCCCGGGGCACTCATGGCCTTGAGAAGGTACATACAGAAATAACGTCCTAAAATAAGTTCCATGAGCTTATTCCATGAACTTAGCAGGTTCCATGAGCTCATGTTGCAGGGGTTGGAGACTGACTCTGAATTGGGAGCGTTGGCCCCGGGGGTATAGAGTCCAGTCAGGGGTCGGGGAGACTGATGGGGCTGCTTCTGCTGCTGTTCTGCGGCAAATCTAGGACTCAGCAGGAGACATTTTTATTTTCCTCCCACTTGAGAAACCCTCGTTATTGCTCAAATAAATGCCCACCCCCACCCACCTCCACCACCTCCACCACCACCTCTATGGCCAAGGAGGTCAGAGTGGAGAGGGGCAGCTTCCTCCTGGAACCCAGTCATGGCAAAGGACAACCACAAAATCCTGGCCGGGTCCAATCCAGGCTCATCGCGTCGGGAACAGCAAGAAGCAGGAGAGTCTGCAATGAAACTGTGAAATTGCAGAGGCTGGACAAGGGGTCAGCACCGCCAATAAAGGAGGAAATGTTTCCATGGAGGGGCTGTTTCTCAACTGAGGCGTGCCTTTCAGATGCGTAAGCTTTAGTCATGCTTATAACAATAATGAAATTTTACAGATGAAAAAAATGGGCCTAAAGGGTTAGGTGAGTTGGCCGTGGAATGTGATTAGCTCATGGGGAGGATGGTGTGGATTGAAGCTTGTCTAGCAGGAAAGTTTATTTACTTTAACTGCCCATGATGCCTCTCCTAAAAAACAAGTCTTGTGCTTTCCACGTGTTTTATCTTTCTTTTGCTCTCATTCCCTGGCTTCCAACAAAGACCTTTTCTCCTTTTAAGTCATGTCTTAGCTCATATGAGTCAGAAAGCAGGTGGCATAAAGTTGTCTGTTTTCCCCAAATTTCCCATCCACTCGCTCCTTGCCAGGCCCAAGTGTCCCCATGATTATGTTGAAGCTTGATCTCCAAGGCAGTAGCGTTAAGAGCAGGGCCTTTAGGGGGTGATTAGGTCATGAGGGCTCCTCCCTCGTGAATGGGTGGAGTTTATAAATGCGTATAAAAGAAGCTTCACACAGCACGGGGGAGAAACCTGTTCCATGGTGAAAAGTACAGCTTAACACACCTGTGTGAAGGTTTGAAGGCAAGGTTGGAAGCCTCGGAACATGGTGTTATCGGGGTGAGTTCACCATCACCCACAGCTACGATGGAGTGGAAGACTCAATCATTAAAAGTAACAGATTTTTACTGAGCCAAATTATAGAAGCCTGAGGCCATAAAGGCAATGTTAAAAATTCACTCTTCCCCTGATTGTTGTAGAAGAACACACAACAAAGTTGAACATGCTTGAATGTAAATTTTCTCACCATGACTTGTTGTAATATATTACATTATCAAGGAACATGAAAATGAAATGTGCTTTTCTAGTTTTTCGGATGCCATTCTCTCAGTCTCTGCAAGGCTTGGGAAGTGGCCAGCCTGAAGGACAACGAGGCTGTGTCTGATCATGGGGTGCTACTGAAAAAAGTGACAGAAATGTTGGAATGATGTACGATGTCCCCAGCGCTCTGAAATAAAGGAGAGCTGCCTCCATTTCCAAGGCAAGAGGTGGGTATGGCTGAGGTGGGCCCAGGACTACACCTGGCATGGCTGTGGCCCAGCGTGCGGCTGACGCTGAGGTTGGTCTCTTCACTCCGGGGCCCAGGCTTCGCCTCTGCTCCTCGCCTTTGCTTTCCCTCAGAGCTGAACCCAAGTCGTCCTTCCCAGCTGCTCTCTCATGGTAGGGATCCCACTCAGCAGGGCGCCGTGCCGGCTTAGCACCAAGTGACCAGGGGAAACAAGACAGGGATGTGCCTGGGGAGCCTCTTCTGGGGCCCTACTTACTGCCATCGCAGGGGCCCTACGGGCGTCCTCCGGGATGGTGTCACGGGCTCTAGACCCACAAGCAGGGTTGGAGCCCCGGCGCTACCCACATCTGTCCAAGTGATATTAAACCTTGCAAGTCTTTCTTTCCTGTGAGAAATAGAAAAAGCATATTTCCTACTTTAGTGCATGGGTGAAATGAGATAACCCATCTCATGCATGAGAGTCCTGATGGGTGACCCTATAGTTCCCTGGCAGGTCCGCAGGCACGCAGGGGGCTCCACAGGCACGCAGGGGGTTCCGCAGGCACGCAGAGGGCTCCGCAGGCACAAAGGGGGCTCCGATGGCACGCCGGGGGTTCCGATGGCACGCAGGGGTTCCGCAGGCACGCAGGGGGCTCCGCAGGCACGCAGGGGGCTCCGCTGGCACGCAGGGGGTTCCGCAGGCACGCAGGGGGCTCCGCTGGCACGCAGGGGTTCCGCAGGCACGCAGGGGGCTCCGCAGGCACGCAGGGGGCTCCGCTGGCACGCAGGGGGTTCCGCAGGCACGCCGGGGGCTCCGCAGGCACGCCGGGGGTTCCGCTGGCACGCAGGGGGTTCCGCTGGCACGCCGGGGGTTCTGCAGGCACGCCGGGGGCTCCGCTGGCACGCCTGGGGCTCCGCTGGCACGCAGGGGGCTCCGCAGGCACGCCGGGGGCTCCGCAGGCACGCAGGGGGCTCCCCTGGCACGCCGGGGGTTCCGCTGGCACGCAGGGGGTTCCGCTGGCACGCCGGGGGTTCCGCAGGCACGCAGGGGGCTCCGCAGGCACGCCGGGGGTTCCGCTGGCACGCCGGGGGTTCCGTTGGCACGCAGGGGGTTCCGCAGGCACGCAGGGGGCTCCGGTGGCACGCAGGGGGCTCCGCAGGCACGCCGGGGGCTCCGCAGGCACGCCGGGGGCTCCGCTGGCACGCAGGGGGTTCCGCTGGCACGCCGGGGGTTCCGCAGGCACGCAGGGGGCTCCGCAGGCACGCCGGGGGGTTCCGCTGGCACGCCGGGGGTTCCGCTGGCACGCAGGGGGTTCCGCAGGCACGCAGGGGGCTCCGGTGGCACGCAGGGGGCTCCGCAGGCACGCCGGGGGCTCCGCAGGCACGCCGGGGGCTCCGCTGGCACGCAGGGGGTTCCGCTGGCACGCCGGGGGCTCCGCAGGCACGCCGGGGGCTCCGCTGGCACGCAGGGGGCTCCGCAGGCACGCAGGGGGTTCCGCTGGCACGCCGGGGGCTCCGCAGGCACGCAGGGGGCTCCGCTGGCACGCAGGGGGCTCCGCTGGCACGCAGGGGGCTCCGCAGGCACGCAGGGGGTTCCGCAGGCACGCAGGGGGCTCCGCTGGCACGCAGGGGGCTCTGCTGGCACAGCCACCAGAGATTGTCTTTTTCATGTTCCCAGTCATTTTGCTTCAGGTGCTCATTTTGAAGGTATTTAGGGAGCCGCAGTTGTCTTCTACGAGGCTGTGTTCTTCCATTTCATGGTATTCGTTAGTAAATAAAAGTTATAAATTTGTATGTAGCTGAATTGATTGGCATACTTTAACATTTATGCTTCTATAAATTATTTAAGATACTATGTTATTTTAGTTTTTAATGAAGATACTCATCATTTTCCCCCTAAATATTTTGAAAATTTACTTTTTATATTAGATCTTTAATCCACCCAAAATACAGAATAGATGAACTGTCACAATTTAAAGAAAATACAACACACATAATAGAAAACTGGGCAAAAGATTAGGCAAGTTATAGAAGAGAAAAATGAATAGCTAGTACATTCATGAAAAGATTCCAGCCTCACTAACAATCAGTAACATGTGAATTTAAACCACAAGGAGATGACCCAGTGATTAAGTGGCAAATGTTTATGCCTCACAGACAAAGTGATAGAGAATGCTGTCTTCTGCTGTCTTTGGGCATTGCCTCTGCCTGGGGGCTGTGCCCTCCACCTGTGGGTTTTGTGATTTATGGATTAAATCTGCCCGGTCTGTCCGTCTTCCACACTTCCCATCTTTAGAAACTTTTCATGCTCGTTTTCTAAGTCTTGGAGGATTGTTTAGTTTTGTTTTCTGTTTAGTTATTGAATTAAGTGTCCATTGCCACAACATATGACTAATTTAACTTGTGAATCTGTGTTAAATATATGTGATTACATATTCTGCTATTTTTCTTCCTTGCTCAGCCTTACAGAGAGGGAAGTCTGTGTTGTATATTGACTTCTAATCAAGTTATGGCCTCCATCAGAGATTACAGAGGTAGGCATATATCCCTACATTTCAAATCAAGAGAAAAAATAAGCAACGATGGCTTCACCTGCAAATGCATGTTCTTTGTTCGGTGAACCAGGAGACTGAGGGGCTGGGGTGACTCTCCTCCGGGCCCCTTTTCTTCTCTCTCTGGTGAGTACTGGGCTTGGGTCCAGTGCCTGAAAAACTGCCTCACTTGGGCCCAGCCTGCCCACATGTCCTGCCAGGTCTGGGACAAGCCCCCTCCGTCCCAGTGCTTTGTTCAGCATTTTGCCACCTTTTTGGTGCCTCTGCTTCCAGAGCCTGCAAACCCATTGTGGAAAGGAAAGCAGCGGGGTCGCCCGTGCCCCTCAGCCATGCCCAGCCCCAGCCTGTGGGTTTGGACAACCCTCCCGCCCGGGTCCTTCCACTGACTGACTAGGGGTGTAGAGACACTGCAGGAATCAGAACAGTGAGTTAGTCTCTTTGGTTTGGTTCCATCTCCACTGTGTCTAGAGAAATGTCAGGAAGGTTCATGCAGTGTCACGCCATGTCTCCTTTCACATGTGGCCTTTCTCCTGTGGCCCGTGCTAATCATTTCTGTGAAGCATTAGTGGACAGAGGGAAGTTACTGGGTGACATGGTTTGGATCTGTGTCCCCACCCAAATCTCACGTTGAATCGTAGTCCCTACTGTTGAGGCCTGGTGGGAGGTGGTGGGGCCATGGGGGTGGAGTTCTCATGAATGCTTTAGCACCACCTGCCTTGGTGCTGTAAAGTGAGTGAGTCCCCAAGAGATCTGGTTTTGAAAAGTGCGTGGCACCTCCCTTCTTGCTCTTCCTCCTGCTCCAGCCGTAAAAGGCAAGTCGGCTCCCACTTCGCCTTCTGCCATGATTGGAAGCTCGCTGAGGCCTCCCCAGAAGCAGAAGCCGCCATGCTTCCTGTACAGCCTGTGGAACTATGAGTCAATAAAAACTCTGTTCTTTAAATTACCCAGTCACCGGCATTTGTTTTTTAAAGCAATGTGAGAACAGACTAATAGACTGGGCTATATTCACTCATCCTCTAGGCAAGACATGTCTCCTAATCATCTAAGATTACATTTGGATTTTAATTCTATTCAGCAAAGGGTGTAGAAAGTGTTGTGCCAGGTGCCGGTAAAGACAGGAAAATAACTGAGCCACACAGGTGCTCTTGGGCAGAAAGCAGCACTGCATGGGTCAGACCTGCCGGCTCCCTGCCGCCCTTTAGTCAGTGGCTCCAGCCCTGCCCCGGTTTGCAGGGCCTCCACCCCACTGAGGAGGGCCTGCCAGGGGCACAGCAGAGCAAGGTCAGCAGCCACCAGTAACGGTGGACAGGAAGACGTGGGCATGGGTGAGCCATGCTCATCTGAACGCCACTGAGTCAGGGAAAACAGCTGGTGGAAAGGAGAAGGACAGCATAATAGAGTAAAACACTGCAAATCGAACTTTGATGGAAGAACTCTAAATAGCAGGCGGTAAACAGAAATCTCTTTTATGAACGGGACGTGGGCTGGTGGCAGAGACGGCAAATGGATGGTCCAGGCAAGCGCTGGTAAACAGGAAGCCACAGCCGCGCTGAGCGTGAGCTCGAAGGGCACACGGAAGCATCGCTGTCCCCCAATTTCTATTTTTTAAAATTTGAAGTAGAGCTGCTATAATAACCAGATCAAACTAGTGGACAAGAGAACATTTTGTTTCATTTTTGTGTGTGTAGTGAGTTCCTTTATTGCACACTGGATGATCTATAGGAGCAATGAATTCCATGATGAAAGAAGACTCAATAATCAAGCCATGCATTTTAGTTTTAATTGTTGTATTTTTTGCTTTTTTTTTTCACTGGAGAGAGGAAGTCTGGTTATCACAGCCTGGTTTGTGTGTTTCCCTGGCCACACACTTAAATACAAAGATCCAGAGCCCAGGCTCTTGTCTGGACCATGTAGGGGAAGAAATAAGACTCACTTGCATCCTGGGCTCAGGATCCTGCAGCCTGCGGGGTGACGAGATGCACACAGGACCGTGCCCGCTCCAGGGGGACGTGACCCTGCAGGCAGGAGTGGGAGGGGTGCCGCAAAAGGGCCCTAAGCGGGCACCACTCCCAGCCATGGCCCATCCCTCCGAACGTGAGGGCACAGAGAAAAAAACACAGTACTCACCCCCTGGGAAACTGAAATTGTCAGATAAGCTACTATCTGAGTTTAACAGGAATTTTCAGAAAATAAAATAGAGATGAAATATAATTGTTAGTGGATCACACAGGCTTCATCTCATGAGAAACAACAGCTTCCTGTTTTTCTCTTAAATTCTCTGACCACCTAAAAGAACAGAGTGGGGCAGGACGTCCTCACACACACATCCTACGAGGACGGCTCCAGGAACCACAATGGGCGAGGAGGGCTCGGGCGGCCGCTGATTCTCATGACTCTGTGGGTCTCAATGCTCCATGAGAACGTAGCCCAGCTCATAAAAGTGACCGTAAGATCCGTCTCCTCACAGCGAAGACTGAAGCAGTGCCACCAACTGTCTATCTCTTGACTTCCTATTACTTGGGGAAAAAAAGTCTCCACATATTTAAGATGCTCCAAGTTGGGTCTTTTGTTCCACAAAGGTGAATTATTTGTAACTAATTCAAGAGGATAGAATCATTACATAAAAAGTAACCATTTTGAAATCTAAAAATATCAAACAATTTTTATAAGCATAACGTGAAGTAATCAGATAACCAAAGTCAGTACATTTGACTGCATAGATGTCAATTCACAAGCCCTGATCTGATGAAGGTCACCCATGCATGACGCTGGCTGGGGGCCGCACTGCCACACTACTCTGGGAGTATGAATCCATGTGGCCCTTTGCACGATCAAAAATCAATGTGCATGATCACCTGAGCTTGCTTACCTTCTCTTACCCTACGTTTCCATTCCTAAATACACACCTGAGAAAAATTCTAGCACACTTTTGAAATGAAAAATATAAATAAAAAGAATTGCTTTTAGAAGTATAATTTGTAATGATTTATACCGGTGAAAGATATCGGGACATCTCAGGATATAAAAAGAGAATATATAAATATTTTAAATACATTTACACAGTATAGTAGTATGCATTAGTGAAAAAGAATGGAGTATAGTTATTCATGACTTGGATAAATGTTAGAAACATAATATTGAGTGAAACGTTATCACTTAAGACTATATAAAATATAGTGTGTTTATAAAGTTCAAAAATGGCAACTTAAACAAAAATGAGTAATTATGGTATAAACAAGTCTAAGTCACATTCGAGAGGGGAGTCATTGTTGGGTTTGCTAAGCCTTAGGCTGAGGGGCATCTTTATCACCTTCCATGATTTTCATACAAACATTAAGACCCGATCATCATGCAATACATGAGGTCCCTAATTTAAAAGGTGTAAATGTGTTGTATTAGTATGGCGAGGCTAATGGAAGGCAGTATTCATTTTTTAATCTGCCTATTATTTTGGGGAGAAAGCCAAAAGAAAAACTACCTTTTGAATATTAGTCCTTCTCGAACTTGAATCTTCTCGAATGTAGGAACCTCCTGAGTATTTTGTTAACATTTGGACTCTGGTTCAGCAGGTCTGGGTGGGCTCTGAGGTTCTGCACATCCAGCCAGCCTCCAGGAGATGTTCATGTGCCACACTTGGACTCACCAGACTGTGCATAGAAGCTCTTCAGAACGTGGAGAATCCTAGCCCCTTCCCATGTGAGTATAAGGAACGGTGTTTAGTGAAAAGATAAAACTGGATCCATTCCTCACAGTGTATCCTAAGATAATTTCCAAATGGATCATATTGAAATGCAGGAGATGAACCCCTATACAGAAACATATATCTATTATTTTATTCCCCATGACTCAAAATCCAGAGGCAATAGAGGAAATGTGGTAGGTTTCATTATATGGAAAAATATCTACATGGTAAAAAGCATAAGCTAATGATAAATGGAAAATATTGACTGACAAGTTATATCACACACGAAGGGTTGGCAGTCCATCTACATTAAGAACTTCTAAAACCACAGAACAGAAAGACCAATAAGCATATAAAAATACATTAAGTATATGAACAGACTGTTCATAGATAAAGAAATGCTTTTTTAAAAATACTGAACTTCATTCATTACAAGAAAAACACCAATTAAAACTAAACTAAAATAAAAGCATTTCTTTAAAAAAGTAGCCTCTTCTGTTGACTATAAGACAGGGCGTTCTTTTACAAGCTGGTGGGAATGCAAAATGCTAAACTGGTGTGAGTGGGAAGTTTTGCAATATCTGGCGAAATATTATATCATTTTTCTCTAGAAAAAGCAATCCTACCTCCAGGGATTTAGCCTTCTGAGCACAAATACTAGAAGACGTATGGGGCTCAATTTGCAATAGAATTGCAAGTAAGCAAGCTAGAAAACAGCCCGGCTGTCCCAGGCTCTGTCCTGGGTGTGAGATTGAAGAGGAAGCGATATGGCATTTTCACACAACATAAAAATATGCAGTTACAAAAATGAGTGAGAAATATCTCTAGCATATGTTAAGGGAAAAAGCAAGGTGAAGAAAAGCATGTAAAGTATTGGAAACATTTGTCCATGAAAATAAGAAATATACATGCTTATTTGCTTATATTAGAAAACATGAAATGATAAGTTGCACACACTATTCCCTGGAACCCGTCACCCCGTTTTTACAGCTATGGATCCATAGCTCCTCCAGCTTCACCCGTAATTCTCCGTTCATTTACTAGAGAAGAAATGTCAGGCATTCTATCAATCTCCTAGGTCTGCATGAGGAATCCCCGCAGACGAGGTGGCTAAAACAACAGAAATTCATTCCCCCTCAGTGCTGGTGGCCTGAAGTCTGAGATCAAGGTGTTGGCAGGGTTGGTTCCTTCCACAGGCTTTGAGTGAGAACCTGTTCCAGGCCCTGCCCAGCTCCTAGTGGCTGCCAGCCATCCTCGGAGCTCCCCAACTTGTAGACATGCCCTCCAGTCCCCACCTCAGCCTCCACACAGTGGGGCTCCCTGCATCCCCTGCACCTGAGTCCAAATTCCCTGTTTTTATCACATACAACTGGAGAGTCATGCTGGAATTAAGGCCCACCCTGACCCAGAGGACCTCATCTGAACTTTATTACACCTGCAAAGCCTATTTCTAAATACATTCACATTCACAGGTAACGGAGGTAGGTCTTCAATATATCTTTTTGGGGAACACAATTGTACCCACTCCAGACATCACGTTATTTCATCTGTACTTTTGTATATAGTTTAATTCTATCTTTTTTTTCTTGGTAGAGATAAGGTCTTGAACTCCTGGCCTCAAGTGATCTTACCACCTTGGCCCCTCAAAGGAGGGACTGCAGAAGCATTTAGCAATAGTTAATTGTTTAATAATTGTTGTTATTTGTTACTGTAGTATTATCATGTATCAGTAGCAAATTAAAAGTATACACTTTTTGAAGAATGTCATTCTTAATTTACTATTTTAAATTTACCATGTTTTCTTGCTCCACAGATAAATTGGCAATTATTCTTTCCTTGGCCTTCTTAAAGGAATGCTTAACATCTGATTTTGTTTTCTAAAAATTATCTTGTGGTTATATTGATACCAAGAGTCATTCACGATTTTGCAAGTGTGTTGGTGGTTTGTTTGTTTGTTGTTTGTGGGTCCACAACCACATATTCCCTTCCTCCTTCGCTGCATCCTTGCTTCCTTTCTAAAGGCACAAACAATCGTTCTTGGACTAGGTTCACTTCTCTCATCTTTCCTGTTTCATGCTCAAGATTTCCTTAAAAACAAAAGCACAGCGTGGCTTTACCATTTACGTTCTGTCTCTTTTCCAACGACCTCTTAACTCCCCTTTGTTCCTTCAGAGTTCCAGCAGCAGAGTTGGCTGGTCTGCTGCAGAAGCTGGGCCCCTCTCTCCTGGGCCCATATGGGATTCCTGCAGTGCTTGGCACCCATGGCCACTCACCTTTCTGCACCCTGCTCTACATCAAAGGCCATTTTCAGTTGATACTTATGAAAAGCTCAGTGATGATGATGATTTTCTTGAAATTATTTGTAAAGCAACAACTAATACTTGGAAAGTGATACATTTCAATTTTGAAGACACTGAAATTCAGTAAACTTTATTCAAATGTTATTGCATGACTTCAATTTGCACTTTCCAAACAAAAGTGTTACACCTAGCAGTTCATATATTTGACCATTTTTAATCCCTTCCTTCCTTCCTTTCTCTCTTTCTTTCTTTCTTCTTTCTTTTTCTCTTTCTTTCTTTTTCTTTCTTTCTTTCTCTTTCTTTTTCCTTTTTTCTTTATTCCTTTCTTCCTTTCCTTCCTCTCCTTCCTTTCCTTCCTTTCCTTACTTCCTTCCTTTCTTTCTTTCTCTTTCTTTCTTTCTTTCTTCTTCTTTCTCTTTCTCTTTCTTCTTTCTTTCTTTCTTTCTTTCTTTCTTCTTTCTTTCTCTCTCTCCTGCTCCTTCCTTCCTTCCTTCTTCCTTCCTTTCTTTTTCTTTTTTTTCTGAGACAGGGTCTCACACTGTCACCCAGGCTAGAGTGCAGTAACACAATCATGGCTCACTGCAGCTTTGACTTCTGGACTCAGGTGACCCTCTGTCCTGCTCTCTCACCTCCCCATGTATCTGGGACAGAGTGAGACTTTGTCTCAAAAAAAAAAAAAAACTGCATGTTACAATATGTGAATTTGAATTTTACATATATTTTAAAACTCAGTAGTAACCTCGACAGTTATTTTGAACTTATGCTAACAAAAGGCCTTTTTAGGAAGCAATACTTGTTTCCTGGCATTGTTTAAAAATTCTAGTATGTAAAGCAAAGAATCCCAGCTTTTTATTATTGTTTTTAAATGATTGACAGAGACACACCCCTTACTACTTGCATCTTGAGTGGGCTGCACCCACCACCAGCCCCCCGGTGGGTGATAAATCAGAGTGTTAATAGAAGGTGCAAGACTTCTCTATGAAAGAAAAACCTAGAGTTACAGATTATTTATTTCCTTATAACTTATTGGAAATAGTGGGTCAAAGTGTACAGACATTTTCTGTAAATTGACAGCTAGAACTACAGAACTTCTTTTCAAAAGTTGTATACTACTTTATAGAGCAACCAGTGTGCATTAAATGAGCGTACCTTCATCAACACAGTTTTAAATTTTGTTTTATTGATTCCACATCCTTTATTACTTTTTGATTCATTGTTAATACCATTTAACTTTATGGATAAATTGACATTTTTTTCCCTGTACCTGAGATTTAGGCAAGATCATTATTATTATTATTATTATTATTATTATTTTTTTTTTTTGGGAAAGGCATGGAAAAGTTGCCTCACAACCTGGGTCATGCAGCTGGTTTCTTCATGCACATCCAATTTCACGACTTCTGCCTTAAGTCTCTGTGCACAAAGCTACTTGCACCACTGATAGTCTATTCTTAATTAGTGATCCATTTCCAATAGCAAAGTACAATTCTATTAATGGGTCTCCTTGGGACATTAATGTGATTTCTGCTCTGCCATTTCCTTCCTATTGTTCCTTCAGACCATTTAATATTTCATATTGGTAATTAGCAAATTCTTCTTATTTAGTGCTAATTTTAAACATTCCATCTATTTTTGTAAGACCCCTTTTCAGTAAATAAGATAACCATAATTTCTTCTAAATGTTCACTATATTTATTCCTTTTATAGACATGAGACTACTGTGTTGCTCTGAAGTCACATAGACTTCTTCTACTGTGTTTTTTTCTAAAGTGCTTGAGTTTTCCCAGTCAAGACTCAGCTCCACTGACCATCTGGCGTGTTCCACTGAGCTCCCATTGTGTGCATGGATAGAGCTCCCACTGTGTGCATGGATATGAGCTCCCACTGTGTGCGTGGACAGAGCTCCCACTGTGTGCGTGGACAGAGCTCCCACTGTGTGCGAGGATAGAGCTCCCACTGTGTGCGTGGATAGAGCTCCCACTGTGTGCGTGGATATGAGCTCCCACTGTGTGCGTGGATAGAGCTCCCACTGTGTGCGTGGATAGAGCTCCCACCGTGTGCGTGGATATGAGCTCCCACCACGTGCGTGGATAGAGTTCCCACCGTGTGCGTGGATAGAGCTCCCACCGTGTGCGTGGATATGAGCTCCCACCATGTGCGTGGATAGAGTTCCCACCGTGTGCGTGGATAGAGCTCCCACTGTGTGCGTGGATAGAGCTCCCACTGTGTGCATGGATAGAGTTCCCACTGTGTGCGTGGATAGAGCTCCCACTGTGTCCGTGGATATCAGCTCTCACTCTGTGCATGGATATGAGCTCATACTCTGTGCATGGATATCATCAGCTCTGTGTGCATGGATATCAGTTCCCACTGCGTGCATGGATATGAGCTCCCACTGCGTGCATGGATATGAGCTCCCACTGTGTGCATGGATATGAGCTCCCACTGTGTGCATGGATAAAGCTCGCACTGTGTGCATGGATAGAGTTCCCACTGTGTGCATGGATAGAGTTCCCACTGTGTGCATGGACAGAGCTCCCATTGTGTGCATGGATAGAGCTCCCACTGTTTGCATGGATATCAGCTCTCACTCTGTGGATGGATATGAGCTCCCACTGTGTCCATGGATATCAGCTCCCATTATGTGCATGGATTTGAGCTTCCACTGTGTGCATGGATATGAGCTTGATTATGTAGGTATAAGCACATAATGAGCTTTCACTCTGTGCATGGATATGAGCCCTTACTCTGTACATGGATATCATCAGCTCTGTGTGCGTGGATATGAGCTCCCACTGTGTGCATGGACATGAGCTCCCACTATGTGCATGGATGTGAGCTCCCACTGTGTGCATGGATAGAGTTCCCACTGTGTGCATGGATATGAGCTCGACTGTGTGCATGGATGTGAGCTCCCACTGTGTGCATGGATATGAGCTTCCACTGTGTGCATGGATGTGAGCTCCCACTGTGTGCATGGATGTGAGCTCCCACTGTGTGCATGGATGTGAGCTCCCACTGTGTGTGTAGACGTCTCACTGAGCTTCCACTGCGTGTGTAGCATGAGTACGGGAGTAAGCAAGGTGAAGGGAGCTCCTGATCTAGCACAGATGGAGCCAGATTCAACACTAAAGAGGAAAAAAGGATCTAACAATCCTTAAGAGCCTACTATGCACCAGGTACTTTTCTCACAATTCTTGTGAACTACTGTGTTTTACGCTGCTTCTGTGGATGAGGAAACTGAGGCACAAGGAAGTGAAGGACGTTGGTGGATTCAACATCCGCCTTTGTGCTCCCAAGCAGTTTTTTGTTTCTCACCATTATAATTGACCACCTTGCATTATGTTTTATTTCTAAATTATCACAAATCCCATCTCTGTTTCTCAGGTTCTCAACCAGAGGCAATCTTGCCCCCAGGGAACATTTGGCAAGGTACGGAGATATTTTTGTTTGCCCCACCTGGAGGAGGAATGTGACTGACACTGAATGGGTGGGGCCAAGATGCCACTCAACACCCTACAGTGCACGCAGTTTAAAACAAGGTTAGACAAATTAAATTTAACAGAGTTTAAGTGAGCAAAAAAGATTCATGAGCCAAGAATCACCGAGGACAAAAACAGGCGCACGGTGGGCAGGGAATATTTATAGCAGAAAGCAGAAGTGACTGCAGAGATAGCCTGATTGGCTACAGCTCTGGCTCGCTGAGACGCAGCCACCTGTCACCGGAATACACACCCGTGGCAGCTTGTGGTTTGTTTACATGCTGAGCTAGGCTGAGGCCTCAGAGTACGGAGGCAGCTTTAGCCCAAATTTAACCTAAATTAACAACACGACGGTGCCCGCCACAAACATACAGCCTAAACTGCTAAAAGTGCCGAGGTTGGAAACCCTGAAATATTTGTACAAATATCCCATTTAAACTTCCTGTCATTCTCCGTTTAACTTTCCAGAGTCAAGTACTGTCAGTAGTTGGAATAAGCCCTTCCCACTTTCTGTCTGCTATGTTTAATCTCTGTCCTCTCTCCAAATATATTTCTGATTAAAAATGAGATCATGCTATGAATATAGGTGCCTTTTTACTTCAAATGTATCGTCGACATTTTCCATGGAATCCTTTCATCTTCCACTCGTTTTCTGGGGTGCAGCGAGTGCCATTCCCTCAGTTCTACGTAAGTCAACTGAGCTGTTCCCTGCTGGTGGGTGTGCGGTTGGTTTCCCTTTTGAAGGCTGCCTCCCACATGTATCTCCAGGTCCCCATTTGGCAGGTCTTAGGGCAGCGTCTCTGCAGGTTCCCTTGCACGAGGCACACACCAGGTGAGAGGAACCCTCGGCCACAGCTGGGCTCACACCTTGGTGCCGGGGCTGCGTTGCTTCTGCTTCTGGGAACTGTCTTCACCTTGGGTTCTCCCTGCTGGATTGAATGCATTTCCCCCTGTTGAATGCAGGGGCTCGAGTCGTCGTGAAATTTCCTTTTGCCTGTTGTAGATGTTGTAGACGCTCACCAGCCCACTGGGCATTTTCAGGGCCTGTTGATTGCATTTGGCTACAAGATTGGCCTTTTCCATAGTTGCATTTCCAGCATCAAACACGAGACCCGGCATGTGGGGGGCACTGGCAAATGTTTACTAGGTAAATTGACAAAGTTCCATGTCAGTGGAATGAGACATTCCATCTCCCTGGCTCCAAGGCAGCCCGGAAGAGAGTAGAGGCAGTGAGACGCAGGAGGTGCAGTGCGGTGCGCTCCAGGTGGCCTCTGACAATGCCCAGCACGCGAGATCTTTATCATCTTTACTCGGATTAGCGGCCCCTGCACGTGGCTGGGCCTTCAGGGAGCGGTCACGTGGGATCGGATTGCTGCTGACTTCTGCCAGTTGCTGGTGTTGCCTGGCACATGGGTTAGCTGGTATTAGCTCTTTCCAGCCAATACACGGATACGCCTCTGCAAGGGAAAATGTACGTAATGTTGAAAAGAGACACACACATTCTGTTTTTATCAAGAATTTGCAATGTAGATATGAATCTTCCAACTCCTTTTTCTTCAAGACTCTTTACATAGAATTAGAGTCTTTGTTTTTAGCATTCTATATAATGCATCAAAATACCCAGAAATATGGAGAAGCGGAGGTCTGAGGAAGGGAAGAACGTCGAATGGTATGTTTAGATATTTCACAGCGGAACTCTTAGTGTGACACATGTGTTTATAAAAAGTACCACTTTCTACATATCTTGCTCTAACAGTGAGGGGAAATAGGGTTTCTGCAGAGCGCTCAGAACCCAGGGCGCTAAAACCACTTTGTGACCTGGACACCAGGGAGCCAGTTGAACTGAGCCACCTTGTGGGAGAAGCGGCCGCTGGTGCAGTGGACAGGGCAGGAGCCACGGAGGCACAGAGCTGGGTGCTAGGACCCTGCATGGGGCACTGCTGGGCCAGGCCAGGGCAACTGGGGGGTGCCATGCAGGGCAGGGGCTCCTCTCTGAGCCGGAAGACTTGGATGTGTGCGGCCACAGCTCCAGGCCCCCGACTATAAAGCTGACTGTGGTGCTTTTGTGTCCCATTAGCATCGTTCTCTACTTATTAATTGCACATGAGCTAATTTGGGTCCTGGAGACACTCTCTGTAGCAGAACAAACTGTACTTTCGAGATCCTCACAGACGCCCGGGAACAAAAGGCCAGCCAGCGTGAAGTACAGCGTGAGCCGTACTTTGCACCCTATTCGTGTTGCGCGGTTCAAGAATGTTGGCTGCAAAGTCTTGCCAAGCTCCTTTTCCAAAAAAATGTTCTTTTTGGTCTTAGAATGACCATCCCATCATGCAGCAAACTAAGCATGATGGTCATTTCCGCATCTGCTTGGCAGGGCTGCAGTGCCAGTTACTTAATCAAACACTCTGCTAGGCGTTGCTGTGAGGGTATTTTGCAGATGTGACTGCCTCTGAGGGGGCTGACCCTTGATAATGTGTGTGGGTCTCATCCAATCTGTTGAGGCCTTAAGAGCGAAAACTGAGGTTTCCTGTAGAATAAATTCTGCCTCAAGACAGCAGTGGCATCCTGCTGCGTTTCCAGCTGCTGGCTTACTCTGTCACTCTCAGACTTGCCAGGCAGACCCCACGATTGCAGAAGCCAATTACTTCAAAGTAACTCTCTCTCTCCCCCACTCTCTCTCCATATAAGTGTATATATTCTCTATATGTATATACACACATTCACTCCCTCTAAATACATACAGATTCCTCTTGTGGGCTCCGTTTCCCTGGAGCACCCGGGCACCCTAGCCTAAGGGACTGCCACAGTTTTAGTGGATACTCTTCAGTGTCTCCTGCCTGTGATCTCCTTTTCTGATAGTGGGTCTACAGCTTTGTTAACCAAACGAATCTCCACACCCAGTGCTGTTTACAGCACGTGCCACCTGCTCAGGTGAGTTGGCCGCGGGTAGATGGAGCAGGCAGAGCCCAGGCCTCGGGGAAGCAGGTGGAGCAGAGGGTGGGGGGATGGAGGACAGGGCACCGTCTGTTCCCGAAAGACACGAGATAGGAACGTGAAGACCACCCTTGAGAAATGGGCTGTGGGGGCTGTGCCCAGCAGGACAGGGCAGCTGCTGGGTGGGCTTCGGG
The DNA here is from genome assembly GCF_000001405.40 of Homo sapiens. Lineage (NCBI taxonomy): Eukaryota > Metazoa > Chordata > Mammalia > Primates > Hominidae > Homo > Homo sapiens. Next base: position 441,100 of record NC_000002.12, read on the forward strand.
GCTTGTGGAGACCACCGGCAGTTTCAGATGGCAGACATTGGTGATGAGACGTTCCCACCCCGTCTCACCTTTCAGCCCTTGGAGCCCTTCTCCCGTTTTCTTGCCCTGCCTATGGGCTGGCATCTCCATGCTTGCTTCTCTTACGAGAACCTGGCCCACTACAGACCACTGTGACAGTCACGGGAGGTCCTGGAATGACTTAAAAGAAGGCAACACTGTCTGGAGGTTCCATCACATTTTAGCATCTTTGTGGCTTCTCCAGGCCCCAAGAGTCAGGCTCTGCCCAGGTCCAAGTCTGGCTCAGAACAGAAGCCTTCACAGACATTTTATGACGAAGGCGTTCAGTTGCCCTTTCGATTTCAGCCTGCTTCCCTCACCACCCTGACCAACATCCCAGAGAGGAGGCAGCACCAGTCTGTGTCTATACAGTGCCTTGATTTGAAAAATACTACAATAATTACAGAACTGTGTGTTGAGGCTCCGTAGACACTTACAGGCAGCATCCCTGGGAACTGTGTCCCTGTGAGGCTGGAGAAAGCCACAGAGACAGGATCTGGCTTTTCGGAGGGCAAGCGCGTGGTGGAGCAGGCGTGGGGGGTGCCGCGCTCTGTGTCACCCAGGCTTTGCAGCCCTGCAGCCCCAGCTTGGCTCTCTCCCTCCACCCTCCCGACAGCCCAACTTCCAGGCCAGTTTCCACACACACGCCCTGTTTACTGTGGCGCGAACTCTGTGTCCTGGAAGTAACATCAAAACTGTGCTTTACTGTAAAAGAGCATTTTCATGTTCACTCATAATGAAAGTATGAGAAGCAGGGAAACGATCAAGGGTCAGCTTCTCAGAAGCAGTCACTTCTGCAAAATGCCATCACAGCAATGCCTAGCTGAGTGTTTGGTTAAATAACTGGGACTGCAGCCCAGCCCAGTGGACACCAAAACGACCATCACACCGTTTGCTGTGCTGTGAGATGCTCACTGGGAGCGCCCCAACAGCTGTGTGCACACGGGTGAGTCTTCAGGAGACACCAAAACGACCATCACACCGTGTTTGCTGTGCTGTGAGATGGTCACTGGGAGCTCCTCCACAGCTGTGTGCACACGGGTGAGTCTTCAGGGGACACCAAAACGACCATCACACCGTTTGCTGTGCTATGAGATGGTCACTGGGAACTCCCCCACAGCTGTGCACACACAGGTGAGTCTTCAGTGGACACCAAAACAACCATCACACCGTTTGCTGTGCTATGAGATGGTCACTGGGAACTCCCCCACAGCTGTGTGCACACGGGTGAGTCTTCAGGGGACACCAAAGTGACCATCACACCGTTTGCTGTGCTGTGAGATGGTCACTGGGAGCTCCCCCACAGCTGTGTGCACACAGGTGAGTCTTCAGGGGACACCAAAACGACCATCACACCGCATTTGCTGTGCTGTGAGATGCTCACTGGGAGCCCCCCACAGCTGTGCGCACACGGGTGAGTCTTCAGTGGACACCAAAACGACCATCACACCGTTTGCTGTGCTATGAGATGGTCACTGGGAACTCCCCCACAGCTGTGTGCACACGGGTGAGTCTTCAGGGGACACCAAAACGACCATCACACCGCGTTTGCTGTGCTGTGAGATGCTCACTGGGAGCCCCCCACAGCTGTGCGCACACGGGTGAGTCTTCAGTGGACACCAAAACGACCATCACACCGTTTGCTGTGCTATGAGATAGTCACTGGGAACTCCCCCACAGCTGTGCACACACAGGTGAGTCTTCAGTGGACACCAAAACGACCATCACACCGTTTGCTGTGCTATGAGATGGTCACTGGGAACTCCCCCACAGCTGTGTGCACACGGGTGAGTCTTCAGGGGACACCAAAGCGACCATCACACCGTTTGCTGTGCTGTGAGATGGTCACTGGGAGCTCCCCCACAGCTGTGTGCCCACGGGTGAGTCTTCAGTGGCACTTCCCACCCCCCACACTGCCCCTACACAGCCACCTCCTCGGCCATCATGCTGGTCTCTAAATCAGCTGGGGGATTTGAGGAGGGAACTCTGCCAATCACTTGGATATTGACTTGGAGAATCACAGACAGACTCACAGACAGCCCTCCCTGGAGAGGGGGCCCGCTTCCCCAAGTCACCAAGCAGCGTGGTGAACAAGGTGAGGCCCTGGCCTTCGCGCCTCCAGGCTGCCCACAATCACCTCCACACCTGTGCGGCTCTGCTCCGGACCGCGTCTCTGCTCTTCGCCTCCCTTGACTCCCAGGGTTCCCTGCGTCTCGTCACTCACAGTGTTTCCACATTGGCCAGTGAGCACCACCTCGGGCCCCTCCTCAGATCCACAGACCGGAACCTGCCTGTTAGCAAGGGCGCCGGCAGCTCCTCTGCAGACTGAAGTCTGAGCAGCTTGGCCCACAGCACTTGCTTGGCCGGTGCCTAGCCTGCACTGTGGGTCGTGTGTCTGTCCACTTCTTACCAACCCAGGCGAGGCCAAGGTCTGTGCAGGAAAAATCCCACCCCGTGTGTCCTTCAATCCCACCCCAACTTTTCCAGCGTTTGTTCCATGATATGTATTTGAAAGCCGTTGGTTCATGGTTGGTTGAAGTGACTTATTTTCAGAGACAGTCTTTTACATCTATTATTAAAATAGCAGCTAACTTTTCTCAAAATGCACACATAATACTGAAATGGATTGAGGTGAAATTAAAGGTAATTAGAGAACTTTGTACATTATATTTTAATTTGCAGTAAACTGTTTCTCTTTCGTTGTATAGCCCTTCAAAAACAGAGTTCACACTTACGCCAAACTTAATAGAGCTCAGGTTCTGTAATAGAATGAGAAACCGCTGTGATAAATCATTCCTGTCACTTGGAGAGGGCGGGCACTTCCCGTTAGCCTTTCTGATGGCTGATGGTTCCGAGGAATTCTTCTAGGAAATACTCAGAAGGTTTCTGAGTGTTGTGAAGGTAAAAAGGATGGTGTTGCAGTTGCAACAAATCATCACCCACAAAATTGATTTTTAAAATCCCAGCCCAAGGAGTCTTTTTCTACACCTGTTGAGGGCTGTGGAGAAACAGGACGCACCCACTTCCCTGAAGTCCCGTTGTGGGGGGCTCTGCTCACCCTTTCTGAGTCTTCTGGGCTATCTTTGGACTCATGTCTTTTTAGCAAAGAGAGATACCTGTTTGTTTTACTTTTCAGAGTTAGACACACAATACAAATACTTTAAAGTGGCTGATAACAGCATTTACGTGGCATTCACTATGCACTGGCCTCTGTGCAAAACGTCCGGTGGGTTCTCTTTCGTTGTTTATGTGCACTGCTTTGTTATAAAGGGTCTACAAAGGATTCAGAGGAAAAGGTGCCAGGGCGAGGCTCGTGGGCGGGTGCTGAGCTTCCACCCCCTCTCCAGCGACCCCAGGAACCTCCACGTGCTCAGCTGTCCTGAGCTCCATTTACGTTCTCTTTACAACAGTGTGGGGCTTAGGTAACCTGAAGGCCCTGAGAAGTATTGGATCCTTTTTAAATGGGGGAGGAACCCGAGACAGCCCTGGTAACTTGGTCAAGGCCACCCACTTGCAGCAGACACGGCACCAGGATTTGAACCCAGACACAGCACTGGGATTTGAACCCGGGCACAGCACCGGGATTTGCTCGGCGTGAAGTAAAGATGGGCTCGGGCGGAAGCCTCCCATTCCATGTGTGCCCTGCCTCTTCCACTGGCAGAAGCTATGTTCCCCCCATCAGGCTGGAGCCCCTGTGCCCTCTTCTCCCGGGACCCTGGCCCTGGAGGTGAGGGGCAGCATGAGAATCTCAATGACATGGCAGAGATTGTGGGGCGGCTTCACACGCGTGTTTCAGACCCGTGCTCCACTGCGACAAGGAAGCGTCCCCCACGTCCTACAGACAAAGTCGCGCCCCTGGGAAGGTGGACACGCCATACTTAATTCACGGCAGGAGTGAGGTGCTGGAGCCCACGGCCTGGGCCTCCCCGCCGGGCCCTGCCGACCTCCATGGGAATAGTGCAGGCCCAGGGCTCCTGCGTGTGTGAGTCCAGGTCAGCTCTGTCCTACTCTGTGTCTGTGGGAATGTCATCAAGCACTGGTGATCCTCACAGATGCAGCAGAGGTCACGGTACATGCCCTGCACAGGGGAAGGCACGGCCAGTGGGCTCCAGCCGCCTGCCCTGAGCCACGTTCCCCTTGGGTCTGATTTCAACATTTCACTCTGCATCTCTCTAGCGTCTGGGCTTCCAGAAGTTCCCCGCAGGATGCACGCCCCACGCCCACGTCACTGTTCGAGCCTCTTCAAAAGTTACCAGCTCTCGGTCTTTCCCTTCGCTGAGGTTAATCTAACCGAGGAAACAGACTCTCGGTCTTTTCCTTCGCTGAGGTTAATCTAACTGAGGAAATAGTCTCAATGCTTTTTCATGTTCCCACGGCATTTGCATTTTCACGGCGTTTGTGTTTTTGTTTCTGGGAAGACCAGGTTCGGGTCTGGTGTCCGAGCAGCGTGTGGTCCTGGGAACATCTTACATGAAGTGAAGTGTCCATCCTTGGGTGGGTCCCTCTGACTCAAGGCGAGTCTTGTGGAGGGACAGCTCACTTACTCATCATCGTTTACACATTTTTGTTAGGGGTGGGTGGTGCCGGGTGAGGTAGAGGCCCAGAGAAGGTGAGACCTGAGATGACAAAGTAAACAGCAAGAAATTATTTTTGAGGATCAGGTTTATTTTGCCTCCATTAGAATATCATTACTCTTTTGTTGATGTTTGCTATTTTCAAAGTATGAAGTTTGGTTTATTGGTGACTATAAATTTTTAAATCTAATTTTGCCTTGGACAAAATTCATGATTATCCAAGGGAGGAAAAAACATTCTTCGGATGCAAAAGTGCAGGAACGAGGGGTTTGATTCTGAGGCCTGGCTCTGCATTCTGTGCTTCTCAGGGGAACATGCGGCTGCATCCTGGGATCACACCTGTGCTTGGCCAGCAACTGCCACATGCAGAGCTGCGGGAAGACGAAGCAGGGAAGGGAGGGCTGGGCCTGTTCCGTGTTGCATGTAATTAAAAAAATCATCTTGTCACCATGAATCTTCTTACAGCAGCACAACAGGCTAATTGCACCAATTATGAATTCTTCATTATATTGTAAAACCAGTAACAACCTATTTTCATTGTTAAACTGAGTTAATAAAAGGTTTATGCCTTTTTCCCAGTGTGCTACATATGAAGACTGTATCTTCTTGGAAGACAGAATGAGAGTTTCAAATGACTGCATTTTATACTCCAGCTGATAGGGCGGCATCAGCCCCTACACAATTCAGTCTTTACCGAATGGACAGCTTCCTAACGACAGGGCTGATCACCACGCACACATCCCACATCTCTAGCATAAAACAGCGTCTGTGACAGAACCAAGGCTTTTTGAATAATGCAGGACACTGCAATTGCTGGGCTTATTTCAAAGTGATCTGATTTGTTCTTTTAGCTCAGGGCTTAGACGTAACCCACATCACAAGGGCACTGTAAATGTGCTGCAAGCCCAGAGCAAGCTCCATGGGAGTTATCTGAACAGAGCTCCCCAGCGGCCCTCGCTGCTCCTCGCCTATCAGGAATCTCCGTGGCTGCCCCACAGCATGGCTGCTCCCTGAGAGAGAGGAGACAAGGACGTGGAATCTGGAAGGAAAATGCAAATTTCTGTCATTCTGATCACATGGTTAAAAAGTATTATCCCTGCAGTCATCAAAGGTCAGATTAATGTAACACTGATTTGAATTCAAATGTGATGTATTACAGTCGTGCCATTTGAAACTTTTTAATTTTTATCAGTTTTTACAGCCAAAGTTGAAAACATTACACTAGAATCATAAAAAAACAAAAGTGTTAAAAGTAACAGTTTTTTAAAATCAGTGTAACAATCCTGGGTCATTTGCTGAAATCTGTTAAAAAATGTATATGTACTTAGGAAATGCAAAACTGGTGAAAAATAAATGTGATTGTTGAAGAGGAACCAGCAGCCGTTGCTCCGTTCAGGTCGGAGCCCCTCCCTTGGTCCCTTGTGACCTCCTAGGAGCGGCAGGTCAGAGACCCTGTGAACGTCCTTCAGGGCTGGCACCTGCCCCACTCAGACATGGGGAGCACTAGCAAGGTGGTGGCCAGGAACCACACGCACAGCAGTTAACTGGCTTTTACTGATTGTTTAGGTTAAAAGTTCACCATTAATTACAAGTAACTGATAACATGCTGTTCATTTGTGAGCTGACAGCTAAGCCTTTCCCCAGGCACAGCTGGTGGCTGAACTGAACAGAGGCCCTAACCGTGTCACTGTGGCGAAGCCAGACCACTGGCCTGGGACAGATTTGTTGTCTTTCACCTCCAATTTCGTGCTGTTTCGTGTTTCTCTTTCTTCCCTTCAGTTCTCCTAGATTGCTGTCCTCGAGTGGCCACTTGGTTCCCTTCGTGATGCTGCGGCTCTTTAGGAAGCATTTCCGGTTCTGGGCTGACTCTATCTTGGAGGGCCCTTCCTTGATTCCTGCAACCAAGTAGGAGTGGACTCAGGGCCAGCTTGCCAACCTTGGGAGATGCCACTGGTGTCCCGAAGCCACTGTGTCAGGTCTCACAGCCTGTCCATTTGCAGGAGACACAAAGCCTGGCACCTCACCCACCACCAGTGCAGACACAGCCACACCCGGGCTCTGCCTTAACAGGCAGGGGAGGGCAGTGCTGTTAGGAGCAGTGGGATGACTGGGCCACTCATCTGAGCTTGCCCTTACTATGGACCTGGACCTTGTGGCAGGTGTTGGGTGTCCTAAGTATCCTCTAAGAACAATGACAAATGTCCATGTAAACTCAGGGTTCACTCTGCGTCCAGCAGCAAGAGCGTCAAGTGGGCCTTTACAAGTCCATTGTCAAATATCCACTATGCGTAAAAATTGCCTAAGTCCTGCCTGTCACTTGCAAATGGAAAATGGCCGGCAAGTTGAAAGAGAGGGCATGCCATCTGCTTCACAGGCACGAAGATGATGACGGGAGGCCCCAGGAGGAGGCTGCTCATGAAACGCTGGGTAAAAAAGTCTAAGAAGCTTTCGTTTCAGATGGTTTTCATTTATCAGAGATTCAGTGCCAAATTACACCATAATTTTGATTGAAAAACCCTTTTACAGAAAGACAAACAATGCTTGCTCTTTATAGTCGTGACCCTGTGGTCTGTAATTTAGTTTTTCTGAGCCTCATCTGCCAAAGAGTGATAAAATTCTGCTGTGGGTCTCATTGTGGTTCTCAACTTCCAGCTCCTTCCCTGCCCAGCAGATCACACGTTAACCTCCTTCACCAATACCAGTGGGTATTAAGAGCCCAGATCCAGGGATTGCCCCTCCCTGATATTCAACTTGAGTTATGCTAAAGAGCGTGGGGTAATTAACTCATGCCGTCACCCCGATGAATCAGATTCTCATTCTTTTAATTACTACCCACAGGGTGGCTTTAATGTGTTATTGTCTCTGTTGGACATTGAACGAAGACCTCATTTGCATTTGGTATGTTATTATGTTATTAATGTGCAGAAGATAGTTGCTATGTCTCGGAGTGGAAATGGAAATGACATTAAGATAATATGATTTTAGGCTGATAAGAGAACATTTTTCTCGTTTATCTCACTTTTAAAATGAAGTGCTGGCCCCAGAATGCAGCTCTGGGATATGGATTTTTAGCATAGCGTTACATGATCAATTTCCACTATATTTCCTGGGTGCTGTTGCATGGACCATTGTCAGTTGCTTCAGTGTTGATGCAACTTATATACCCTCGTTTTTCTCCATTTATATAATGGGTCCGTGTTGAAAGCCAAAGCTTGCAATTATTTTTCAAAGAAATATATTTTCATGGCCAAATACCCCATTTGGGAATAAATGTTAACACACTGAATTTTGATCTGGTGTAACTGGACATGTGATTTGGGATTTGCATATTAATTTATTCATATAAAACATTTATTGTGATATTTCTATATATAATGATCATGCCCAGTACTAGCAACACAGGGATCAGTGGTTGTTACCCTCAATCATTTCACAGCCTACAGCTGGGTGTCTCGGTTCATAGCCTATAGGCCAAATGGTGTCTGGTTCATAGCCCATAGGCCAAATGGTGTCCATTTCCTTTGCTGAAGGTAAAACCTGCAGGTTGTGCACATGTACCCTAAAACTTAAAAGTATAATTAAAAAAAAAAAAGCAACACTAGCCCTCTGTGCTTAAATAATGAGACTTGTTCGTCTGAATGGTCATGATTCTTATCATGGGAGGGGACACCGTCATCAGCAGAGGTCCCTCTAGCTTGTGCAAGAGCAAATTGCAAGACCCTGAGGGCCAGACTGCCCTGGCTTTGGGTCTGAGCCAGTCCTTGGCAAGGAAACATGCCCACTGATGGTTCTCCTGGTACTGCCAACATTTTTGTTTTGATCAGATGTACAGTTTCTATAGAACTGAAAGGATAGCCTTAAAATTACTCTTGAACACTTCCCCATGAGTGAATCTCCACATTTACAGTATTTCTGTTTGTCATTGGCAGCAGTCTGCGGGAGAGGGAAGGCCAGGCGGCTTCCGGCTGATGACACCCGACACCTTGCAGCCCATGGAGGCTGCACTGCCACTGCCTTATTCATTATGGGCTGTTGGCCTTCTCCATTTGTGTAGGGAAAAAAATTTGCTTTCTTTACTTGCATATCAGCAATGCTTGGCATAAATTTGGCATTTGGTAAGTATTTGTTCAGTGCATGAATGTGTGGATGGCTGAGGTGTGTGTAATCAGCTCTAGGTGGAAAAGCAAACTTGGAGCAGTGCTAGCATTCCCATTGGTGGTCCAAAGCCTCTGCTAAAGTGACTGTGCTCCTAGGTAACTTCAAGTCTTCCAAATCTTATGATTGGAGGGCAGGTCTTCACTGCTAATGAAGACAGACATTCCAGGTCTCTATTCTCTGCCTGCTTCCCACTAGAAGAGTGGGGAGGATTGCTGTTGAATCTGGGTGCTGGAGGATGACACAGAGCAGGTGGCTTTGCCTCTGAGGCTCCACTTCAGCGGTGGCCCCTCCAAGGCGGTCACCATCGACAACATAGAATCTAGGGTGTCCAGTTGTGAAACAGTCGGTTAAGAAAAACTGCCCCCTTTAGAGTTTCCTTTCTACATAGAATTATTTTTATTTGTATTGGTAGTTCAAAACATAATTTTATTTTGTTCTTGGCATACATTTCGTAAAGAGTGATGGAGGCCTGAAAATAATATATTACTACAAATCAGACTATTACTACCTTAACACTTTAACTATAGATTAAAAACTTATAAAACATTTTCAATTGCTTTTATTGTGAAAATATTTGTCACATTTCTTTCTACTGCTGAATGCACTTAACTTTAAGTACCATATGTTTTCAATAATTTCAAAGGCGGGACTTTCTTTTAAAATACATTTGGTTCATGTCGTTCCAGAAAACTGCAGATTTCATAGACACTGCACACCTGGAGCTCTCCTGTTGGCACAGATACAGCCTGAGCATGCTTCTCAGCAAACACCCCCACTCAGTGACAGAACTGTCCTGGGGCCTGCAACTTCTTGCTATTCCGATTCTGGGAGTCTGCGATGGCTGTGGTTGCAATCTGGGCTGAGACTGGTGGTCAGGCTGCCCGGAGCACCCAGGTGTAACTGCACGGGCACCAGACGTGGAGCTGGGACACCTGGGGACTCCATGTGCTGGCTGGGGACTCCATGATCGATCTCCCAAGTCAGGCAAACGCTGTTGGCCTCGTGTGCAATCAAAGGCCACTGTGCTAGGTGGCCACTAAATTCAACTCTAGTTCGTATTCTTTACATTTAGTGTTTTATCTAGTCTTTTCATTCATTAAATTGAGCTCTGAAATTAGTCTGAAAAGTGAGAATTTGTACTAATTTTCCTTGCTAGTGACTCTTGAACCGTCACCCTCCATAATGATTTTTGCTTTGTAATAGCCACCCAAAATAGTACCCCATGCATTATTTTTCTTTTTACCTTTTTGATAATATATGTTGTTATGATTATTGATGATCAATTAGCATATTTATTAAAAATTATTTTAAAAACTAGAAAATCATCCCAAAGACGGAAAAAATTATCATAGCCCAAAGGTAACTGCTTTTTTTTTACAATTTTGGTGTATGTTTTTATATCTCTTTCTATCTATCTATATTCACACATAATTTTTGTACTAAAATAAAATTAGTTTTACACTGTGTTGGCACATACGATGTACAGGGAATGATTTTACATACCTGGATATCTAAACATAAAATAATGTAGGGGAGGGGAGGTCAGGACTGCAGAACGGGAAGGTCCGTGAAATATCCTTGGCCACCATCTCTGAGGACAGATGCCTGGCCTCAGGGAGGAGTGACACAGGCATGCAAAAGGAGAGCGCACAGTGTGACCGTGTGGCCACAGACGCTCCCACCAGGAGACTCAGGGCAGGAAAGGCAGACTTAAAACTGGGAGTAGGAAGACTGAATGTAACTGGCAGAAGAAATAAAGTGTCCTGGAAACAGAGGGCCCAGGAGGAGAGAGAGGGAACTGCACGTCTGACCAAAAGAGGAGGCCGCCTGGCACCCCAGGACACATCGGCAGCCTCCCCAGTGGAAACGCCCAAGACAGGCGAAGACCAGAGGGGACGCATGGAGACAAGTCTTCATGTTTGCCTTAAGACCGTTGTGGCGACAATGGCCTTGCTTTAGATGAGAAATAACAGAGTGCCGTGGAGCCGCGGTCCCCGGCCTCGCTGGCACCAGGGATCGGTTCAACGGAAGACAGTTTTTCCACGGATGGGATGGGGGTGGTGGGGGGATGGTTTCGGGATGATTCAAGTGTATTCCATTTATTGTGCACTTTATTTCTGTTATTATTGCATCGTAATATGTAATGAAATAATTATACAACTCCATACTGTGGAATCGGTGGGAGCCCTGAGCTTGTTTTTCTGCAGCTAGACAGTCCCATCTGAGGATGATGGGAGAGAAGGACAGATCATCAGGCATTAGATTCTCGTAAGGAGTGCGCAGCCGAGATTCCTGGCACACAGAGTTCACATCAGGGTTCACGCTCCTGTGAGAATCTAATGCGGCTGCTCACCTGACAGGAGGTGGGGCTCAGGCGGTGACGCGGGCAATGGGGAGCGGCTGTAAATACAGATGAAGCTTTGCTCACCTGCCAGTCGTTCACCTCCTGCTCTGCAGCCCAGTTCCTGACAGTCCACGGACCAGTACCATCCCGAGCCCTGGGGCTGGGGTCCCCTGCCACAGAGTATCCACCTGTGCTTGTTATAGAACTGCTTTCAACTATGTATCTGACCTCTGGTAGCAAGCTTATGGCTTAATACTATTTTTATTTGATCCTAACACTCTGCAAGCTAAGTTAGGGTAGATATTTATTACTAATTTCCATCAAATAGATCAGCTGTTACCAAATATTTTTGGATTGCATGCTCTATTATTTTTAAATGCCTTTAAAGGACTTTGTTTTGGAGTGGTTTCCAATATTATTTTCATTATAAAACTCACATAAAGAAAAAAACCTGAAATGGTGCAGTTGAGAATGACTTTTAAACATAGTTTATAATATTTTCTCCTTGCAGATCTTTTAGGAGATGGCTTGTAGCGATGGCATCTCTGACTCACAGGTAGACAGAGTGCCTTCATGTCATACAGTCGGGGAGGGTGGGGCTCAGACGCAGTGTCTCCAGGCCACGCTTTGGGCCCCCTGCCACCCATTGCTCTCTTCCACAGCTGTGTTCACATAGAGGCTACCAAATGCACAGCCTTGGTCAATGTGTGATTTTCTTCTTATTTCCCATCTAGGATACCAGCAAATTGAGGTGTGGACAGCTGATGTCACAGTGTCTCCTATACATTAAGAGCTAAACTGCAACACGGAGCTGTGAAGTGCTGCAAGGAAAGGTTGATCCCTGTTAGAGTTTCTTGACCCAAAGGCCTTGGAAAATAGGACAGCCTGGGAGTGGGTGGCACTGCCCACGACAGCCTGCAAACCCACGAGCAGCGCCCTCGGCCGCCACAGAATTGACTTGGTTCTGCAGTCCTGTGAGGCACAGTAAGTAAAAAGCCATGCGTCCTTAGCTGCCTCACCACCCAGGTGACTTGCTTGTTGGGTTAGGATGTGTTCAGTTATGGGGCTGAGTAAATCTTTCACAGCCTCTTCATTCCTTACATCTCTTCATACCTCAGTGAGTTTAAGGTCAACTTGGTAAAATTACTCAGCTGAATTTGTGGGTTGAGGGGGTGGTAAGAGCTCGCACATCCTTAAGGGAACTAAATGCCATGGGCCTTCGGTGCAGGCTGCCTGTGCCAAGCAGTGAAATGTCAGGGGGTCGCCCTTCGTGCACGTGCAAGGGACAAGTGCCAGCCCTGGTGTTGCTGACAACCTGTGGCCTTAGAAACGACATGCATTAATATATAATCACTTTTAGGTTTTTGTCTGAGGATGAGGCTATGATATTACTGCCTAACCTAATTCCAGGGGTAAGATAATTGGGTAAACGTGTCATAACTTGCATGTTCAGTGCAGATCTAATGAACAGGAATCATCCAATCGTTCATTTACTAAGGACCTCTTATGAGCCAACCGCTATTCTCAGTGATGGGGGTCGTAGGACTCAAAGTGCTTGCAGATCACAGGAGGAGAAAATTATGCAAATGCTCAGGGAAGCCAGGGAATGTCTACATACTTCTAAGTATTTGATGTATGTCTTAATTTCACATGAAATACTTTGATGTATGTTCAATTATCCTGCTTGATAAATAAGGAAATTAAGGAGGTTTTTAAAAAATTATGAAAATGCTCAGAACTTGCCCTAATTTATACTTATGCTGGAACTAAGAGAAAGATATCCCAGAGATCAGAATTTTCTGTTATGTCATTCTAAATAATCCTACTTAGGAGGTAAGGGACTTTTAAAATGTGGTAAAAACTCCCATCCCCTCTTCTCTTCTTTTCTTTTTTATTCTATTCTTTTTTTTTCGAGGTAGGGTCTGGCTCTGTTGCCCAGCCTGGAGTACAATGAACCTATCACAGCTCACTGCAGCCTTGGCCTCCCAGGCTCAAATGATCCCCCTGCCTCAGCCTTCCAAGTAGCTGGGACCATAGACACATGCCACCATGCCCAGCGCAGTTCGTAGAGGCAGGATCTCCTTATGTTGCTCAGACTGGCCTTGAACTCCTGGCCTCAAGCAGTCCTCTCACCTTGGCCTCCCAAAGTGCTGGGATTACAGGTGTGAACCACCGTGCCTGGTCCAATTATTCTCGAGAGGCTTAGCAAACAACATTCTCATAAAATATAACGAGCCATAACTGCACACACAAATGTGAAAAATCTTGTTTAATCAGTATAATATGACCAAATAAATTTAGAAACAATATCACACTCAATAACGATTTAAGTCGATAATTATTTTTAAATTATTGTAGTAGAGTAGATGTTTAGCTAAAAATAGTTTTTTTCTGCACAGAAATGTAACCGATAGAAGACCCTGATTTCCCCCTAACCAAACCCATGTCTGTGTTGTCAGGCCTGCGGGAGGCCAGGCAAGGGCTGGTGTGGTCACGCTGTGTCCTCAACGCCCAGAGCAATGCTGAACAGGTGGCAGGTACCCAGAACAGTGCAGCTTTCTAGTCCGGCAGAACTGTATTTGTAATGAAAAGATTCTGCATAAAGCTTTGTCTAGCATTGGATTAAAGTATGACGGAGATCCCCAGAGATACCAAGTCCCAAATGGCAAAAAGTACAACATGATCAATAAGTGCCATCAAAACCAAAATCTTATTCAGGACTGAACGCTTTCTTTGACTTGCAAAGGATCCGGCGTCTAAGGATGCCCAGGCCACTCCGTGGGGTGTGCAGAGGCCTTTCACGCAGCACTTTCTGCCGTCCTCAGAAGCTGCTGGCAGCTGCTGGCTTTCCCTTTGCTCCGCCCTGTTTTCTAGACTGCGGGGTCTCTGGACTCTGCATGGCAGTGTGTTGATTCTTCTGTTTCATCCTGTAACTTTGTGATTTCATGGTTCAGTCAGGGGTGGGCCAGCATTTCCTGTAAGAGTTTCTCATGAAAGGCCCGTGTGCACGGCTGCTATGAGAGGGAACCCATCGCCCTGCAGAACCTGCTTGTGTGACTTTTGTGGTTTGGGCGACATTGGGTCAGCCATGCGCGTGGTGCCAGGAACCTGCACTCAACACCTCCACATGCGGAGGACACCTAAAACCCAGGAGGAAGTTGAGCTGTCCATCACATGTGTGGTGCTTCCCCGCTGGGATGTCCACTCACTTGGGAGAGCCGTGTCTGTGGACGCAGGTTTCTTGCAGTCACGTCTGTGGCAGATAAGAGGGATCCAGGGTTAGGACTGAAAAAGAGAAGCAAAACCATAGAGCAGTGGTGGGCTGTGAAATACTGCCTTTAAAGAAAGTGTTTAACGGAATTTATCTTGGAGACAGTTTCCAGAAAGTGAGTTACAAGCTCAGGATTTCTGCCACTCCTCTTTACTCTCCTTCTCCATGGCTGCCTTTTCCGAATGAGCTGTGACATGACAGCCCTTCTATCCTAGTTGTGGGGATGCTCTCTGTCAATAACTCACTTCAAAACCACTAATTTGATCATTTGATCTTTTAATTTCTGAGATTAGAAAACACAGTACAATTACAAGTTTAAAACAAAGCTTAATCTATGTTTAATATACCATGTGAATATAAGTTTAAATTACCCACAGGATTTCTAAAGCATCAAATTGCTTATATTTCTAGGTAGAGCCTGAAATGTTGGCAAAAGAAATTCAAGTGACAAACAAACATATCTTGCATGTATCCTGGAGCAATTCTGTTGTAAGCCTTGTAAAAACATGCTTCAATGAGAATAATCATTCTTTTCAGGCTGCGGAATTTGCTTAATAATTACACCCTGGAAAGGGGTGTGCTGGTGAACAGAGCACAATAGCACAATAATTGCAGAAACCTTGAGCCTGGGCTCCGTGTTACCTCACTGAACAGAAAGACCCATTAGTCCTACCTCATTGCTGTGGGCATGGATTTCCCAAGAGTTGGGGAACATGGAATTGAATGTATTAGGAGGGAGGGAGTGTGGAGTAGGAGGGTGGACAGAAAGGCCACTATCCCACCCAGAAGTCACCAGAAGGTTGGACAGAGAGGCCAGCATCCTACCTGGGAGACGTGGGCTCAGCACAGCTGCTGAACATGCCATCCTAAACAGGGAGTTTGAGCAGCATTGTTAAAAGACTCAGGAAATAACACTTTATACAAATATTTAATGTCCTTTATAAATGCTTGGATTAATCCGTTCTCATGCAGCTAATAAAGACATACCCAAGACTGAGAAATTTATAAAGCAAAGAGATTTAATTGGCTTATAGTTCCACAGGGCTGGGAGGCCTCAGGAAATGTAACATCATGGCAGAAGGGGAAGCAAACATGTCCTTCTTCACATAGTGGCAGAGCTAAGGGGGAAAAGCCCCTTATAAAACCATCAGATCTGGTGAGAACTCACTCACTATCATGGAAACAGCATGGAGGTAGCCACCCCCATGATTCAAATACCTCCCACCAGGTCCCTCCCACAACACGTGAGAATTATGAGAACTACAATTCAAGATGAGATTTGGGTGAGGAGACAGTCAAACCATATCAATGCTTGTTTAAAATCCTACAGAAGACACATTGCCTATCCAGTCCAGAAGCCAAACAGCCTACTGGGGCTGGGGGCCATAGATTCAGCTGAGAACACAGCAGGGGCTGAAGTCTCTGCTACCATCCTCTCCATCGTCCCTTCATGCTGCAGGGACTAATGTAGCAAAATCACCATTTAATGGAATTACAAGACATCGACTAGTCCATGTATATTCCAACTCAAAGAACAGCCGGCAAACACAGTGAAGTTTAGACCAAACCAGGGAAGATGCCAAGAGCAGAAAGAAACATTGAATGCATTCGCAGAGTGAAAAGGCCAATGCTGATGTTTTCTTCAGGAGAGAGAGAATTAGAGGCTTCTCTTGCTGTAAAACTGTCCCTAACCATGTGGTTCTGTTGCCTAAGTTTCAGGTGAGTGGGACCCAGAGGGGAAACCTCACCGCCCCTGTCATCCCTGTGGAGCAGTCCAGAGGAGGGGTGGGGCAGAGAGCAGCATCTGGGAAAAATTGGAGCTTTACAGTATTGGTGCAGAAAAATAAAATAAAGCAACACCATAAACAGAAAGCATGCATAACATGAGACTTCTCTGCAGCCGATGCAGCCACATGTAGAAAGCATGGACTCACTGAAGCTGGAGTTCACAGCTGACTCATCTGAACTGCATGGAAGCCACCCTCAGACCTCCACACCTGCCACCCTCCTGAGAAAACAGCAGAGCCTGTGCTGCATGCCTCTAACACAGGAAACAATTACTAGAAACAACAAAATAAAATCAAAGGAAAGTAATTAAAAAACTCAAGACACACATTTACATTAGAAGAAAGATCACACTATGATTGCTTGGTGTGGTTCTTCAAAATTGGTTCTTAAGGAAAATTTCTGCAATCAGAGATACAGAGGTGAGATCTGAGAAAACCAGTCAAAAAGGGAAATGATGAAGAAATTAATTTAATTAGAAAATGAGAGATATGGAGAAAGGGAGTCCAGCATACACTTAATCAATATTCTGGAAGAGTATAGCAAGATGATTGTACCAGAAAAAGTAGTGAACTTAGATTTTAAGATAAAGGATCCTTCTGGGAACCAGGCAGAAAAAAACCCCAGCATCCCAGTCATTCCCATACTAGAGGGACAGTCGTGCTTGTACCAAACTTTTCTGTAAAGGATGAGTAACAGTTGAGCTGTTCAGGCCTTCAGAAAAAGAAATGTGAGTCAGTAGGCTTACACCTGACCGATTTGTCATTTAAAAAATAAAAGCAGGGAAGACAGTCTCAATCCTCAAGAACTAAATGAAGCAACCAAGAAAGTCTCTTGAAAAATCATCATTTAACAAAATTAAAGTAACCAACGAATCAGGAGAGCTAGGATGGCGAGAGATTGAGAAGTCATGGTGGGGCCTGAGGCCGATTCACTCACACACAGATGGCAGCTGAGCACCTGCGGTGATTGCAGCCGATAACTGAACACACTTGCTACAAAGCAGAGACATAAAAAACAGACAAATGGATGATGGTATCAAGGAGGAAACAAAACGTGATGAAATGTGTTGGCATGCCAATTTTGCCATTTGTCAGGTAGAATTTTTATACATAAATCTAAAATTCATGAATAAAAATTTAGAGAATATTATTCAAATTTACCAGGCCACAGTTAAAGATGATAGTCAAAGTCGGAAACCACTGGGGATGAGAAGCTTTGAGAACTTCGTATGTCCACTCAGTCTTACATACTGGAAAGCTGAAAGTCTGTTTGAAGATGACAGACCAGGAGCTGCAGGCTTCAGTGTGTTCTCAAGTCTCTCCCAGGGGCTGGGGGGAGGGAGCAGAGGAGGATGGCTTGGGGGATAAAAGAGCTCCCATTGAAAACTGACACCGCATGGATTACAGTTCTGCCAACTTTATCTAACACTGTTCTGGAGGTTTTTTTCTGTGCAATTAGACCACAGAAAGAAATGAGGTCTAATTAAGGAGGAGGCAAAATTATTATTATTGAGTATGATATGGCTTTCTATAAGAAAACTCAGAAGAATCAACTGAGAAAGAATAGAATCAATTGGCTGGCTGGTAAATATGTGTATGTTCAGTTGGCCCTTAAACAATATGGAATTTAAGGGCACTGATCCCTGAGCAGTGAAAAATCAGCATATAACTTTCGATTCTCCCAAAACTTAACTACTAACAGCCTACTGTGGACGGGAACCCTTACTGATAACATAAACAGTCGATTAATACATACTGTATACGTTGTATGTCATAGACTGTATTCTTACAATAAAGTAAGATAGAGAAAATAAAATGTTATTAAGAAATCATAAGGCGGCCGGGCGCGGTGGCTCACGCCTGTAATCCCAGCACTTTGGGAGGCCAAGGCAGGTGGATCACGAGGTCAGGAGATTGAGACCGTCCTGGCTAACACGGTGAAATCCCGTCTCTACTAAAAATACAAAAAAATTAGCCAGGCGTGGTGGCCAGCGCCTGTAGTCCCAGCTACTTGGGAGGCTGAGGCAGGAGAATGGCGTGAATCTGGGAGGCAGAGCTGGCAGTGAGCCAAGATCGCACCACTGCACTCCAGCCTGGGGGACAGAGCGAGACTCCGTCTCAAAAAAAAAAAAAAAAGAAGTCATAAGGAAGGGAAAGTATATTTATCATTCACTAAGCGTAAGTTGACTGTCGTACAGGTCTTCATCCTTGTCTTCACGTTGAGCTGGCTGAGCAGGTGGAAGAGGAGAAAGCTTTGGTCTTGCTGTCCTGGTGGCAGAGGTGCAGGAGGCAGAGGAGGCGGATGAGGGCACAGCAGAGGGAGGCTCCCTCAGGGCAACTTCTACTGAAAAAATTCGGTATATGAGTGGATCCGCACAGGTCAAACCCGTGTTGTTCAAGGGTCAGCTGTATATTCTATATGTAAAACAACATGTTTAAATATGTGAACTGCAACCAGATAGAAAATACAATGAGACCAATTTATAATGGCAAATATATAAAACAAATGAACAGAAATTAAAAAGATATTGTGCCTAGAAATAAGATTAAAAATATTTCATATCTATACAAAAACATTGGACCTTCGCATGCAATCAGCAGTGGATCCTAATCTCTCTTTTATACCCTTCTCTCCCTGAATTTTCACTGGATCCATTTTGGGGGTTCACTGCTTTTTTACTCAACAATGTCTAATCTGATTTTTAATACATACATCAGGCTTTGAATTTTAAATGTTATGTTTTGCTTGCCTAGACTTTGAATTTGGTTCATTTCCAACTTTGTTTGCACATTTTTAGACAGTTGCTCTTGGTCCATCTGCAGTCTGTTCTTTCCTTATTTAAAAATCCTTCAGCCGCAGGCTTGCCAGAGTCTCGGATGACTTCTGTGGCTGGAGCCTCTGTGGCTCTGATCCTGCCGACCTGCTGCACTGAAACTTGTTGCTAATGTGTTTCTTGATTTTGGATGGTTAGTTCGTTTTTCCTGAAAGTTTATCTGTGGAATTTCTTTGAGTTCAGATTTAAGTCAAGTTAGCTTAAGAGTAGACTTATTTTTGCCACTGTCCTGTATGTTCAGGTAAAATAAGTTCAGGGCCACTTTAGGATTAATTCTCCATTAAACTTCCCATGTGATTTGCCTCTGTAAATGCACCTGGATTCCACACTGGGGCTAGAAACCCCAGAGGAAATTACTTTTCAGAACCTCAATATGAAGGTTTGAATAAGGCAGTTTTCCTCGCCATAGTTTGAAGTTAGAGGCATTATTGTTTCTGTTTATTTTTAAGCCCAGAGTGTTGTCCCTGAGGGTCCAGGCTTTGAGAAGTAGGTTTGATCTGAGAAGATCCTGATGTTCGCTGCCTGTGCCTGCATTTCCCAGACCTGAAAACGGAATTTTGCTTTCTCTCTGCTGAGGTGATGTCAGGGCTGTCTTTACATCTTTGGGCTCCAAAGTGAAGACCATGAATATATTTTACTTTTTTGGTTTGCAGTTTCAATTGTTAATAAAATACAATATTTCTCTGAGCAAGATTTCTCTGTTCATGTTACTCATCCACATAGAGCTTGTGTGAATTAAATTATCTGATCAATTCTAGGCAGTTTGTTTTAATAGGAGGACTGTGAGGTCACTGAGGGGAGAACGTGTCCAGTTGTGACA
Source organism: Homo sapiens (assembly GCF_000001405.40). Classification (NCBI taxonomy): domain Eukaryota; kingdom Metazoa; phylum Chordata; class Mammalia; order Primates; family Hominidae; genus Homo; species Homo sapiens. The sequence continues at coordinate 460,945 of NC_000002.12, forward strand.
TTTGTCAGAATCAGACTGGAGACGCTTATGTCAAAACCCTGAAAAACGGAGCCAGGGAAGGGAGGAGACTCACAGATGAATGCCTGGCAACAAGAACTACCACAAAAGACGGCAGGAAACCACAACTGTGCACAAAGGCCACCACAACCTTACCCAAAAAATACTTCTGTGAGGTCATCTGCCCAGCAACTGCTTGCGCAGCCTGGACTGGGGCCACCCTTGTTATTGATCCTTGTAGCCAAGAATAATAAATCATCTCAAAACAATCGTGTGGTTCTCCTCATTTTCCTTCAAAAACCTTTGTTGTCACTGACCCCTCCGAGTACGTGCAGGTTGGCATGGCACTTGGGTTCCTACTGCAATGCCCATTCCAGAATAAAAGTTATTCTCATTTGGATGTCCTTTCTCTGTTTGTTGTTTAGGTTGACAAAATCCAGGAGAGAGGTAAGAAAGAGGACAGGGCAGAACAGAGGGGTATTCCTGAACCCTCAGGACCTGCGGACCATTGGATCGAATGGAGAGTTGGTGGGATGGAGCCTGGCTGAGCTCAGGATGGCCTGGGCAGTCCCCGAGATATGGAGGGGAAGAGGCTGCGGACAGACATAGAGGAACAAATAGGCTGGTTTAGGGCCATTGGGAATGAGAGTTTTCCTTCCCAGAGCTTTGTCTCAAAGAAAAGAAAATCTGCTCACTAATTAAGGAATTGTGAGTCTTTTTCATATCTTGTCTAAGCATGTGATTTACTGACTTTAGTCACGAATATTGGTAAGTGCCAAACTGAAGAAAACTTGTCATTCTTTACCACTCATAGTTGGCATGAAAAATTAAAAAAATCTATTTATCTGTCATAAGATAAATTTTATGACATTCATAATGATGAATTCTCCCTGCAATCTGCAGAGCCTCCCACCTGCCTGCCCTGCCTCTCCCTGGTGTTGGGGGATAAGCCTCCCTGGCCAGGCTCTGCCTCCAGCCTGCCCTCACTGCTGTGGCTTCCTGCAGGGACTCAGGAAACACCTTCTCTCCCTCATACCCGCCCTCCTGTAGGAAACTGTCCTTCACCTCCACTCTGTATTCTTCAAATTTCCAACTCTTCAGCAGGCTTAGAATTCTTTCTTTTCAACTTTCCTATGTTAAAAAATGTTATCACTGTAAGAAAAATTACAAAATTTTATAATTTTTCAAAAGTACAAATAAAAGAGGATTCTCAGAACATATAATTTTGATGAGTTTAATAAATACATAGCGAACTGATCAAGATGGGCACTCCCTGGCCAGCCCATGAATTCGTGGTTCAGAGTCTTGGCCAGTCCAGGTCAGCATTTGTGACAACTGCCTGGTGTTACTCTGCAGCAGGTGGTCCAGTGACCTCGTGTTGGGAATTATTGTCCTAAAGTTGTAACATGAATGTTTTTGTTTAAATTTAAAAAAGGTTCTTTTCTTCAATTTCATATTTTATCTATTGAAGCTGCAGCTCTAAAAACAAACATTTTGGTTGTGCCTATTTTTGGCTTGTGTGTGTGTTTGCGTGTGTAAATTGAATCATATACCAACTATATCCCGTTCTCTAACTAACTTCTTTCACTCCATGTCCTTGTGAAAGGCATCCAACTCCCTGAAGCCCCTCCTGTAAAAAGTTTTAGTCAAATTTTCTCCTCAGCTGCAGCGAACTGGAGGCCCTGTGTGTTTGATAATAGAGATTTCTTGAACTACTTGCAATTTTCACACTAAGGCTAATCTTGGTTCCATATAGTTCTTGATATTTCAGATCGAGATAAATAAACATGACAAAGCTTGGCTGGTCAATCTAGTCATAGTTATCTGAGGTGGTATCTTTAATTTTGTTATTTTCCGATAGAATATAACAACAATCTAGGTTTTCAGTTACTTGTTTATTTAATTCTGGTTTATTGAAATGTTCTTATAAGATTGATTTTCAGAAGGAATTTTAACAATATTTAATAATAGTTAAACAACTATAAATAATGTATCAGAGTTTATTACATGAATTTATACTTATACATGTTATAATTTAAGACTAATGAGATGAAAATACTACAATAATTATATGAATTCACAGATATCTGGTGATCTTTGTATATTTTCATGTTTATTTATTAAATGTCCTTCCTTTACTGTTTCAATTATAGACTCTCCCCTTAAGTGCAGTTTGGGTATTAATAAATCCAGAATTTATTGTGGAAGAGAGTAAATCCTTTGATACTGGAATGATGGAAGCTGTTTTGGCAAATGCAGATCATCATTACAGAGCATTTTCCAGGTGCTCCTGAAAATATCCTCCTGTAGGGACGGCAGGGAGTTGGAAAATTGCAGTTTTCTTTCAAATGGCTTCATGAATTTTCTTTAATGTTTAATGGTATGTGTGTTTTTGTTTTTCTTTTTAATTATATCAGGGAAAAGGCGTTTGGATTCTAACATTTTAATGAATGAGTGATTTTTTAGAAACTAAATACTTCAATGCCCAGAATTGTTCCCTGAAATGTGTACAAACCACTTCCAAAGGTTGTAAAAGCAATAATGAAAAATTCCCCAGTTTATGGTCTCAAAGAAAGGGTCATGGCAGTTTGTTTACAACCGACCCAATTAAAATGAGAAGGCGATGTGAAGTTATTTCCTCATGTAAATTACATGAAATCCTAGCGACACAGCTGTTCTGCAATGGGAGAGTGGGGATTTCTGTAGCGTTGAAACCTCTTTTGTATTTAAGGTGTCTTGCAGCTCCATCTTCTCATTTCAAATTCTCCTGCTGGCCTTGTGAACAAGGGTTTATGGAAATTTGAGACAGAGTTTCAACAAAATCAAAATGCATATCAACCTTTAGTCATCTACTTTTCCAAAAGTACATTAATGTATTTCCCTTTTCTTTATTTACCTGAAATAAAATTACTATTTATTTGACAAGATAACTACTAACCATTTCTCTTAGGTAAAATCACTTAAATATTATATAATTTACTGGAAGGTTACGGCATACCACAAACAAAACCAAATATTTCTATTCTACAAAACAGAGTAGTTTCAAAACCATATATGAGAAGTATTTTGTGCTAGGATATGCCATGAAAGGAAGACCTTTGGTCCAGATTTCAGAGGCTGAATTTCTTATCCCAACTGTCCTAAGCGTAAATAAGTCACTGAACTTTAGTTGGGCACAGTTCTTGTCAGCAAAAAGTTGAAATTTATCTAGGTTATCTCTATATTCTAGTCCAAGACTTTATGATTATAAGTTAATGTGAGGATGGAGCCAACCATGTCCTTTTTTTTTTATTTGGAAATTTTTGTCTGACTTTGCGTGAAAAGTAGCTTGGTCACAGGAACACCCGGCGTTCCTCCATTGATGAGGAAACGTGTCTGTCTTCACCGGTTCCTCCACTTCCTGTTCCCTTCACTCTCTTCCCTGGGTCGGGCCTGAGCTCCCAGATGCTGGGATGTGTCCCCCTTCCCTCCTCAGGCCGCGCATCTTCCACCACCATCTCCCAGGTGTGTCCTTCACGAGCAACCGCTACTGAAAGACGCCTGACCCTCGGCTGCCCATGGGACGGTTCTTTTCTTCCCATGGCTGATATTTTATGATCGTATTCCCTATGGTGTCAGGATTCACTAGCAGATCTCGGAAGTGAAGCTAGGACTTTTGGCCAGTATTTGAGGTGCTTCCAAACCCGCTGGAGAGGCTGGAGGGGCAGGTCTGGGCTGCTAGAGCCTTTGTTTCCTGGGTCAGTACCTGGCCAGCACCTCAGCCCCTGGGTAGCCTCCGTGCCTCATCAGGCAGACAGGGAGCTAAGCCCCGGCGCTCTGCTTCTGTGGAACTCCAGGAGCAGGAATATGGGGGCCGCCATCTTGCTTCAGAGCCTCATAGAGGCTGCCCGTGTCCCAGGGGCACTCCCCGTGAACACACCTGTGCTTATTCTGGGCGGACCCAATGTGTTTATTTTTACATACCTGCCTAACTGGCAGCACATTTGTGAGTGGCTGAAAGAAGATTGTATGGACTGGCAGTGCCTAAATTGGTGGTGCTCAGATAATACACAGAACCGGACATTCAGTCAAAATTGCTCAGCGAAGCCTGAGCAGGCTCGCTTCCTCAATCCACAGACAGAGGGCATCCGCTGGGTTTCATTTCCTGCCTGGGGGTTTCTTCTGGCCCAGCAGGTCTCAGAGCCCCCAACTGGCAGCGGCCACAGGGCAGCAGGGGCCATAGAGCTAACTCGTGCAGCTGGTTTTGGGCTCAGCGAGGGGCGGTGAGCGGGACCCGCCTGGCTGGCACTTACTTAGTCCATTCCTAGCCCTGGAATGTGGAGTCTATCATCATGAGACAGCCACCTCTCTAATTGCACTATTATTCCCGACTTCTATTGGGTCCTGACTAATCCAAATCTGAAAGGAGAGTTTATTTTTATGTGAAAGCGTCGAAGGTTCAGGGACGGTGTCTGTTTTGTTCTCAGAGCTCCTGGCCCTTCTCAGAGACGCTCTGTGGTGGTAGGTCATCAAACATAGGGGCTGAAGAGCGAATGAGAAGTAGCTGGCCGTGTGGATGCCTGTGACTTTGCCCACTTGAAAAACCTGGGCTCTGCTTATCTTTCTCAGCCGTCTATATGCTCAATAAAGAATTTAATCTGTTTCATAACAATTCTAATTATGACATAAGGCAGAAAAAGGTCACATAATTTGGAAACCAGGATTTCCAGATGCGTAAGCCTCCACTGGGCTCAGGGTCTGTTTGATCGACTAGCTACATCCAGGTCTGTGGTTCTGCGGAAGGCTGTTTCAGAATATTTGAGGATGCATACAACCAGGAAATTTATTTAAAACAAAGAAAATGGCGCTTGTGTTATATATGACGAAAAATTGTAAAACTTGAGGTCATTCTATAAAAAGCCGTCCTGACTTTAGTACTTTTCTACAAATAAACGTGTTTTTACAACGCTGTCCCACCACAGCATGTACACAAGGTGGGCCCATCACGCCACATCCCTGCCCCTAGGACGCTGAGAAACATTTTAATCAATCCTGACACTGAGAAACATTTTAATCAATCCTGAAGTTTCCACATTTTGAAGCAACTGTTTTAATTATTCTCTTAAGGGCTGGCAATAGGCGAGACACCTGTTTTCTAGTTCAGGGTTAAAAATAGCTTGAATAGCTGGTGTTTGCGAAGGATTTCACAGATTTCCTGCTGTTTCAGCCGAGCCACACATTTCCCTTGAGAAGTAGACAAAAAAATGAATGTGTCCATTTCAGTCATGGAAGAAACGGCGCCTTCCAGTCACCAGATAGACGGGAATCTCATCACGCTCAGGCCTTCCAACACCCAGCTGTCTATTTTTCACCATGGAGGTTATCTCTGATGACTGTAGCCCCTGATCTTCATTCCTCATCTGTTAAGGGGGACCTGAGGACTTCTTTTTTTTTCTTTTTTTCTTTTTTTTTTTTTTTTTTTGAGACGGAGTCTGGCTCTGTCGCCCAGGCTGGAGTGCAGTGGCGCGATCTCGGTTCACTGCAAGCTCCGCCTCCCGGGTTCACGCCATTCTCCTGCCCCAGCCTCCCGAGTAGCTGGGACTACAGGTGCCCGCCACCACGCCCAGCTAATTTTTTGTACTGATAGTAGAGATGGGGTTTCACTGTGTTAGCCAGGATGGTCTCGATCCCCTGACCTTGTGATCCACTCGCCTCGACCTCCCAAAGTGCTGGAATTACAGGCGTGAGCCACAGCACCCGGCCCTGAGGGCCTCTAAGGTAGCGTTTCACTCGCTAGGAATTTCCAGTCTCCTCCGAGTTCCGAAGGTTCGTTCACGGGACCGTGAGCATCTTGCCTTCATCCTTCTTCACTGTTAACCAACCCTTTACTGTGTGACTATTTCACCGTCTATTTATTTTTCTGGCAAGGATTTTTTTTTCTGCCTGTTATTGGATCCCTAACTCACACTACAAACCAAAGCCTACGTTTTAAATGAAATATTTTAACATTTTGAATAAAATACCAGAAACTATTCAGAACCACCAATGACATCAGATGTACTGGCTGCCCGGCTCCCTTCTGCACTTGCCCCTTAATAAATTCCTTTAATCCTCGAAACGATCCCGCAGAGGGATCCTGGCATTATTTCGTCTTAGAAAAACTGAATTCGAAATGCAGAGAGTTGAACCCACGTGTCCAGGTCTGGTCTGCGATCGGCAGGCGCCCCAGTGTCCCCATCAGGCAGCTGCAGGAACCCGTCCTCCCTCCCACCTGGGCCCTGGGAGGCTGTGCAGATGCGTCTGGAGCCGGCAGGGAGAAATCCCTCTCCAGCTTCTTCTCTTCCTGGGACTGCACAGGCTCCTCTAGGGTCCCCGCGGGCCTGGCCCCAAAGCCTCCTCCTGTTCACCCTTCCTGGCAGCCCACCTGCCAGGGAGAGCAGCTCCTGAGCTATGGGGAGTGGAGAGGCCCTCCCCGCCCCGCCCGGAGCTGGCTCTGTGGCCCCTGCATGGGTGGGGGTGGTGCTCTGTCCGCTCAGCAGGGGCACCCACCCGGGACAGAGAACAGGCGTGTGAATGAAAGATAACTGGGCTTTTCCTAAACTGTTTAAAAGTAAAGTACCATTTACACAAAGAACCCGGTCTCGAGATTTGTAAGTGACGCCTGTCCAGACAACGTATTATTCCATGCAGTTTCCACATCACGTGGGCTTTTATTTGGTTCAGCAGTGGCCACAGTAAGCCCTGCCCTGGGGCATTAGCTGGTGCCCTTGTACGCGCACAAACCAAGCATTTTATTGCATAATCCAAAATGATGTAGCCTGTGGCCTGTCGGGAGGCGCTCCCTTCTTGTGGAGGAAGGAAGGTCAAGAAGGAGCTCCCGGCAGACCAGGGTTCGCTGCGCCCAGAGACCTGCCCAGAGACCTGCTGCACGCCGGGGCGCAAGGCCGAGTCATCCCAGGCGTCCGTGGGCCGTGATTCCCACTCACGCCGGGGGCCCAGGCAGGCAGAGAAGAGTTAATGAGCGCGCAAGTGCAGGCGGTCACTCCTGGGCCTGAAACTCCCGCGCTGTGCATTCAGGGCCCTCGTGGCTCTCAGAGGCGCGTCCCAGGGGCGCACACTGCACCTTGGGCTGGGCAGCTCCGCCGGGTTGTGGCGAGCGGATGAGGGAAGGACGCAGAAACCAGGGCGGAGGAGCCGCGAGGGGCAGGACGAGGCTGCATGGGCCAGCGAGGGGGTCGACACCGAGCCAGAGTGAGCGCGGGGCCTGGGGCGCAGAGCCCGCCCAGGGAGCCGGGAGACGCCGCGCAAGCTCCCCGGACAAACGCAATGACCGAGGACGCGCGGGCGAGGCCGTCCAGGGAGCCCTGGTCCCTCAGCTGCACCGGACTGAGCCGCGACCGCTCAGCACGCGCTGCTTATAAATCAGGGGTGCGCTTCCCAAGCCCCGGGTGAGGTCCCCTACGTCGGCACAGCCTTAGGAGCTGCAAAGCAGCGCGCGCCTCCGGGGCTCCTGCGCGCCCCTTGAACCCCGCCTCCCGCATCCTCCTGCAACAGCCTGGAGCTCCCTGTGCAGGACGCAGCGGGGGGCGGGGGGCGGTCTTAGGAGGCTGCGGGGCGCACTCCCACCTCCTGCCTCCCCGAGACCCCCAGCGCCTTCTCCAGGGTTTAGAGCGGAGGTGAAGGGGCCTCGTCCTGCACCGCCACTGGGCGCCTGGGCTGTTCATCATCGGTTACCGCCGATTCATAGGAACTCCTCAACACATTGGCTCGGAAATGTACAGTCATAGGCAATTTATAAAACTGACAAAAATTATTCCGCTAATGCCAGGAATAACGGAGGATATTCAGAAAGAAAAACAGGAATATTTTCTTGTGTAAATAATAGATAAAGAATAAAAAAGTAAATGAGCGTAATCCAGCAGCAATCCCCTTAGGGAGTAATAAAACCCGAAAAGTCCAATTTGCGCAGCAAGATCCATTAGGCAGGAAGTGAGGAAGCCAGACGCTGTCCTGCGGCCCTGAAGCGGGGAACTCACTGTGGGAGTTTGATGCCTCAAATCAGGAGCTGCGGAAGGAAGAAATTTCAACGTTTCGTTATTATGCTTCAGTTCAGTGTGAGCAGGCTTTGTATCCCAGGTAATTTCTTTAAACCTGCAATCGCGCAGAAAGGCCAGGCACGTGTCTCGGAGCCGTTTCCGTCAGACCCGCCTGCGAGGTGCAGCCCTGGGCATCGCGGGCGGAGCTGGGGCCTGGGAGGGATCCCTTGACCCTGAGCCTCGGCCTGCCTGGAAGTCGGCATGCTTTGTGAATTCCCAAATTCTCAGGCTTTAACTATGCCGCTTATTCTTATTTTATAGGTAACTTTTCTGTAAAGGTGAATATTGTATTGAAAACAGTTATTTTTTTTAAGCCTCAAACATAAATTTAAATCATCATCATCATCAATATAAATTTAAATATAAATTTTAATCTCATAAATTGAAATTAATATCATGATGGTGCTGTAAGCCTTGCACCTATTATCTAAAAGAAGAAAATTGGGGGCGTTTAAACTCTTATCTTTACCGCAGTGGACCGTTTTAATGATAACTCTCACCTGGTATTACTGATTGTGAGCCTGGATTTCAGGGACTGTAACTGCGGGCTCTGTGTGCACATTGGGGAGCCTCCGCATGGGTGAGTTCAATGCTCTGTTCTTCGTGCTGAAGGTGGAACTCATATGCAATGGCGTTTATTTTTCCCCTGACGACTATAAATTTTCCCTGATAATCTGGGGCCAGAGTCCACTGGTGCAGCAGGTGGGATGCGGGCGGCGGATGGAGTCCCTGAGCTGGGGAGGACTGTGCAGCTCCCTCGGTGACGCTGAGCCCGTCTGGGCATTCATGCGATACGCAGCGCTCTTTACTGCGGGTCCCATCTACAATAATGTTTATCCCGCAGGTGTTTAATTCTCATAGCACAGCTAGGCTAGCAGAGTTTTTAAGGTAAATTAACCAGAATAGACATGATCATGATAAATTCTCTGTCTTGTTCAATCTGCTATCAATGTGCCCAATTGTATAATGATGTCTACCAATGTCTTCCCAGGTTTCCAAAACGGCTCACGAAAATGAGGTGTACACTCATTTGGCTTTGTCCGGATTGTAAAAATATACCTGCACACCTCACCGTGTTTGACTTTTTCAAATCCAGCGGTGTGATTTGACAATCTGATGAGTTAATTTTTCTCCTTGTGCTTTCCTTTAAAAAATGGCCTTGGTAGGAAAGACACATAAAATTACACTGCACATCTTAATAAACTATTTCCGTTACTAAATGACTCAGCATTAGAGTTTGCTGGGGTGCAGGTATGCATTTTAAGAATGACAGTGTTACTTTATTATTTACCTGTAGCATGGGAAAATCCTTCGGGAACACAAAAACTGGGCAGTTAGGATATATTTTTGTTTATTATATTAGTTGTTTTATGAACATGAGTGTTTCCTATATGTTCAAAAGAGCTGGAATGTGGGCTTATTATAATCTCTTTTATAGATCAAATTTATAGCTGTCTTCAAATAAAAGTTTGTGGAACAATACAATTTATTGAGCATACACACTTCCTCTTTCAGTCTCTGATCCCAAACAGATATCAGGAAAGGATCAAAGCTAAAAATAAATGAATGCCTGGGAAGTGCCAGAAGCAGGCAATGCCACATCTTTCTCAAGCTCCACAATCACAAAGACAAGCCCTTGCATTCTGACTGCCTATCTGCAAGAGGACAATGGAAAATTATAAATATAAAGTTACATTTAAAACTATCAGCACTGAAGAAAGGCGCACCAGGATGTCCACTTCTCTGAGATGGAGCTGCCGCATTCCTCGCCGGGGTGCCCCTTAAACTGAAACACCTTAGACATAACCACAAGCACTTCTCCCAAAGGGGAGAAGAAAACAGGCAGCCTCGGGACCTCAGAAGCTGAGGAAAAACAGAGTTGCCCCCTGACCCTGGAGCTCCCATCCACCCAGAACAAGTGAGTCCCTGCTCTCCTGCAGCTCCCAATCCACTTAGAACAGGTGAGTCTCTGGCCCCCTTGCAGGTCCCAATCCCCCCAGGACAGGTGAGTCCCTGGTCCCCTGAAACTCCCATTCACCCAGGACAGGTGAGTCTCTGACATCCTTGCAACTCGTTCTATCCAAAACAGGTGAGTTCCCTGACTGCCTATTTGTTATCATAGATTCCAGACAGGAGCTGCAGAAACTCTAACCAAACTACTAGTGCCCACAGGCACAAAAGCTTCAAGGAAAGCCTCCTTCCTTTGTCAAAGGCTTGGGCCAAGGTTGCCTAACCATAGAAAACAAAAGGCAGTATTGTTCTACTTCAGAAAACATAAAACATTGGTTTTAGAGGGTAGAAGAGAAAGCTGATCTTCCACTTCTCTCTTTGCCTCTGGTGGGGTGGAGTTGGGCAGAGTGGGGCCCGAGTCTGCATCCCACCTTGAGCAGAAGCAGAAAGCTCTGATGCCTCCCGGGGTCTGTACTGCAGAAGCGAGGACGGCCTGGTCTCCCATCCCCTTCACATGGAGGCAGCAGTGCTTTGGTTCCTCCCCCAGAGTAGTGTCAGTGGGGTCCATCCTCTCCCAGCAACAGTGGGATCTAACAGGCAGTGTGAGGTAGTGGGTCCGAGCACGGAGCCGAGCTCCCACCCCACCTGGTGTCTACAAGGCAGAAGGTGGTGGTAAGAGGTGGTAGCTGGCTCTCTGCTGACCTCCCTCTTCTCTTTGGTGTCAGCGAAGCCCGGAAGGAAAATGATTTCACGCCCCACTTGGAGGCACCAAGGGGATGTGGTCAGTGGCCTTTTGTGATGACGTCACAGGGTCCCAGTGGGAAGCTGGACATAGATCCCCACCTGGCCAAGCTATGCCTCAGCAGGAAAACTGCCTGCCAGCAAAGCAGATAAGAAGGTGCAGACTCTACTCATATAGTAAATTGATAATCTCCTACGTATAATAGATAGTCTCCCACTTATTGTCCAGGATGCAGTAAAATCACTTACCACATTAAAAGCAGCAAAATTATAACATAAATGAGGAAAGACAACAAATACTAATAGTGAGATGGCTGGATGCTGGAGTTATCTAGCAAGGGCTCTCAAGCAGCAATATAAATATGCTTCAACAAACATTTATGAATTACCTTGAAACAAATTAACAAATAGAAAGCTTCAGGAAAATCTAAAAACTATACATTGAGCATCACATGACATGCTGTGATAATTTTTTTCTTTAACTATCAAATATAATTTAAGAGGCTCTTCAGAAGCATAATAGTCTATATATTTACCCCTATTTTTATCCATTCCAATGTTTTTTTCTTTCCTTTCTGAAGTTCCCTTTTCCAGTTATCATATCCTTTCTGTATGGAGAATGTCCTGTAGCAATTTTTAAGGGCAGGCTCAGGCTTGCTATTGATACGTTAACTTAGATTTTCTTTTACTTGAAATATTTTTATTTTCCCTTGAAATTTTTTTTTCACAGAATATAGAATTCTGGGGAGACAGTTTCCAAGTGCTGAAAAGAAAAATACTCCAGCCTGGGTGACAAAGTGAGACCCTGTCTCAAAAAATAAAAAAATTTAAAAAAGATAAAAAGAGAAAAAAAACCTGTCTGTCCAGAATTCTAAATCCAGTAAATGTAATAGACTGCTCTGTTTCTCAAGGGTTTCTTAATCACTTTTAACAATTAAAGTAAGATGTTATACTATCTAAGGTGGTGTTTAATGTATGTGGAAGAAATGTTTAGGACAATTATATTTTAAACTTGGGGAGAGTAATGGGATTTAGGTGGAAATAAGATTTCTATACTTCACTCAACATCCTAAACATGTGTTCTAAACTGTGATAAGTTGTGTATGTATATTGTAATACCTACAGCAACAACAAAGAAAATTATACCAAGTTGTATACTCAAAAATCTATAAATAATTAAAAATAGAATCCCACAAAGGGACTCAACTATCTAAAAGGAAGGTAAGAAAAGAAAAATATAGAAAGGGAGAATAGAGGAAAATGATAAATAGCAGACAAATGATAAATAGTAGAATTAAGCCCTAAAAATATCCTAAATACCCATATTGTGAATGGCCTAAATACACCAATCAAAAGAGAAGTTATCAGAGTGGATAAAAACATATGTTCCAACAATAGGCAGTCTATAAGCAACTCACTTCAAATACAACAATATAGGTAGGTTGAAAGTAAAAGTATGGAAAAGGGAATGTTAATTTTTTAAAAATGCAGAAGTGGCTAAATTGATATTAGATAAGGTATACTTTAGAGCAAAGAAAATTACTAGAGACAAAGAGGAACATTACATTATTATAAAAGTATTAGTCCACCTGTAAGATATACGCAACAAACATGTAAGCACCAAACAATAGAGCTTCAAAATATATAAAGCAAAAACTAATAGAGCTGTTGTTGTTTAATGCATATAGAATTTTACTTTTGCAAGATGGAAAAGTTCTGGAGATTTGTTGCATAACAATGTAAATACACTTAATATTACTGAGTTGTACAATTGAAAATGGTAGAGATGATTAATTTTATGTTTTTTTAACCACAATTAAAATGTTATAAACCTGAGAGGAGAAATTGGCATATCCACAATTATAGTTGAGGACTTCAGCATTCCACTCTCAGCAATGATAGAACTACTAAACAGAAAACTGGTAAGGAGATAGAAGAACTGAATACCATAGTTGTTCAACAGAATTTACTTGGCATAATATAGAACCTTTGTATTAGTCAATTCTCACATGGCTATAGAGAAAAGCCTGAGACTGAACAATTTGCAAAGAAAAGAGGTTTAATTGGCTCACAGTTCTGCAGCCTTTACAGGAAGTGTAATGCTAGTATCAACTTGGCCTCTGGGGAGGCCTCAGGAAACTTATAGTCATGGAGAATGTGATGGTCTATACAGAGTGTCAACTTGATTGGATTGAAGGATGCAAAGTATTGATCCAAGGTGTGTCTGTGAGGGTATTGCCAAAGGAAACTGACATTTGAGTCAGTGGGCTGGGAAAGGCAGACCCACCCTTAATCTGGGTGGGCAAGATCTAATCAGCTGCCAGCACGGCCAGGATATAAAGCAGGCAGGAAAACATGAAGAGGCTAGACTGGCCTAGCCTCCCAGCCCACATCTTTCTCCTGTGCTTGATGCTTCCCACCCTTGAACATCAGTTCTTCAGCTTTGGGACTTGGACTGGCTTCCTTGCTCTTCAGCCTGCAGACAGCCTTTTGTGGGACCTTGTGACTGTGTGAGTTTAATATGTCTTAATAAGCATATATATATATATATATATATATATATATATATATATATATATATATATATGTATATATCCTATTAGTCCTGTCCCTCTAGAGAATCTTGACTAATGCAGGGAAGGTGAAGGGTGAGCCAGCACTTCACATAGCCAGAGAAAGATGAAGAGAGAGAGGGACGGGGGAGGTGCCACACACTTTTAAACAATCAGATCTCCTGAAAACTCACTATCAACAGAACAGTACCAAGGGGATGGTGCTAAACCATTCATGAGAAACCGTCTCTATGATCCAATCACCTCTCACCAGGCCCCACCTCCAACACTGGGGATTACAATTCAATATGAGATTTGGGTGGGGACACAGATCCAAACCACATCAACCTTCTACTCAACAACAGAAGAATACACATGTTTGTCAAGTGGTCACGGAACATAAACCATGGTAGGCCATATCCTGTGAGAATTGAAATGACAGAGTATACTATTTGACCAATATGGAATAAAACTGTAAGTCAATAAGAGATACACAATAGGAAGCTCTTTAAACAATTGAAAATTAAACAATCTACTTACATATAATCCATGGGTCAAAGAGAAAATCTCAAAGGAAGTAAAAATAAGTAAAAATTAAAATACAACATATCAAAATTGGGGATATGCAGGCAAGCCAGTTCTGAGAGGGAGATGTATAACACTAAGTGTTCGCTTTAGAAAGTGGGAAGGTTTTAAATCAATAATCTAAATTCTTACTTAAAGCAACCAGAAAAGACGAGCAAAATAAACCCAAAGCAAGCAATAGGTAGGATAAAAAGATAAGAATAAAGAGCTATGAAACTGAATATAGGAAATGGAGAAATCAGTGAACCAAAAAGCTGATGAAAATTACCAGTAAAATTGATAAACCTTTAGCAAGTAAATATTTTTTTAAAAAGACCCAAATCATCAATATCGTGATGAAAGTGAGAAATCAATAAATGTACTGCAGCTGTTAAAGGAATCATAAGGGATTTTAAAAACACACAGAAACTCAACAACTGAAATAAAGTGGGCTCATTCCTTGAAAAACAGAAACTACTGCAGTTCACTTCTGGTGAAATAGATAACCTGAACAGCTTTAACCTCTTAAATTTAATTTGTATTTAACAACTCCCACCCAAAAATCTTCAGACCTAGATGGAGTTCCTGAAAAACACTAGCAAATGTTTAAAGAAGAATTAATGTAAATTTTATATAATCTCTTTCAGAATATAAAAGAAGCACACTTTCTAATTCTTCTTATGAGCCTCACTTATGAAAACAACAGTCTGATATCACTCATGAACTTAGATGCAAAGACTCCATACAATATATTAGCAAAGCAAATCTACCCATGCATAAAATTACTGCACACTACAATCAAATCGTACATTTCCCAGGTATGCAAGGCTGGTTCAACACTCAAAAATCAATCCAGGTAATCCACCATATAAACAGACTGAAGAAAATATGTGGCTCTATGGAGTGATTTAGAAAAAGCATTTGACAAATCCCAACACCCATTCATTATAAAATTTCTCAGGCAATGACGATCCCTCAGGTTGGTGAAGAGCATCTGAGAAATCCAGGGCTGGCATCGCATGTGATCATGAGAACCCAACGCATCCCCTCCAAGACCAAGATTGTGGCACGGCCATTGGTTCTCACCACTGTCCACAACTTGCTGAAAGTCCTGGCCTCTGCAATTAGTCAAGAAAAAAAAAATAAAAACACACAGATTGGAAAGTGTCATGGGCTGAATTATGTGCCCCCAAAATTCACATTGTACTCCTACCCCCAGTACCTCAGCATGTGATTGTATTTGGAGATGGGGCTTGTCAGAGGTACACTGACCTCCCTCTACCACTTCCCTCCACCCCCACACTCACAAGGGAGGACTGTGTTGCAAGACTCCTAGTGGAGGTCTGGAACCACAGATGGAGCCACACCGTATATACACTGCCATTTTTCTATTTGATCCATGATGGCTACTAAGTGACTTCTGGGAGGGAGGTGTATACCACATGGACATGCCAGACAAAGACACAATGCCTATCTCGGGAGGAGCAGAGAGGGACTGTGGGAGATTTCATCACACTGCTCAGAACAGCGCACAACCTAAAGCTTAGGAATTGTTTATTCTGGAATTGTTCATTTAATATTTTCCAACCATGGTTGGCCACAGGTAAATGAATTCTGAGAAAGCAAAACTGAGAATAAGGGGGACTTTACTGCAGTAAGTAATTTAGATGGAGGTCATCAGGGTGGGCACTAACCCAGTAGACTGGTGTCCTTATGTGAAGAGATTAGGATGCAGACAGACACAGAGGAAGGAAGATGTGAGGACACAGGGAAAAGACGGGGTCACAAGTCAAGGAGCAAGTCCTGAAACAGGTCCTTCCATTGCAGCCTGCAGAAGGACCATGCCTGCTGAGGCCTTGATCTAGGACCTCCAACCTCCATAACTCTGAGAAAATAAATTTCTGTTGTCTAAGCTGTCTAGAATGTAGTACTTGTGTATGACAGCCCTCGCAAACTAATGCAGGAAGGAAAAATTAAAACTTTCTACTTGCAGATGGCATGACTGTCTATGTGTGAAATCCCTAAGAATCTACAAAAAACCTGCTAGAACCCATAAGGGATTTTGGTAAGGTCACAGATACAAGTTCAACACACTAAAATCAATCACATTTCTATACAGTAACAATGAACATATGGAAGTGAAATTAAAAATACAAGAACATTTACACAATCACTACAAAAGTGGTATAATTGGTGTAAATTTAATAAAACATGCACAACATCTGAATGCGGAATTACAAACTCCTGCTGAAAGAAATCAATGACCTAAATAAGTGAAAAACATATTGTTTATGGATAGGAAAGTTCAATAGCATAAATATGTCAATTATCCTAAAATGTTTCTCTATGTTTAATGCAATTCCTGTCAAAATCCCAGCAGGGTTTTTGTACATATAGACAAGCTAATTCTACCATAATATGGAAGGGCACAGACCCCGAGTTGACTGAAATGGTATTTGAAAGGAAGAACAAGGTGGGAGAAATCACTTTCTCAGATTTCAAGTCCTACCATGTAGCTGCATTAATGAAGACAGCATAGTATTGGTGCAGGACTACCCATGCACCTCAAAGGAATAGAACAGAGAAACTAGAAGTGACCACACAAATATGCTCAATGCTTTTCAACAAGGGGCAAAAGCCATGCATCAGAGGAAGACTCGCCTTTACAACGCAGAGAGTTGAAAATAAATCTAAATCTCACACTTTAAAAATTAACTCAAAATGAATCATGGACTCTTATGTAACAGGTAAGATTGTAAAACTTTTAGAAAAAAATAGGAGGAAATCTTTAATATCTAGGGGTAGGCAACGAGTTCTTAGACTTGACGTGAGAAACACAATTCATAAAAAAAGAGAAATTGGTAAATTGGACTCCAAATTGAAACTTTTTCTCTACAAAAGCCCTTGTTAGGAGGATGAAAAATAAGCTGCAGACTGAATGTTTGCAAACCACATACCCAACAAAGGTCTCAAATCTGCAATAGAAAAGGGCTGTCAAAACCCAACAGAAAGGTAACACATGATCTAATTAGAGAATGGGCCAAAAACATGAACAGATATTTCATGGAGCAGGACAGACAGATGGCAAATAAACACGTGCGGTGATGTTCAAGTCCATCAGCCACCAGAGAAACACAAAGAGAAAGAACCATAATGAATCAGATGCTACTGTCCACCCATCTGAAAGCCCAAAAGAAGAGAGTGCCAACAGTCAATCTGCAGAGGGTGTGGTGAACCGATGGCTTACCCACGGCGGGTACGAGTCTCAGTGTTGCAGCCACCATGGAAGTAGATTGGCAGTTTCTTAGAACTACCATGGGACCCAGAATTGGCACTTATCACAGAGAAATAAAACAGCATGTTCACATAGAACCTGTACGTGAATGAATGCTTGTAGCAGGTTTGTTCTTCATAGCCCCAGACTGGAAACAGCCCTGACATCCTTTAATAGGAGGATGGTTAAATTGTGGTGTAACTGCACGGTGGATTCCTCAGCAAACCAAGAACAGACTCCTAACGCTGCAAAAGCCTAGGCGAATCTGCAGGGAATTGTCCTGAGTAAAAAAAGCCAATCCCAAGAGTCACATACCATATGACTGCATTGATATAACACTCTTGAAACAGAAGATATACATATACATATACATATACACATATACATATATAATATGTAATGCTATATAGCATTATATAACAAAATTATTGAGATGAAGTGTGATTGGTGGTTGCCAAAGGAGAGATCTTTGTGGCGACGGAGCTGTTCTTAATTCTATCAATGTCATTATCCTTGTTGTGATTTTGTACTTTAATTTTGCAGGATGTAACTATGGCAGAAACTGATAAAGCGTCCACCAGTTCTTTCTATACATATAATAGCATGCAAATCTACAATGATCTTAATATAAACTTTTATTTACAAAAAATGCATCAAATTTAACTAGAAAAGGAGCTAAAACCCAAGGAAAGTGAATACAGCAAACAACAGGGCTTGACAATATAATGAATAACCTCAGAATTTAATGGCTGTCACAAATGTTAAAAAGTAACTAATAGGGATTTCAAAATCATTGTAGGCAATTTAACAGATTTGTCTTTGTTTTGTGACCAAATCCCACTGAAATGACAATAAAGAAATAAAACCCACGATAAAGAAGAAGATGAGAGAGATGAAATGTAAACAACAAAATACAGGAGGCAGGGAGATGGATGGAAGCGTGATGGCGGACGAAACACTCCAGGCAGAGCCAAAAGCCAGGCTACCGGCAGGGAAGGCTGGAATCAGCGTCTCCCCAAAGGCATCTCAAGAAAGGCCTGGGAGCAGGTCAATGCACCCGAGAATGCAGCTGAAGCTGAATACAGCAGAGAATGCCGCTGAAAATGCAGTGGAGGCTGCTCGAGTCTGTGGAATGCTGTATCTCCAAGTATAGTCTCCAACTAGCAGCAGGGCATCACCTGGGAATCCTTAGCAATGCACAGCATGGGTCCCGTGCTAAACCCCGAGTCAGAAACTCCAGAGGGTAGAGCCCAAAGCTTTGCACGTGCTTCTGAAGCTCCCTCAAGTCTGGGACCTGCTGCTGTGTGAGAAAATGTTCATGTCCCAGAGTTCCTTTCCCACCACAAAAGCCTGGCCACCAGCCCTGCCCACCTCAGCAGAAGCCTGGAGGCCCAGAAGTGCTTCTCAAACTTTCACGAGCATTGAGATGCTTGTTAAAATGCAGCTTCCAATCTAACAGGTCTGTGAAACTAGAGACATGCATGGTTAATAAGCTCCCCGGGGACACCCCTGCATCCGTCTGAGTCTCACACTTCCAGTATCAAGGGTCAGGACAGTGGGTCACCTGGCGAGCTGTACAATCCGCCTGGGCCTGCATCCCACCCTGGAGGTTCCCCTTAATTGGCTTGGTGTGTGGCCTGAGTGTTGAGATTTTTAAAGCTCCTGTGTGATTTCAATGGGCTGTGGAGGTTGTGGACCTCTGAAGGAGATGGACTCCGGCACAGCTGAAGGTGAACATTCCGAACTGAAAGTGGAGAACGAGGGAAAGTTTATAAACTGAAAAGTGAAACCTGCACTCTCCTTTCCCCACTCAGCTTCCAGGCAGAAGCTAATATGATTACTCTGCAGGGCGAACTTGTCCAAACGAAAAGAAATAGCACACAGTACTTGCGTTCCAACCTGGTCAGGCAATGCGCTCCATCTGGGCATGCGCACAAATTGGTAAAGTAAAACATTAACCAGGCAATTAATTTTTAGTTAGAAATTGTAAAGGTTAGATATAATTGTTTCCAGAAAATCCCCCCAAATATCTGGGAATCAAGAAGTATGCAAGGTTCATGATTGTGTAAAATTATAAGCTTCAGAACATAAAAGTCAAGCCTAACTAAAGAGACAACCTTACTAGGTAGATGAATTCACCATTTTAAAGCTGTCAATTCTTTCCAGATTGCACTACTAAATCAATTAAATTGAAACTATCAAATCTATTCATTAAAAATTTCAATTCTCCAATAGGATTTTTTAATGAAACTTGATTCTAAAATTTATGTGAAATATGCACAAGTGTAGACAATAATGTTTTCACATAAATGAAAGGGTGCTCCCTGCTCCCAGGTGGAGCAAGGAGGGAACTTTCTGGGGTGACCATCTCTGACCTTCCAGAGTGCTCTGGGTCTGTCCCTCCACCACGTTGTCTCAAAGCCCATTGGCACCTGCAATGAGGGGAGGCAGCTCAAAGCACCCACAGATGAGCTCAGGTCAGGACTTTGCCTCCGGAGCTCAGAATGTATTCTTCTACATTTGCAATAAAAATAGTCACACAGCCAAGACACATGCAATGTGAGGGTCACCACGGTCTCTCCCTGGAGACACTAAGTTTAAATCCTGAGTTTATTGAACTCATATACAGCTAGTACGAGGTATTATCCTTTAAATTATTTATCAGCATCAGGTCAATATAGGCTGATGAGTTTAATGCCATGATGAAGAAAGTCTTGCTGATGAGTCCACGGCATTCCGAGACTTTACCGAAGACCCTGAATCGGCCCTGCCGTTAGGACTCTATCTCACGATACATCTTTTGCTGATTAACTCTGGTTATTTTTTTAAACTTAAATTAACATTTCCAATCTTATTTTTCCCTTTTATGTATCTCTTTGGTCTGATTTTTTTGTTCCTGTTAAATGTATGCTATTATTTCTAAAACTATAAGACATCCACCTTGAAGCTTGAGAGCAGCTGTAACAATCTGATGTTTCCCATAATGACCAGTTTTGTGGATTCTTAGCATTTTTCACCTAAAAATTTAGTATAAGAAAATTATCTTGTAAAAAATAGAGAACACAGCATATGTGAAAAGCCAGAACAGTTCCCATAGCCAGCGGATACTCAAGGACTATACAGAATACATTTCCAAAACCAGATCACCAATTTTTTAAAAATTATCTTCATATGTTAATAAATTATGAGGTATCACAAACCACAAGAAGATAGCCAAGACAGTCACATAAACCTATCAACTGTTAGTACTAAGTATGTTGGATTCCCGTTAGGAAAATAGAAACAGGTATTTCCACAGAAAGGATTCGATGCAGGCAAACAGACACAGAGCCTTGCAGAGCCTAGAGGCTCAGCGGGGAATCATTCAGAGCAGGGGCTCAGACCCGCAAGGAGGGAGGGCGGCCGGGTACACCTGAAGCCAGCGGTTCTCTGAGTCGGAGCCTTTATGGACAAATCTGACGGGGACACCAGGGCGTTCCTCCTCACCTCCTTCCGGTGCCTGCACGGAAGCACCTCTGAGGAGCCCGGCTGGGAAATGGCGGAGCCCCACGTCCTGGAGCAGGGGAGGGAGGAGCGCGGGGCAGGGAGCTGGTGCTGAAAGATGGCCCAGCCACTGGCAGGAAGAACCCTGGGTTCCTCCTGGAAGTGGGGGCTCTGCTCCAGCCCCTTCAGCTCCCACCCCTGCTGCTGGAATCCCAGGCCCTCTGCCTCCCAGCATTTACCTGCTACCTGCTGCTTTCCTTCGGAAGTTAAAAAACTTACTTATTTTTTCCTTTATGTCCTGAAATTCCCTGATTGTTTCAATCCGAGTCCTTTTTATTCTTTATTGAAGGCATTGGAGGGTCTTTTAAATCTGGAAATGTGTGGCCTTTAGTCCTGGGAACCTTTTTGCTTTTAAGTTTTCTGTAAAAACAGTTCCCTTCCCATCCTGGGCTTCCTGTGTTCTTTCCTTCTGGATTCTGTTATTTAAATATTGAGCTTCCTGAACAGGTATCTAATTTTCTTATTTTTTTCTCTTACAGTTTTTATTTCTTTACCTATTTTTCCTATTTCCAGAAGAACTCGTCAACTTTATTTTCTAATCTTTTTGTTGATTTTTATTTCATTTCTACTATTATGTTTTTAGTTTTAGGTAGAGTTGCCAGATTTAGCAAATAAAAATACAGAATGCCCACTTAAATCTGAATTTCAGAAAATCAACAAATAATTCTTAGCTTTTGCGTAAGTACGGCCAATTATTGTATGGGGCATACTTATACTATAAAAATTATCTGTTGATTAAAGGCACAAATTCAACTTGGTTTAGTTTTATGAAGTTTTAAGTTGGTTAGTTTTAGTTTTAAGTCGGTTTACTTTTAAAATGACTTTTTGTTGTTTCCTCAGACTTCTTGTTTCAGATGTGCAATGTTCATTTCTATCTAGATGAGGATATTATTATGATTTCACTTTTTGAAGCCTTTTTGTTCCTGCTCTCTTTACTCTTCCTATTTCTGCTGAAAATTTTTTTCTGTTGATCTATTTTGTTTATTTTAGAGGTATTTTTCTAACACCTGGTTATCATGTTACAGAGTAAGGCTATGAAAATTATGACCACCAGCTCACTGTGGGGTTTGTGCACTATACGCTTAGATGCTCCTGTGGGACCCACCTTTTTTTTGAGAACCCTAATAGTCAGTATGTTTTCGAGAAACGTTCCCACTCCAGATACTCTCACTCTCCTGTTGCTGTGTGTGGGTGCTGGGGGCCAGGTTGGCTACCTCTCTGGCTGATAGCTTTCTAGATGCAGAGAATAGGAGAGGAACCCATGACCTTAGCATTCTGAATTTAGGACTTTACCTGTTCCCAAAGTTTGTGCACTGCAGATCGCCTCAGCCCTTAGCCATGCCAAGCATTTGACTGGAATCTCTCTGGTTGAGTCTCTCCAAAGGAAACTTCCTGACATCGGTTGGAATAGAGAAGAGACAGGAGTCTCTATTCTGCTTTTGAAGATTCAACCATTATTTCTATTTTTTGCCTGACTTTACATTGTGATTTCAAGGGTAATTGCTGCTTCTAGTTTTAAGATTTTGAGATTTTCTGTGTGGGAAAGATAGATGCCATTGAATAAGATTTAGTTTAACTTAACAACTTTATAAAACAAAGAGAATTACAAATACCAAATAAGGAAATCATACAAACCTGAAAAAAGTAGTATAACTCAATTGAACTATTAGAAAATGTGAAAAACATAAAGTTTATTATGATGTTTTACACTCGTTTCAAGTAATGCAACATGTCACACATTTAGGAATTTTGACACAACTAATTGCATCAGGTCCACTTTTTATACCATCTTTATAATCAACTTAGTTTATTTTTCACTACATAGGCATGCATTATGGGGTGGGGGCATGCATTAGTCTGTTCTCGCACTGCTATAAAGTACTACCTGAGACTGGGTAATTTAGAAGGAAAAGAGGTTTAATTGACTCACAGTTCCACAGGCTGCACAGGAAGCATGGCTGGGGAGGCCTCGGGAAACTTACAATCATGGCAGAAGGCGAGGGAAGCAGGAACATCTCACATGGTGGGGCAGGAGGAAGAGAGCAAAGCGAGAGGTGCTACACATTTTGAAAGAAGCAGATCTTGTGAGAACTCACTGATTGTCAGCAGAACAGCAAGGGGGATGTCCACACCCATGATCCAATCACCTCCCACCAGGCCCTGCCTCCAACACTGGGGATAACAATTCAACATGAGATTTGGGTGGGGACACAGAACCAAACCATGTCAGGGCATAAACCAACCATAATTTACACCTGAGAGAAAATATATAGTGGCGCAGTGAGAAATGGCCTGGAAGTTAGTGTTGGCCACTTTGCCACCAACTCTTAACCTTAAAAACTTAGTTTATCTGAATTAAACAGGAGGATAATGCATCATTATCAGTTCCCAAGATATTCAATGATTTCAAGTGATAAAAAGGAACGTTGTGTCAATATTAGAACAGTTTATTGGCATGAGCAAACTTCAGTTATGATGGGTTTATTATTTTTGTTTCATTATTATGAAAACCTGCACCAAAAACTACCCAGATAGCAAGTGGACCGTGGCAACTGGGGGCTGAATGAGAGCCAATCTTGTGGATACAGGTCACACACGCATGAGTGTGTGTCGCTTTATTTTTGTAAGGTCCAGTGAGGCCAGAAAAAGTTTTATACCTTCTATGCATGCATTGAAGAGGTGGTGGAATAATGTGAACATGTCTTGGAAGAGGGGATGCCGTTTCCTGGGTCAGGCACTGGAGCTGGTGTGGATGTCTGCCCCGGGTTCCAGGAGGACTTCTCACCTGCGTTAATGCCGGTCCCCCACCAGGAATGAGCAAGTCTCCGGGGCCTACATCACAGAGACTAAAATCAAATCACAGCCACCCAGAGACACGCTTCCCATGCGTGGCAGAGGGGAACAGATACTGATTCAAAGTTCCTGTAACTTGATTTTTCATAGAAATGGAAAAAGACGTGGTCACTGTGTCATTTTTGTGACCATGAAGATGCACAAGCTTTCTGGGAAGGGGCTCAATGTGCAAAGGCCCCACAGACCATGTCCCAGTGCATCAGGGTGAGGACGTGGGGCTGGGGCAGACCTTTCTCACACTGCTCTAACCACTCATGTCCTGGTTTTGTGGATAGAAGAGGTATTTGCAAGTTCAATCGAGCCACACGTAGGACCATACACGGAAGTGAACCGTGTGAGGAATGTGTGTGGGAGAGTTCGCGTGAAGTCTGCGTGCACAAGGCAGCGGCGGCCTGCTCTCGGAATCTGGTAATGAGCCCGACTTGGCACCACATCTGCTGAGACTGCAGGCGCTTCATGGCGCGTGTCCTGGGGGTTCACAGTGCGAACCCGAAGGGTGGTTTCCACTTGGGAGCACTCATTATGCTTTCAAAACATGAATTTTCTATAAAGCAGATATAAGATATTGAGCTCAAAGTTATGGAGAACTAAAGATGGAGAAAATAAGTCTCTATGACTGGAGAGTTTTAAAGAACTAAATTTTCATGGGTTTGAGAATGTGTTAGAAGTGAAAAGCTCAGTGTAACTAGTCCTAATCATCATCATCATCATAATAGTAAAATAAGGAGTGACAATATTCCCGGAAGGAATTG
Source organism: Homo sapiens (assembly GCF_000001405.40). Lineage (NCBI taxonomy): Eukaryota > Metazoa > Chordata > Mammalia > Primates > Hominidae > Homo > Homo sapiens. The sequence goes on from NC_000002.12 coordinate 485,246, forward strand.
ACCAGAGCCGTTGACATTCCCGTGCCTACAGAACCTAATATTTGGACATTAGCTAATGATGAATAATAACAAAGAAAGTGCAAAGCTACTAACCGAAAATTTAATGTGTTAATTTATTTGTCTAGATCTGTTATTTTTCTCTATGAATATTTCATTTCTGAGGGCCTCTCGGAATTATGATAATGTAATGCAAATTAATAAAATATGATCAGAGTCTACATCAAGTCCAGCGAGAGTAGGAGAGAGGAAGTTTAAAACAAAGTCTCCCAAAATGGAGGTGACACTAAGATCTTCTCAATTGGGAATTTGCTGATAAGTTCACTGTCATGCTTTGCTTTGAGTAACTTCACCCTTTATATTGAGAAATAAAACCGAAATCCTAAGCCCCCAGCTGACTGAACAGATTTCCTCTTGGGCCAGGGATCCCCAAGCAACCCTGGCAGCTGAACTCAGAGCCATAAGGCAGGGGCAACAGGACACACCCCATTATATCCATCCCTCACTAACAGTCCTTAGATTTTCTTCCCCAAGGGCTGAGCAGAAACAGCCTTTTCAAGTCTGGCTGATCTTCCCAGATACAGAGCAAAGGAAACAAGGTTAACCCTCCTTCTGCCCCGAGACCTGGGCTTCCTCTATTCCCCTTTTCCTCAAATGTTCACCTTCTCTTAGGTCAAACGTAGACTGGCGGGCACTAGCTAAAGACTCACAAGTATGTACTCATTTGTTTCACTGTTGCCCCCACTTCTTTTTCTGAGGAAAATGTATGAATACCAAGTCTCCTAAGAACCTCTCTGCAAAAACGGCAGTGGATGCTTCTGTGATGCAGATTTCCTGGGCACACTCTCCCGCTGGCTCAATGAACCTTGGTGATTTGAGACGTACAGCTGTCACTCATTTGGGTCATCAGTGTCACCATTTATTAGGTCCACGCACAGCAGGTCAAGTTCTCTTCCACGGTACATCTTGCAAAATCTGGAAGCTGATGGAAGTTTCACTGTCCCCTCCAGGCAGGCGTGGAGGCTTCATCCAGAGACACCACCTTCGGTCTCTGGCCCGCCTGCCCCCAGCCTCCTCTTTTGCCAGTGTGATTTCAGGAAAGTCCTTCTGAATAGAACATTTCATGTCTGGAAAGTAAAAATGATGATAAAGCCATGAGGTTTCTTTCTTGGAGCCTGCACTTCAGCTGCTGAGGCTTAAGACACTGCCCTGTTGGCAGCTGGGTACGGCATCTCACCAGCAGTGCTGGACACCAACAGGTGCTCTGTGTGCAGCCGGCATCTCACCGGCTGTGCTGGACACCAACAGGTGCTGTGTGCGGCCAACATCTCACCAGCTGTGCCGGAAACCGACAGGTGCTGTGTGCAGCCGGCATCTCACCGACTGTGCTGGACACCCATAGGTGCTGTGCGGCCCACATCTCATCGACTGTGCTGGGCACTGACAGGTAATGTGTGGGTGGCGTTTTGCTGGCTGTGCTGGACACCAACAGGTGCTGTGTGGCCCTGCTGTGCCTGTCTCAAGTCCAATGAGAGTGGGAGACCTATTCAGCAGCAGTTTTTAGAAACCAAATGGCAGGGTTTCTGCTGCCCCATATTAACTGCCATCTTCCTAGGCGCACCCCACTGTGCCCGCTGGTTCAGGTCGGTCAGGTCTCGGTTCTGCCACTTAGATTCTTACTTTTCCTAAATTTCTGTAAGTTTCAGATTTGATGAGTGTCATCATTTCCTCATTCAAGGCACTCATTCATAAACAAATACATGGCAGGCATCTGGACAGAGAACTTACCTTTTTGGAGGCATTGTCTAAATTTAGTCATTAGGTCAGCGGGAACATGATAAGACTTCAGCAAGACATGAAGTATGTGAAGAAATGGCAAAGACTTTTATTTTCTACTGAGAAACTTTTAATTTATAATTACATCAATTAATTTGCAGCAATGTTTTTGAATATTGTAACTCAGTTATGAGATTGCCTAATGCACTACAATGTGGCTCATGCATCTTCATCTTTTTTGGAATGACAGAATCGCAGCAGTGGGGCCCTATTTACAGAGCTCTGTGGGCCGCCTCCCTGCAGCCTGTTCTTCTGGGAGCAGCTGCCCAGCCGGGGCCACCGTTCACAGCCCTGCTTGCATCCAGCGATCCATGAGACTGATGCTCTCTGAAGAAAGGAGTGACGTCTGTTATATCCAGTTCAGAAGAGTTGAGAAGCAGCTGTGGCTTCCTTATGGTCTCTCCTTTTCTCTTCCTGCTGGTCACACAGGCATGATCTGGGGTAAGCCTGTAGCTCCTAGCATACGTGGGACATGCATCCTGACTGTCAGGACAGCAAGAAATATGCACCTGTGGTTTCAAGCCACTGTGATTGGGGCTGTGGACCAGGCACATGCAACCTCCCCTCACCCTGGAAGACCAGTAAGTGTGTCTGTGTGAGCGCACGTGGAACCGCATTCGTTCTGGTTCTGCTGTATGATGACAATGACCGTGGCGCTCACCCTGCGTTTGCCAACCTTCACCGTGCGTTTGATGTTCAAAAGCTCCCTGTGGGGCAGATGCCACCAGCAGTGGTCCTGAGGCGACTCTCCCCGGGGGCAAAGCCACTGACAGGGAGTGAGGAGGAGCCCAGACCTGCAGACCCCACGCCGGTTCCCTCCGCAGACCCCACACCCGTTCCCTCCGCAGACCCCACACCCGTTCCCTCCGAAGACCCCACACCCGTTCCCTCCGCAGACCCCACGCCCGTTCCCTCCGCAGACCCCACGCCCGTTCCCTCCGAAGACCCCACGCCCGTTCCCTCCGCAGACCCCACGCCCGTTCCCTCCGCAGACCCCACGCCCGTTCCCTCCGCAGACCCCACGCCCGTTCCCTCCGCAGACCCCACGCCCGTTCCCTCCGAAGACCCCACGCCCGTTCCCTCCGCAGACCCCACGCCCGTTCCCTCCGCAGACCGCACGCCCGTTCCCTCCGCAGACCCCACGCCCGTTCCCTCCGCAGACCCCACGCCCGTTCCCTCCGCAGACCCCACGCCCGTTCCCTCCGAAGACCCCACGCCCGTTCCCTCCGCAGACCCCACGCCCGTTCCCTCCGCAGACCCCACGCCCGTTCCCTCCGCAGACCCCACGCCCGTTCCCTCCGCAGACCGCACGCCCGTTCCCTCCGCAGACCCCACGCCCGTTCCCTCCGCAGACCCCACGCCCGTTCCCTCCGAAGACCCCACGCCCGTTCCCTCCGAAGACCCCACGCCCGTTCCCTCCGCAGACCCCACGCCCGTTCCCTCCGCAGACCCCACGCCCGTTCCCTCCGAAGACCCCACGCCCGTTCCCTCCGCAGACCCCACACCCGTTCCCTCCGCAGACCCCACACCCGTTCCCTCTGCAGACCCCACACTCATTCTCTCTGCAGCACCACCCACCCTGCCCTCGCAGTTCCCAGAGAACACGCTGGGGCTAGGTGACCTGGGTTCAGTGCTTGTTAAACACTTTTAAGCAATCCTTCTAATACAATGTCTTTGACCCAGAAATGGCCTGAACAGGGAAACAGAATAATATCCACTGTCTCAGTTCTCTCATTATCCCCCAGGGTTCCAAGCTCAGGAAAATGGTGTAGCAAACACACCTGCAGTCCTCAGGCCTCTCTTGTGTGCCGAGGGCAGGCTAGGAACGGGGGGAGGGCGGCTCTGGACTGAGCTTGGAGTCCCTCAGCCAGGACCCTCATGCTGTTCACATGCCCTTGCTCTCTGCGGCTCTCCCTGCTCCGGGCACCCTCCTCACTGAGGCAAAACATATGTTTTCATATTTTGCTCCTGCTTTAAAAAATTCCTCTGACCTCCCCCGGATTTGCTGCAGTTTAAATCCATTGATTCACCAAAGATTGGGCAAGTGTCGCTGTGTCCGAGTATTCCTAGGAGCCAGGCCTCAGGATGCCTGTGCTCATACCACTTAGTTTCTAGAGAGGGAGAGAGGAAGCCGGCAAGAGGACGCAGAGTGCGGCAGGCAGAGTCCAGCAGAGAGGGAGGGCGCATGTCAGGTTTGGTGGATTGCAAGTGTGAGGTCACGTGGTTCTACCTGCCTTTCAAGTCGTGCCTCAGCGAATGCATCCCCTTCCCTTAGGTGGGACGCGATTTGTGAGGTCTCTGACCTCCTTTCCTTCCCATCTCGAGCGCTTTCTCCACTTTGCACACACTGACCTCATCACACCCATCAGCTGTGCATTCCAATGCTCTCGCAATTCAACTTAAATTATCTTTGCGATGAAAATCCTTTTCTGAGGTTCAGGACTCCCATAGTTTTCTTATTTAATGCTGTCACGTGGCTTTCCAGTCCATAATGTAATATTTATTTCAGACAAGAAACTCCTCAAGGGCAGAAACCGTGGGTGCTGGACAGAGTGTGAGCCCTGGAATCAGATGAGGCCGAACCCCGTATTGTGACTGCTCCCTGGGGATCTATGCACACATCACGGAAACACATTTGGCCTGGGTTTCCTCCCTGTTAGATTGGGAAGGTTGTTCAGCATGAAGTGGTTGTGAGGACTAAGTGACTTTAAAGGAACGGTCCATGAAAGGTCCTTGTGGAAAGGCTTCTGTCTCCAACACAGCAGGGCCTGCCACATTCAGACCATTCCAAATGTTTTTCCCCAACGGGTGACATCAGCATCTGCAGGTTCACGGGTAACTCCAGGTTGGTGCAGCTAAGTGTCCACAAGTTCACACTGACCAATTTGTCAAAGAAAAGACAATGTGTGTGTGCGCATGTGTGTGTATGTGTCTGTGTGTGTGCGTGGGCACGTGTGGATCCGTGTGTGCACGTGTGTGTATGCGCATCTGTGTGTGCATGTGTGTGTGCACACACATGCCTGTGCAAATTAAAGAGGCTGCTGCGTGGTGGTTACCATGTAGCTCAGTGGCCCCCCGGGTGCTGAGGAGCTGCAGCTGAGTGTGTACGGTGGCTTTGCAGTTATAGTCGTCCCCTCTTATCCAGTTTCCCCTTCTGTGTTCAGTTGGAAAATATTAAATAAAAAATTCCAGAAATAAACAATTCACGAGTTTTAAGTTGTGTGCTGTTCTGAGTAGCATGATGAAATCTCGCTCCATTCTGCCCGGGTCGTGATCTCCCATCTCCAGCAGACCCACGGTCTGTGCTCCTACCTGGTATCCACGTCGCCTGCTCCTGACGTCAGCCACCAGCACCGCCAGGGCTGTATGATGGAAGCAGGGACCCTCCTTCTGTGCCTCCTTGGGAGACAGCTGCAGCCAAGCCAGGTCACAGTGCCAGCAATACTCACCGCACTGAACCTCGTCACGTGGGCATCACAACCCCTTATGTCACCCCACGAAGAAGGGTGAGCACAGTGCAATAGGATATGCTGAGAGAGAGGAAGGCCAGAGTCACATGGCTTTCATTACAGCACATTGTCACGATAATTCTATTTTACTATTGGTTATTGTTATTAAGCTCTTACGGTGCCAGATTTGGAAATTAAACTTTATCATATGTAAGAATGCATACGAAACACACGGTATATGTAGGATCTGGTATTATCCATAGTTTCAGGCATCCACCGGGGGTCTTGGAACATACCCCCCGTGAATAAGGGGATATGCTGTATTAAGAATTTTATTTACTTTGCTAGAAAAGATACAAAAATAAATACCTCTTAATAGTCAGGTAATATTTCAATAGATGACATTGGGATTCACATTATTCCACAGCTAGTGCAATTTATTTTTCTTAGTATTGTGCAGGAGTTAATATGGCCAGAAGGAACCAGCATTCCTTTATTCACCCAATCACTCATGAAACATTACTGGGTATTTAGCAGATATTCAATCAATATTTGTTGGATGCATATCAATCTGCTAAGTGCCTGAAGTTGTGCAGACTGAGATGTAAAAGAGCTTGTCACACCTGTGCACAGCGCAGTCGGAGGAGAGTCAGAATGTCTCTAGGATGAAGGAATGAGCAGTGGGGAGCGTGGCTGGTCCCCAGCAGCCCAGACTTGGGGTCCTTGTGGCAGCATGAGATGATGTCATTGCTGGATGGATCCCCCGAGGAAAGAATGAGCAGGTCTTGATTCTACGAATGTGAAGCAGCAACAACTGCATGTTTATTCCAAATAAATAACATATATTATACATAGGCCAGTATCGCATTCCATTATTGATATTTATAGCTGCATTCACATTTATATTCATGTCTGTGTATGTATCCATCCACCCATCCATTCAGTCATCCATCTGTAATATGCCTACTGTTATCTATTTATCTTTCATCTATCTATCATCTATCAATCATCTATCAATCTTTCTGTATTATCTATCATCTACTTGTCTATTTATCTATCCATCTATCTATCTTATCATCTATCTAAAATATCCATCTAAAATATCTATCTATCTATCTCTCTATCATGTATCTATAGAGAGAGAGGCCGTGGGATCTGAGTTAATTCCCTGATTCTGCAGATGTGGATCCCGTCTACCTGATCCCCTCCACTCGTGGCTCCTTATTGGGTTCTGACTTCTGCCCTTCCCCTTCTGAAATATATTTTCTATGTGTGCAGGATATTTTATGTCTAAAATGCTAATTTGAACAAGTAACTAATTTCCTTAAAACCAGTTTACTCTTTTCACATAGTAAAGTCTAATCAAGTCCTGTTTAATTATTCTTTATATTTTACCTTATAATATTTTATAGATCTTTAATCCAGTCTAAATTTCTTATTATCTCCCAGACATTCCTTGGGTTTTTCCCTTTCCACCTTTGCTCATACCATTTGTCTCACTGAAATGACACTTCCGATATCTTTATGCCTGCCTCTGTTTTTAACCTCATTAAGCCCATTTTTTACCTGGTTTCTGATTTCCTAACTCTAGATTTTGTGCTGCATCTGTGAATGATTTTGATGTCTCTTGTAGCTCTCTGGGTTTCAGTCATCAGCCCTGCTCCGAGGACTCTCATGTCCTCATTCTGGCTTGGGCATCTCCCTGAGGCTCCCATATGAGTGACCAGTTTCCAGCGGACGTCCCACAGGGCACCTCTTGGTGCTCCCGCACGGTGCGGTCGAGGCTTCTCAGCACCTGCATCCCTGCTCCCCATCACACCCTGGACCTTCTGCGGTGCAGTCATCACAGCCTCCTGCCTCACTTCCTGAGCCTCAGGGACGCCCGCTCCTTGCTGCCTCCACCCTCTCCCAGGCTCAAGCTGATATCATCTCCTGCTACACAGCAGCCTCTGTCTGCACTCTAGGCTTTCAGGTTTGTTCTGATAAAACTCACCCTCTGCTCGGCGGCCAGACGCTTCACCTGGAACACAAGCAGGACCACGTAAGTTGTTGCTGGACACAGCTAAACAGGCTCCCTTCACCTGCCAACAAGCTGCAGTTCCTCTGCCTAGCAGCACGAACTTTCCTGACATACCCCATGCTCCTCTGTCCAGCCCCACAAATGGCCGTCCATGCCTTGAACTTTATGTTCTGTGAACTTCAGACGACCTAGAATGCCCCGACTTGGCATTTCTCACCCCAAGCCGCTGAGCTGGCATCTGTGTGGAATGACTTCTTTCTCCGTTTACACACGTGGGTAATGCCTGATTGCTTTAAGGCTTGTCCCCAGAAGGGCTCACCTTGTATCCTGCTACCAAGTTGCACTGGACCCACGTTCTAACATTTTGGAAATCTCTTTCTACATATTTCACTCTATTAAAATTATCTGCAAGTGTGTTTGTCTTCTCAACTAGATTGAATCCCCTGTGTCCCAGGATAGTCATTTAATATTTTCCATCCCCATCACAGAGCACCCTAAATAAACATTTGCTGATTGGAAAAGTCAAGTGGAAAGAGTATCTAACTCATGGAAGTTTTAGGTGGATACAATGAGGTAATGGCCACACATGAGTTTAAAACTTAAAATGCTTTAAGCCGTGTAAAGTGTCAGTGATGGTGCTGACGTCAGTGGTGATGATGACAATGATGAATGCGCAAATACGCAGTGACTGCTGCACAGAGCGGGACTCAGGAGGGAGGCCTGAGCTAAAAATTTAATAATATTATTCATCCCAAGATGAGTCATCCAGGGGCAATTATAGAGGTTGAAGCAAAGAACATGATAGATTGATCCTTTCTGAAGAGGGGCATTTAAAGTCTAGGCAAAGAGAAGCCATTACAGGGTTAGAGAAGGAACTGCTGAAGTAAGGCTCAGACCCAGAGGCAATGACATCATCATGTCAGGATAGAGCTCAGACCCAGAGGCAATGACATCATCACGTCAGGACGGAGCTCAGACCCAGAGGCAATGTCATCATCACATCAGGATAAGAGTTCAGGAAAGACAAGGGGCAGTGGTAGGAAAGGCCCCAGAGAGCCTGGGTCACCAATGGGAGGCCACGTAGCTTGGGCTCAGCACGGAAGGCACCATTGCTTACCAGAGTGACCCAAGGACATTCTTTTTTTTTTTTTTTTTAACTGTTATTTTCAGTTCAGGGATAGGGTTTGTTACATAAATAAACATGTATCATGGAGGTTTGTTGTACTGGTTATTTCATCACCCAGGTATTGAGCCTATTACCCATTAATTATTTTTCCTGATCCTCTCCCTCCTCCCACCCTCCAACCTCCAATAGGCTCCAGTGTGTGTTGTTCCCCTCTATGTGTCCGTGTGTTTTCATCACTTAGCTCTCACTTATAAGTGAGAACATGCAGTGTTTGGTTTTCTGTTCCTGCATTAGTTTGCTGAGGATAATAGCCTCCAGCTCCATCTATGTCCCTGCAAAGGACATGATCTCATTCTCTTTTTATGGCTGTAGAGTATTCCATGGTGCATATGTACCACATTTTCTTTACCCAGTCTACCATTGATGGGCATTTAGGTTAATTGCATGTCTTTGCTATTGTGAATAGTGCTGCAATGAACGTACTCATGTGTATGTCTTTACAATAGAATGATTAATATTTCTTTGGATATATATCCAGTAATGGGATTGCTGGGTTGAATGGTAGTTCTGTGTTTAGGTCTTTGAGGAATCGCCACACTCCAATCAAAACACTTCCAATCAAAACCATAATGAGATACCATCTATCACCAATCACAATGGCTATTATTAAAAAGTCAAAAACTAACAGATGGTGGCGAGGTTGTGGAGAAAAAGGAATGCTCATACACTGTTGGCATGAGGAGATTCTTTGACTACACTTACAATAATGGGAAATTAATGAGATACTGTATCCTCTGAGGGCAGGAATACTACCTGCCTTATATTTCCTTCCCCCAGCACAGCATGTGCCTCGCAGGGGTGCTCTGATTTACATTCTTTTAAATGACAACAAAGTTTCATGGCATGCCTGGTGGCCTCCCGGGTAACGTGGCCAAGACAAGCTTCTCTATGCCTGAATTTCATCCTGGGGTGATATGGTTTCATCTCTGGAACATTAAGTTGGTAAAACTTTTATGTTTCTTGAGTCAGTCAGTTGCTTTATAAAGAATCAATAAATGTTAAAGTAGCTGTGATGATAATTGATCCCTGGCAGCAGCGTGTCCTGAATTAACCAGGGAGCCGCTGTGTGTGCTGGACGGGGGTGCACCGGCCTTCCGGCCTCCTCCGTCCCTGCTCCCCCTTTCTCTTCTCCTCGCCTCTTCCTCCACCTCTCCCTCTTTCTCAGAGAAGGAGGGCTTTTCTCTTCATGGGAATTAAAATGCTGATATCTCACACTGGGCCTCAAGAAACCCTAGAGCAATGATTGCATTTCAGATAAATACAATGTGGAACATTTAAAAACTGGTTAAACACGTGGTACGTGAAAGTTCTCACGCGGAAAAAGCAAAGGGTGAGAATGTTAACCAGGAAGATTGTGAGGATTATTATACCATCCCACACGGACACAGGAACTATTCTACCATCCCACACGGACACAGGAACTATTACACCATCCCATACAGACACAGGAACTATTCCACCGTCCCACGCGGACACAGGAACTATTCCACCGTCCCACGCGGACACAGGAACTATGGCACCGTCCCACGCGGACACAGGAACTATGGCACCGTCCCACGCGGACACAGGAACTATGGCACCGTCCCACGCGGACACAGGAACTATGGCACCGTCCCACGCGGACACAGGAACTATGGCACCGTCCCACGCGGACACAGGAACTATGGCACCGTCCCACGCGGACACAGGAACTATGGCACCGTCCCACGCGGACACAGGAACTATGGCACCGTCCCACGCGGACACAGGAACTATGGCACCGTCCCACGCGGACACAGGAACTATGGCACCGTCCCACGCGGACACAGGAACTATGGCACCGTCCCACGCGGACACAGGAACTATGGCACCGTCCCACGCGGACACAGGAACTATGGCACCGTCCCACGCGGACACAGGAACTATGGCACCGTCCCACGCGGACACAGGAACTATGGCACCGTCCCACGCGGACACAGGAACTATGGCACCGTCCCACGCGGACACAGGAACTATGGCACCGTCCCACGCGGACACAGGAACTATGGCACCGTCCCACGCGGACACAGGAACTATGGCACCGTCCCACGCGGACACAGGAACTATTGCACCGTCCCACACGGACACAGGAACTGAAAGGCTGGAGCTGGGGGTCCGTGAAAAGTGATGGCAGAGGTGGCAGGAGGTGGCGGCAGCCACCGGGATCCCCAGGCTGGAGGGCAGAAGGTGGGGAAGCAAGACAGAGGCCCCTGGCGATGCCCGGCCCCAGAGGCCACTCCACATGGAGTCCTGGGCCTCCTATCCCTGGTCCCTTCCCCCATGTCTCGGCTACCATGACCTTGCCACCCTCCCCACCCGGTTGAACGCCTCTCAGCACTGCTTTCCTTCCTGCGCCCTCAGCCCCTCGCACATCCGGATGGCTAATCCTCCTCCTGAGGAAATTCACTCTCTCTATTTTGCGACTGTTCCCAGTCACCTGAGCATCCTGAGCATCGATGGTGAGAAGCTACAGGAGGCCGAGCGGCTGTTGACGCCCAGGACCGTGGGCAGCACCTTGCAGGGGGAAACCGGCTTCCTCCGGTCTCCCAGAAGAAGAGTTCAGGCCTTCTCTCCTCTCTCCAGGCCTCCAGCTCTTCCCCATCCCCGCTCTCAGCGGAGGACTGGCTTCTGTTTTCACTGAAGAAATCACAGCCTCCTGAGAGGACTTCCCCAGACGCAGCCCTCCCCTGTACCCGCTCCTCCTCCACATCCCCACCTTCCATGCCCAGGGCAGCAAACCACCCCCCATCTGCTTGGGGATGTCAACAGGCTCCCTGTTTCCTGAATCTTCAGTTTCTCCTTCCTGCTTGATTCCCATCCACAAACTTACCATTATGTTTCTTGTCTTTAAAAGAAAAATAAAATTTTTGCTTTTTATCCAACCACTCCCCGTTTTCCTGCTGCTTATGGCAAAAGCTGCACCAAGGAAAAAATGCTGCCCCTATTCTCTCTCCTGCCCTTCGCAGGAGCCTTTGACCCCAGAGCTCCCCTGAAACTGCTCTTGTCAGTTTCATGAAGAGCCGCATGATGCCAAATCCCACAGGAAACTTCGGTGTTTATCTGACGGGTGGACGCCCTGCCCTGGAAACGGTCCTGCCTGCCCCGATTCATGCATCTCCTGCCCCGCGTCTCGTCGTGGTCCTGGCCTCCCGGGGTAGCGTTTGAGGCCCGGCGCTCAGACCCACGCTTCCCCTCTTCTCCTGCCCAGCGTCTGGCCTCACCCGAGCTCTGCTGATCCCAGAAGGACGTCTTCAGTCCTGACCCCTCGTGCTGGCTCCGAACTCGCGTTTCTGACTCCCAGCAGCACTGGCAGCCCCTTGACCTTGTGCCTTGAGATCACGTCCCAGCCTGTCTGTCCTCATAGCCCCTCCATCCCGCAGCCTCTCAGAAGCCGCCCTCCCCACTGTGCCCTTTCTTGGTTTATATTCCTGCTTGTGCGTGCGTGTCGCTAATGCACCTACATTTTTGTATCGGTCAAATTCTTTGTGTCTCTTTTGGTTGGTGCCAGTTCAGTCAGGGGAGACAGGTTCCTCCGTTTGGTTCACGTCAGTGTGTCAAGTTCTTAGAATTAGAAGTGAACTGTGTGGATGAGCGTGGCCTTGCCAAGAGTGAGAGCATGGAGAGATGCCGAGGGCCGGACTCAGGACACGGGGCCAGGGAGGGGGCGCAGGACTAAAGGATTTTACAAAACAGAGGTTTCGTCTTTGCCACCTCTTAAAGAATTCCGTAAGTTGACTTTCTGATTTTTAATAGCGAGAAGAGCACCCACCTTTTTTTTGCAGAGGTGATGGAGTATAGTTTTAATGAGAGGTGAAATCACACAGGAGCCCCCGGTTTCTGGCTGTGGCTTGCACCACCTGCTTCCTGTTTCAATGAACGTTGATGAAAGTGGAGTTTTGTCAATTTTTAAAAAACCACTGCCTGCCTTCATCAGGTTTGATATTTTCAAAGTGTGGCTGCCTCTTCTCGCGCCCCCCGCTTCCCCTGATGGACGTCCATCCTCCTGCTCCGCGTGGCTCAGGGTCCTGCTTCACACCTACACTGGCATCCCATAAGCACAAGGTTCCAAACGTGAGTCATCAGCATTTGCATGAGGAAACAAGGTAAGCAAAGATTTGGCAAGAAGAATTCGAACTCAAAGCCATAATATTATTCATGAATTATGAGCAACAAGATTAGATCTGGAGCTTGTTTCAGTGAGGATTTGAGAGGAGAGGGATCAGGAGACTGACTTGGCCCGTCAGCCCCGCTGCTGTGATCTGTGGAGAAACAGGATTCCATTGAGCTTCATTCTATGGGCACACAGCTGCTTTCAAAAATTCTTTCTAATGATGAGCTTGCTAAGAAAAATGCTCATCTTTTTCTGTAATAAGGCTGGACATTTTCCTTAGAGAGGCTTTCATCTGTTTTTTTTTTTTCCTTGTAAATGGGAAAATTGCCAAACATCTGGGTACCAAATGCCCACAGTCTCTGAGGTCCATCCATGGGGCAGCCGCTCTGTGAAATGAAAATGTTGCTTCTTGACTTGACGAAGGCTCATGTGCAAACCCCTGGCTCAATGGTGCCTATGGCCACAATCCCCCAATTAACCATCAGATCTGCTTGCAGAGGGCTGCCCCACGTCCAGAAAGGCTGCAGTAACTCGGGGAGTGTGGCTGGATGTGATACCTACTTGGGGGCTCACAGCAGCTCGCATGTGTTTTTTTAAGTAGTTCCATGAGGCAAACTCTCCAACTAATGAGGCCTGTGTTGGAAGACTTGGGTCCTGAAATTGCTCAACCTGACAACTGCATAATAAGAAAGATGTTCCCAGGTCAGTTCACCTAGCAGTTCTGTCATCTGATCACAATTTCAGCTGCTGCTGCTCCGTCGGCCTGGGGCTCACGAGAAGGAAGACCTGGAAACCATGCCAGGGCAACAGGAAGGGGTGTCAGGCTGAGCTTGTTCCCTCAGCAAATCCTTTCTAAAAGCCAGGTGTGTTCACACAAGGTGTAGGGACAAATTCCTATAGGTCAAATTAAGCCAGAGATAATCCTGCTAGGTCTTCAATTTCTGCTAATTGGCTAATCATCAAGTTATTTTGCCTGGGGAAGAAGAGAGAAATGGCCTGGTGTTGACTGACGGCATTAAAGTGCATGGGCATGTGTGTGCCTGCATGTGTGTGTGTGATGCACACTTGTGTACGTGCATGCACGTGTGCCTGTGTGTGAACATGTGTGGGTGCGTGCATGCATGTACATGTTGGCATTTGTGTGTGTGAGCATGTGTGGGTGCATGCATGTGTGTACATGTCTGCATGTGTGTGTGTGAGCATGCGTGGGTGCATGCATGTGTGTACATGTCTGCATTTGTGTGTGTGAGCATCTGTGGGTGCGTGCATGAGTGTACATGTCTGCATTTGTGTGTGTGAGCATGTGTGGGTGCGTGCAGGTGTGCCGTATGTGTCCATACGCTCCTTATGAAAGCCTTGTGGAATTAACATCATGGAAAAAAACTAAACAGAGACTCCTAAAGTTTACGTAACTTGCCATGTTCCAGAGTCAGCATTTAATCCTATACGTGTACACTTTATACACGAAATAAAAATCAATCCATCTGCACATGAGTTATGACCAAGTGTAGACTTATTCTGCACCAATGGGAGGAGACTCAGGAGGGGATCTCCACTGCCAGCAGATGGGAGGTTGTAGGGGAAGGACTGGACCCTGCAGAGGATTTGGGTAGACAGAGGAGAGAGCAAGCAAAGCCAGGTGGGAGTCCACGCTTGACCTTTGCTTAAAGATATCCTTTACTCTCTCTGCACCTGATTTAACTCATCTGAAAGATAAAAATAAAAATAAATACCCTTGCTTAAGGTTGTCATCAGGATTAAAGAAGAGAGTGTGAGACTTGCATGGCTCATACTAGGCATTAAGAATAGTAGTTATTATTACCTGGGCATTCTACAGCTGAACATGTCGTAATGAAACAACCAAAAACTCAGCTTTCCTGCCCTATACTGTTCCCTTGCATTGTTTCCTCTGGCACAACTGCCCTTACCTGGCTCTTCTACACCTGCTTAGATGCCTCAGCGTTTAAGCCCTGCTCAAGCACTAGAGTCGCCATGCACCATCTACTGGCTGCCTGTGCAGGACCCCCCTTGGTGCCCCACATATGTGTCCACCTCCAGCACTGGCATTTATCCCTGTGACCGACCAGGTTTCCTGTGTTACACTTATCTTTATCTCCAAATGCCTCACAGGGTCAGCACCAACGGGTTCACCTGATTGATGCTCAGGATGTTGGCGGGTTGAGTTTGCTATGTGTGTGATGTGTGGGGACTGACGCAATAACAATGGCATTTAAAGCTGTTGACAGGCAGGCGCGTTGGCTCACATCTGTAATCCCAGCACTTTGGGAGGTTGAGGCGGGCAGATCACCTAAAGTTAGGAGTTTGAGACCAGCCTGGCCAACATGATGAAACCCCATCTCCATTAAAATTACAAAAATTAGCCGGGCTTGGTGGCGGATGCCTGTAATCCCAGCTACTCGGGAGGTTGAGGCAGGAGAATTGCTTGAACCCAGGAGGCAGAGGTTGCAGTGAGCCGAGACTGCACCATTGCACTCCAGCATAGGCGACAAAAGCGAAACTCCGTCAAAAACAAACACAAAAGCCGTTCACATTGTGGGTGGATTTTAGGGCTGCTGCTGTGCCAAGGGCCATGGCTGCATCCAATCTTCGCCAAGCCTTGCTCACCCTTTCTTCTTGTCCCCTGAATCCTGTGAGCTACTCTGTCACCTTTTCATCATAGCTGGACACTTGGGGCACAGAGAGCTTAAATAATGTGCCCATGGTCACTGGCCAGAAAACAATGGACTGAATTTGGAGGCTGACCTGACCCCTGAGGGCCAGCTGCCTAGTGGAGGGGAGCGGGGCTGTGACGGGGGCTTCCTCTTCCACCCATGCCAGTCTTTGCCTAAGCCAGCAGTATCCCACTTTTATTAAGTCTGATACTTGCAATCTTGCAAAGAACATAATGGAAAACACCCTGGTCAGCCAAGAAGAATGACTCCTGTATGTGTGGCACAGTTACTGAAGCTGCCCTTCATGTTTTAGCATAATGCCAGATTCTAGAAATTCAGAGCTGGTCAAAGCAAGTTTCAAACCCTCAAGGAGTTACAATCTTATGGAAATAAAATCTATAAATAAGCGTTCGTAATATAAGATATAAAATCCTAATTTTCCTAAGAAAGTCACCCACAGATTACTTTTGTAGTCCCATTTCTAAAATACTGGTACGACAAGGTGGGATCACTTTGCTACTTTGTAGCATTTTGCTATTGAGCCGAAATAGAAATAAACTACTCTGGTCTCAGTGAAGAATGCCTCACAATTGTCCAACCTGTTTAAACCAGAGATGTATTCTTAGTGCAAAAAAAAAGTCTATTTTCTCTGGAGATGGTAGTTTTTGATTGTGGCTGGTTCTGTTCCAATAATGTCCCCTTTAGAGGTTTAAGTTCCCTCAGTTGCAAAGGACTTCAAAAGGTCATGGAGCTTTTGCTTCCCTGAAGACCTTTTTCCTTTATCCAGAGAGCTGATGCTGTGTGGCCATGGAGGGAACTACAACCGAGTCAGATGTCCGGAAGATGCGTGAAGCTCAGAGCCTGACAAGTCCCCCTTCTTAAACTCAGGCTGGAGATGGACAAAGTGCTGGGAACTGCAGCTCCTCAGATGCTTTCAAACAATCAAAGTACTTTTCCCCTTCGCTGAATTCCCACAGTATTCCCGGGGATAGAGTTGAAGTCTTATGTGTAGAAGGAACTCATTTGATTATTAATCATATTCCCAGAGTCATGGAAAAAAATTATGTTTCCAGGTTTCAACGTCTGCTGAACATACCTCCCCCAGTGCACTGGTGACTGAATTTCTGGGGTAATTCGGAGCCCTCCTCCCTGCCCTCAGAGGCTGGTGAAGACAGCGCTTTCTAACTGGACATTCACTGTCACAGCAGCATTTCAACACCACGTCCCTTCTCCACAGACGGACATAGAGGTTTGGGAATAAAATAGAGGTCTGCAGCATAGTGCCTGGCGGGAGACCAGGTGCTGAGATGCCAGATCCTCTCTGCCACCTGTGATTACAGCATCTAGGATTCAGCATGGTCCCGCGTTGTCCACGTCCACCTGGGGTCTCCTGGTGTGCACACTGCCTGCAGGCTCCCAGGCTTGGGGTCTATACTGCACCTGCCTCAGAGGCATCTCAGGGCCACCCATGGATGTTTGATAAACAGGCCTTGGAATCATAAAAGTGTTTGTGTTTCTGTTCATCTGTGTATCTGCATGTGTGTGATTAGGTATGTGTGTGTATCTGTGTGTCCCTGTGTGTCACTGTTTCAGTATGTGTGCATGTGTATCTGTGTATTGTGTGTGTGTGCATGTGCACATGTGTGTGTGCCTGTGTATTGTGTGTGTGTGCGTGTGCTGATCATCATGTTTATGGAGGAATTGGGCACGGTCCCTTTGAGAACTGGGAATCTGGTCAAGATGACGTCTCAGGTTTTCTTCTATTAATTCTGATTCAGTCTTCTGAGATTTACAGAGAAGCAAAGTACAATAGGTATGGGTGATCATAACAATCTGGTTATTCAGGCATGTGCAAAGTGTTCACCAGTGTTCTCATTTGCAAAAACACAGAACTTACTATTTTTCTTTGCTTTGGAGATATATATATACAAAATGCCATAAGGAAATTCATGTACCAAAAGCTAAAATAGTCTAAATAGCCAATTAGTTTTTAAATACATTCATTGGTCAGGCTTCTTGTTTTTCTTCTTCTTTAAAATATTCAGTTTACTATTCAACAGGAAATGAGTTGGGAAAAATAACAAAAGTTAAAACCAGCTGTTTGGATGTCTATGCTAATGTCCAGTTCAAGAAAGGGAAAATCGGCTAAGGAACAAGTTTTGTTTGTTGTTGTTTTGATGATGTCTTCTAATGATTAAACTTACAGTAGGAGGCCTTCATGGTAGGAATTGTTTTATTTATATTTTTTTCAAAAAATGTCTTTCCTGTGTTATTTACAATAGCACATGTTTTTCTGGAATAGATCTCTGGGGAGGCGAAGTTGATGGTATTTCAGCACAAAATGGCAAAAGTTTGGGGCGGTGGGCAGGAGGCCCTTGCCACTGTGGCGCCAGGAGACTGGGTAAGGCGCCCACCACAGGGCTGGGGATCTCAGGGGCGTCTGAAGAGGAAGAGCTGGCTCGGGGCGCTCGGGGTAGCACAGCCACACATCCAACCACGGCGCGAGAATCAAGGTGCCAGAATCACAGGACGCGGGAATCACGGGACGCAGGAATCACGGGACGCGGGAATCACGGGACGCGGGAATCACGGGACGCGGGAATCACGGGACGCGGGAATCACGGGACGCGGGAATCACAGGGTGCCGGAATCAAGGGACGCCAGAATCACGGGGCGCGGGAATCAAGCTTCTCCATAAATGACTGACGCAGGGGAGACATGCCAGAATTCTCTGAGTGGTGTATTTAATACAATGACAAATAATTCGTATGTGGTCTTTTCAGTAAATGTTGTCCAGTGACTACTCTCCCTCAACAATTTAGCTCATACACGGGTTGGGCTCAACACACGCAAACAGCTTTTCACCGAGCTTTGACGGAAATGAGGCTGCGCTGAGGCGGCGCTGCGGCTGTGGAGATGCCCAATTCGTGGCGCCAGCGGGGGAGGCGGCGCCAGCGGCTGCGCCACGTTTTTTCAGGAATTTGTCCTTCTTCAGAAAAGGAGAACACTGCTTCCTGCTAAGCATTTGGATTAGGAGACGCTGGCAAGATTACAGACATGTTGCGACCCCCATGCTGAACCTAGAACCTCATACTGGTTTTCAGTCAACATTGGTGAAGGACACAGTCCACTGCCTGCGGAGGCCCCGAGGAACACGCGTGTAAAAGCTGCGCCCAGACCCGCAGATCCCACAGCAGCAGCCTTTGGTCTCGCGCCAAGACCTGCCCCACCAGATCCCACCCGCCCCACCGGCCTGCCCCACCAGATCAAACCAGAGCAGCAGCCTTCCGTCCAGCGCCGAGACCTGACCCATCAGATCCCCGCCTTTGCTGGGGTACTGCGGTGGCCACAACTCGCATGGAGCGCCGCCTGGGAAAGGGAGGAGAGGACGCATGAGATCAGAAACACTGGCTGCCGTAAACACTTACAATGAAAATAACGTAACAAATAAGCGAAAGGTAAAATGTGAAAGAAATCCAACAGGTCTGCAAAAATGGCTGCCTGGCATCACTGAATCCTAAAATCTTCTTGGTGTGGAAGACTCTGTTATGATTTCACAATATGGCAGCACCAGGTCCCTGGGCGCACACCCAGCCCGATAAACACACCAGCATTTGCCACCACGAGTGACCTAACTCAGCGTGGGCCCAGGATAAGGCCAGTTCTAAATTATCACAATGCTTTTACAATTCTCTAAAACGTGTCTCTATAATTCATATGCCTTAGTCTTGCCTGTTCTTTTATATATATTACAGGTTTTTTCCTACCATCCTGCACTCACTCCAGAACACAAATTGATTAATTGGAAGAGTGATAGGTGGTAGAACTGCCTGGCACATTCCCTGTTCCCTTCTCTCCTTTCCTTCCTTCTCTCCCTTCCTCCTTCCCTCCTTCCCTCCCTTCCTCCCCTCCTCCCTTCTTCCCTTCCTCCTTTCCCCGCTTCCTTCTCTCCCTCCCTTCCTTTCTTCCTCCCTTAATTCCTTTGTTCCTTTCTTCCTCCCTTTCTGCCTTCCCTTATTTCTTTCATTGTTATCCGAACATATTTAATTGGATTTTCATAGAATTCAATGAAACATAATTGTACTATAAGAGTTTTGCTGAAATGGTCAAGCCCTATCCAGCCCTATCTAGGACAATCTGTGGTGATTAAGCCATGAAGTGAATTAATTCTTGCATTCATTGATCTATTTAACAAGCATTTGATCCTATTACTTGCTTGCCATTGTGCTGGGTGCTAGATGTGAGGCCGGGAGCCCCCGACAGATGGAACCTATCCGGAGGAGGCTGTGCTGACCGGCTCTTCTGCGAGCCTCTGGGATTGTCACCAGGGATGGGTTTATCCCTTTCTTCTTGGCTGTAAATCTTCAGTTAAATTTTCACCTCAGAACTTTCAGTGTCTCTCTTTTTCAATTCCTTCCACATTCATATGCCTCTTACGACTTTCTTAGAAGTATTCTTTTTTTTCTTCACAAATGCTATGTTTTCATCCTTTATTCCCAAAGAGACTGTCCTGTGTAGAAAAAAAAATTCACCCTGCCTTTAGGGACAAAAGAACTAGGTTTGGGTGACGCCTCCTTGTCACTGGGCACTCCTGGGAGTCGCAACTTCCGAGCCAACTTCTTCTATTAAATATCTGTGGAAGCCTCTACTTCGTAGGATTCTTATAAGGAACCACTAAAATAATGCTCAGAGCATTACTACAATCAAATTATAAGTTTTATCATTATTCTATTCATGTTAACCTGGAACTTTAATCTTTACCTGTTTCATCTTTAAATCTTTTCAAATTATTTTCAGTTCAAAATGTCACATTTTTCATGAAGTGACCTAAAAAAATCACCAAATGAAAATCATATCAACCTAATTGGAAGTGTCGTGGCACCTTGCCCCTCACTTTAGAGAGTCGATTCTTCTCCTGAGATAATCATGCTGGAGCCAGCCTGGATTCTGGTGTCAGGCGGCGGCCCTGAAACTTGCCAACGCCACTTCTCCTGGTGTAGCCTTCACAAAGGGTGCCCACCAATTGCACGGGCAGGTAAACGAAGGCCTGGAGTTTGAAATACATGTTTCCTCCTGGCCCTCCCTTCACTGTAAGGGCTTTTGTATAGCCAATTTGAGAAAAATGACGTTTTTAGGTGTAGGCAGTTTGAGATCATTTTCAAGCTTTAGCACAGCTTTATTTATGCACACTGCCTACTCCCTAATGTAGAATTATCACGTGGAATCCTTAGTGGAGTCCACCTCCCTAACGATGCTGTTTTCTATGGCATGCTAAAGATAATTAGTTGTATCTTTTCCCACAATTTCTATACAAGAAGTCATATTTAAAACTCCAAATCAACTTGAAATTAAATCTTTGTAATTCCTTATTGTGTAGAATGAAAGGTGCTCTGTGTACTTGCAAAAATAATTAAATTAGGAAAAAAAAGAATTTAGAAACAGATTCATGTCCTCACGGCGGGTGGCACTGTCAGCTGCTCCCAGGGCCAGCCCTGCCGGCATGCTCAGCTTTGACCTAAGTCTCAGCTTCCTCCGAGGGGATGGAAAGACCCCAGGGTGCACAGCGTCTCCTCCTTCCCCTAGCCTCTAGGTCAGAGCTTGACCCGTAACAGGTCTTTGTTAAACATTTGCAAAGTGAACGTTGCCTCAATCCCTCGGAACAATAACCACACCAGCAGGTCAAATCACTGCCTGGAGTGGAGGAGCTCATTTCAGAGAGAAGTTGTGTTTTGTTTTGTTTTGTTTTGTTTTGTTTTAATGGCAAAGAGATCAAAATGCCTTTTCTTGGTCATTAACTCATTTTGGTTGAGAGCATGAGAACCCACCTCAGCCCTGTGTATTCTGTCACCCTTTTGTGGACATTTTTCTTTCTTTGTTCTTGGCCTGTTTTGTTGCTGTGTGCTGGTCTCAGTGTTCTGTTTCGATTCTCACAAGCTTCATGTGATACTTCTTTAAAAATGGCAATGATAAATCAGTTGTTGAAACTCAGTTTTGCTCTAAGGAATGGCAAATTGTCCACATTCCGCATGCTGTATTTGTTGGGAAACTGGAAAATTTCCAGCGCAATTAGAATTAGGATATGCTTTAAAGGTCTTGACTCTCTCAAAAACCCTCCAATTTTCCGTCCCCTTGGAATAGCTGAGACGACCTATGGCCAGTGTCCATATGACAATGCTGACCCCAGAAAATTAGAAGAGCGGCTAGAAGGAATTCTCATGGGGCCCAGATGTAGAACCACATGGCTTTCAGAATCAAAGCCTATAAGTACAGTCTTTGCTGGAGATCTGATGATGCATGTCAGCAAAGACAGGCAGCCTGGGAGTGTTAAGAACTGAAAGCTAGGCTCTCACAAAGTGATGATGCCTATAGTTTAAGTTCAGAGTAAGCCAGCCCTCTAGCTTTCCTGGAAGCCCAAGGCAGTAGGGAAAGCATATTTGGATACACCAAAAAAAAATTGACTATTGAATGGTATGAAGTGTATTGCCTTTATCCGTCATAACCTGTGGGGGCTGGCGATGTGGCAGAAGAAAGGATGCTTCCGGTGTGGCCACTACAATCATGGAAGACATCAAAGAGGGACGGATGCAGCCTCCAGGGAGATGGCATGCTGAGGGAACCAGACAGGAGAGAGGTTCTCTGTTGGTCCAGCAGTCACATGTTCCTCTGAGCTGAGAACATCTCTTTAATTCTTCTCCCAGATAGCATGGAATTCTACTCTAACTTCCGTAATATGTTGGATAATTTTAATGGGTGTTCCATTTGAAGAGGGCTATCTACAATTCGTATGATATTGGTCAGTTAAACACCCACAGGTGAATTGACGATTTTCTTTTAGTCTAAGTCCTGAAAACCTTTATTCTATTATTTTATTATTACACTATCATCATTTCTTAGAGAACAATAACTAAGTATTTATTTTGTCAATTTGATGTTTTTCTTAGATACTTTTGCTAGTTCATTGCAGCAAAGAACACCAGTGGGCAATCTGATAACTATGCGGAATCTGGGCAAGGCCTAAGATGCAGCTGACAGTAACTGAGGCCTGTGGCTTGGTTAGGGCCAGAAACAGAGAACAGAAGGAGAGGGATTTGTTTTATTCCCATTGACCCAGGGCAGGGAGGGACATCCTCACCTAGACAAGGTTGGAACTTTGTAGGTCTTCCCATGATTCCTGCCTGCTTTGCAAGCACAAAGCAAACATATCTTTCCAAAGAAGATCTTTGGTTGTGGAATCCTGGAATCTCACCATTAGAAGGGACAGCATGGACAACCTGTCTCACAATGCAATGGGGTAGGTCAGTGAAGTGGCTTAACTCTTCTGGCTCAGAGTTTCTCAAATTAGGACCCTCAATCCACATGCTTACAGACCACCTGGGATCTTGTCAAAATGCATGTCCTCTGCCCCCACTCCAGTTTCTTGGGCTGAAAATTTGACCACCTGCTTTGTAAGCAGATTTCCAGGAAAGTCCTATGCACCCTGGAGTCAAGGAGGCCACGGAGCCAGGCAAGCCATTCCACTGTGCATGGCTCTCAGAACGTCCTTTCTTGCTGTGAACTGAAGTCTGTGGTCCTGTGAATTTCTGTCATTAGCTCTCTTTCTGCCCTTGAGTCTTCCCAGGACAAGTCTTGCCTTGTGTTGGAATCTACTTGCTACAGAGATGCAGCCCTGTGCCGTTAGCAGTCAGAGGGCATGCAGAGGAGCATAACTGAGAGGGCTCAATGTGGGGGATAGGCAGAGTTATGGGGCCACTCAAGGAGGCCCCAAGGGGTGGCAAGACACCCCAGCATTACAGACAGTGGGAGCAGTCACCACCCTCATCAGAAGGGATAGGAAGGGACGTGGGGCACAGTGGCAGCCTGGCGAGAGCCAACCTAGGCAAGGCCTCAGATGCTGCACAATCTTTGGCATGACTGAAAGGGGAAGGCAAAAACCCACTCCAGCCTCGATTTCTCTGCACACTGTTTTCTTGCTAGGGCTCCCTATTGGGAACCCAATTCTCAAGCCTGGAAGCCAAAGGGCAAAAGGGCCCAATGGGTTCATGGCCAAAGGCAAAGAGCAGAGCCAATAGGGTGAGCACAGACTTGGGTTCACACAGAGAGACCCAGGTCCTGAGGTCTATGTGATTCCTGTCCCAGGAGCCCCCAGGAAGACATGCCTCCCTCCCAACGCTGTCCTGGTTGGCCCCTGTGCGCAAGACCTCATCCTCTTCTCCATTGCTATGGCTTTGTTTTGTTTGAGCATCTCTTCTACTTTAAATATATTGGTTTTCACTGAACTCATGTGCCTAGTTTTTCCTGTGTTACATGACTGCAATTTTCAGGCCAGGTTTTTTTTTTTTAATTCCTATATATTCTTAGTATCTTGTGATTATTAAGTGATTAGCATCTGAGTGTGTGTGTGTGTGATGAATAAAACTGAATTAGCTCAGTTACTCCCAGTTCAGCCGATGATGAAGGAAATGTGGATTTCCTAAGGAGTCTGATGTGAAGATTCCATTAAACTAAAAAGCTTTCTACGGTACAAAGAAGACATACGTTAGAAGGCCCTTAATAGTTTTCCAATTAAGCAAAGAGGTGATTTATATGAGGATTTCCAGTTGTTCTCTCTCTGCAACTGTGAAAGGACAAGGACTCACCACTTCCTTTGTCTCCATCCATCCAGAGTTGTGTAGCCACTGCACCCTGAGAACTTCAGGGCTACAGAGAACAACAAGCATGCTCGGCACCTCAAGGGGCCATACAGATGCTGCCAAGGACGCAGGAAGAAGGCTGGTGTGGGGTGGGAACCTGAGGCGGGGGCTGTGTTTGAAGAGGACAATCGCAGCAAGATCACACAGACTGTCACGACAATCCAGCCCTGAGGTAGCTCAGTGCGCCTCCAGGAGGGGCTTTGTCTCCTATTTGTCACCTATAAGAATTCTGAGGGGAACATTTGTCCTCCAGTTATTGTCTTAATGAATTTCAACTGAGACACAGATTTCTGCCATAAGGCCTGGCCCAGAGGGGATGCCCAGGGTGGCAGGGAGGCTTCCATCCTAGTAACTTCCACTTGCCCCTGGGGAGCTTTCACAGTGGACAGGCACCTCAGGCAAATGCTTCGTCTGTACTTTGCAAAAACACCTCAATCAAGTGCCACGGGCACTGGCATCCAGGCCTCACCATCCTGAGGCTGCTACTGACCAAAGGCCAGAATGGGCAACAGGGAAAGATCACAGACATTTTTAACAGAATTTTTCAGAACATGGACTTTGGCATGACCTAGTGGAATGGAGTTTCCTTTTCTAGGGAAGACCAATGGTCTTTATTGTTTCTTTTAGGCTTAATTAGTTATGAAGGAATCCTTGTCTAAATAAAAAGGAAGCATTTAGAGTTCGTGACTGTTGTGGGTCCAGAGTTGATGAGTTTAGGAGTCCTATAATCCTGTGACCGTGTGGTTCCTATGGGCCATGTGGTTTATGTGGTCCTGTGGTCTATGTGTTCCATGTGGTTTATGTGGTGCTGTGATTCTGTGGTCCTGTGGTCTATGTGCTCCATGTGACTTAGTGGTGCTGTGATTCTGTGGTCCATGTGGTCCTTGTGGTCCATTGGTCAATGATCCTGTGGTCCATGTGGTCCCTTTGTCTGTGTGGTCCCTGTGGTGCCATAATTCCTGTGATTACTGCAGTCGATGTGGTCCTGTGTCTAGTGGTCCATGTTGTCCTGTGGTTCATGTTGTCTATGTAGTCCTAGGGTCCTCGTGGTCATGTGACCCATGCTTTCCTGTGGTTCTGTTGTCCTGCGGTCTTGGGGTTCCTGGGGTCCTATTGCCCATGTGGTCCTGTGGTCCTTCTGATCCATTGGTTCTATGATCCTGTGGTCCATGTGGTCCTGTGGTGCTATGATTCTGTGTTACCATGGTTCATGTGCTCCTGCAGTCTGTGTGGTCCATGTGGTGCTATGATTCCTGTGGTTCCTGTGGTTGATGTGGCCCTGTGATATATGTGGTTGATGTGGTCCTGTGTTTAGTGGTCCATGTGGTTCATGTGATCCATGTGGTCCTGGAATTCCTAAGGCCCTATTGCTCATGTGGTCCTGTGGTCCATGTGGCCAGTATGGTCCTGTGTCTATGTGGTCCACGCTATCCAAGTGGTCTTGGGGTCCTGTGATCCATGTTGTCCTGAGTCCCTGTAGTTCTATTGTCCACGTTGTCTTGTGGTCTGTGGCCCATGTGCTTTGGAGGTCTGCATGGTCCTTGTGGTCCTTAGGCCCTGGTGTCCTGAGATACATGTGTTCCTCAGGTTTTGAGTTCCTTGTTTCTTCAAGAACTGTGTTCCTGGGGTTTTTGCATCCTAAGGTTCATCAGGTCCTATGGTCTTGTGATCTTCATATTTTGTGGTCCATGTATTCCTGTATATTGTGGTCATGTGGTGCATGTGGTTCTTGAGTCCTCACATTTTGAGTTTCATGGGGTCCTGTGGTCTTGTTATCTGTATGTTTTGTGGTCCATGTGTTCCTGTGTCTTGTTGTCATGTGATCCAGGTGGTCTATGTGGTCCTTGGGTCCTTGTATGCTGAGTTTCATGGGATCCCATGGGCCTGTGATGGAGTTTAATACCAAAACAACAAAGCAGGGTAGATGTGAGTTCAGAGGCTACTACTGCCTTTCTTCCATCTTAATCTGGAAAGCTTCACTCTGATGAGTGAGTCCATGGTGTTCCCTTCGGGCTAGAAGCCTTTTGTAGACAGTGTTCTAAGGTTTCTGCTGTGGGTCAGGAAGCTCCTGGGAATAGTCCTGAAAAGTCTGTTGTTTGCAAGAATGGAGGGAGTGCTTCACATGACTCATTGTGTTTTGACTTCTGTGTTTCACTTTGGCTGTTTCACCTTGCAGTCTGAGAAGCTCCTCAACCCAGATTTTCCTCATTTCTTTAAAAAGAGATTAATTATCCTTAATTAGCCTTGACTCCAAGTTGTAGATGAAGCAGCTTGGATTCTTTTATGAGTGTAATCATGCTTTATGCTTTTAAATGCAATTTTTGAAGTTAAAAAAAAATTAAAGTTAGTAGTAGTTCAATGTAGATAGCAATGATTCCCCATCTGTCATTCTCAACAAGTGATGAGGCCAAATTTATAATATAGTTTCTAAAGTCTAATAATCACCAAATGTTCAACCAGAACCCCTTGGCTAGTCCCCTTACAGCAGAGACTTGCAAATATAATTCAACAGAAAATATGAAGGGTTTCCACATTGCCATAACAAAAATCAACTTGTCCTGTGTTTATTCTCAAGAAAGAGTTCACTGACATGTCACACAATTCACTTTCCTCACATCCTAAACCTCTTTCAAACACACACGTGCATGTCTACATGCAAGCAGACAGAAAAACATACATACACATTACGAGTAGAGATAGACAAATTAATGCTAGACTATAAGTTATTCCTCTGGAAGGTGCAGTAATATTAGTATTAGCTCTAGTAGTAATTGGTGGGGAGATAAGGGTGATATAAATTAGTCTGGGGAAAAGCTGAGATGCCCTGAATTTTTGCCATTTAGGTTTTTAAACATTTATCGACTGTGTTTTCAGACCAGTGGTATGTTTACAGAAAACTGAGCAGAAAGTACAGAGCTCCCATATATCCCCTGTAATCTCTGCCTTAGTTACAGTTTCTTCTATTATTATTATTTTGAGACTGAGTCTCACTTTGTCGCCCAGGCTGGAGTGCAGTGGCACGATCTCGGGACACTGCAAGCTCCGCCTCCCAGGTTCACACCATTCTCCTGCCTCAGCCTCCAGAGTAGCTAGGACTACAGGCGCCCGCCACCACGCCCAACTAATTTTTTGTGTTTTTAGTAGAGACAGGGTTTCACCGTGTTAGCCAGGATGGTCTCGATCTTCTGACCTTGTGATCCACCCACCTCGGCCTTCCAAAGTGCTGGGATTACAGGCGTGAGCCACCATGCCCAGCCAGTTTCTTCTGTTGTTATTAACATCTGATATTGGTGGCAAATGCATTATAGTTAGATGAATCAATACTGATATATTATTATTAAATAATGTTCACCGTTTGTATTAGAGTTCATTATTCTGTTGTGTGTGAGTTTTGACAAATGGGTAATGTCATGTATCCACCATTACAACATCATACCAAATTGATCCTCTGCCCTAAAATATCCCTTTAACCTGTCCCTTCTCTAATATGCATACATTATGTAGATCTGAAATTCAGAATTATGTAACTTCTTTCTCTTCGAAGAACTTTTAACATTTTTCACAGTGCAGATCTGCTGGCCAAAAATTTCATAAATAGTTGTTTTCCCGAGAAAGTCTTTATTTCTTCATTATTGAAGGATAATTTCATTGGCCAGAATTCTAGGTTAATGAGGTTTTTTTTTCTTTCAACATTTTAAATATCATTATTCACCTTGCTCGTGTGTCTTGTGAAGAGAAGTCTGGTGCTGTCCTTCTCCTGTTCCTCTCCAGGTTAGGTGGATGTTCCCCCTCTGGATCCTTTCAAGACGTTGTCTTTGGCTTTCTGAAGTTTGATTATGATATGCTTGGGTTTAGTTTTTTGGTATTTATCCTGCTTGGTGTCCTCTGAGCTTCCTATATGGGTGGTTTCGTATCTGTCATTAACTTTGGACAATTCTCAGCCAACCATTATTACTTCAAACATTTCTTCTGTTTAATCATCTCTCTCTTCCCCTTCTGGTATTCCTATTATGCATATGTTACAGCTTTTTTAACTGTCCGATATTTCTTCAACATTCTGTTGTTTTTATTTTTCTTTTCTCCTTGGTTTTCAGTTTGGGAAATTTTTATTGACTCCTTAGGTGAACTGATTCTTTCATTGGCCATGTCCAGTCTTCTGATGAGCCCATCAAAGGCATTAATTTCTGTTATACTATTTTTAATTTCTAGCATTACCTTTTGATTCTTTCTTTGAGTTTCCATTCCTCTGGTTATATCACCTGTCCATTCTTACATTTTCCATTAGAGTTCTTAGCATATTAATTATACTAGTTTTAAATTCCTAATTTGATGGCTGGGTGCAGTGGCTCACGCCTGTAATCCCAGCACTTTGGGAGGCTGAGGTGGGCAGATCACCAGAGGTCAGGAGTTTGAGACCAGCCTGGCCAACATGGCGAAACCCCGTCTCTACTAAAAGTACAAAAAAATTAGCCAGGCATAGTGGTGTGTACCTGTAATCCCAGCTACTTGGGAGGCTGAGGCAAGAGAATCACTTGCACCCAGGAGGCGGAGGTTGCAGTGAGCTGAGATCGAGCCACTGCATTCCAGCCTGGGTGACACAGCAGGGCTCTGTCCCAATAAATAAATAAATAAATAAATAAATAAATAAATAAATTCCTAATTCGATAATTTGGAAATCTTTGTAGCATCTGAATCTGGTTCTGATGCTTGCTTTGTCTGTTCTGGCTGTGTTTCTTTTGCCTTGTAGCATACTTTGGAAATTTTTGGAAAGCTAGACATGATGTACTGGATTGAACTAACAGAGGTAAATAGGCCTTTGGTGTCAGGCTGCATGCTGATCTGCTGAGGAGTCAGTGAGGCTGTGCTTGCTGTTTGTTGTAGCTGCAGGGGTCAGAAGCTAAAGTTTCCCCCAGTGCCCTTGTCTTTATCTCCCCTTTTGTCTTTGAGTTTCCTTAGAGACTTGTTAATATGGTCTGAGGTGTGCAGTTCTTTCCATTGTAATCCCCTGTTGCAATACAAAAGCCCTGTTGATACAGTGCTGAGAAGTGGGGAGGGGAGGCAGTTCATGACCTCTGATTAGGTCTCCATCATCCAATGAGCCTCTGTCCTTAGATTGTGGTCTTTGCCAGTGCTTCTTGCACCCTCTCCTTTTAGGTGATGAAAGCCCATGGGATTTGGAGTTGGGTGTTTTTCTTCACCCAGTGGGCTTGGTTCTGATGTGGCCCCGGTAGGTTGGACTCTGGTGAAATCGTTTCCCTGGAGGGCAGAGGCCTTGTGAGACAGAGTGCTCT
Source organism: Homo sapiens (assembly GCF_000001405.40). Lineage (NCBI taxonomy): Eukaryota > Metazoa > Chordata > Mammalia > Primates > Hominidae > Homo > Homo sapiens. The sequence goes on from NC_000002.12 coordinate 514,516, forward strand.
GAGCCCTGACCCCCAGTGCCTGCTGGAAGCACAAGGGATTTTTTTCTCTGATCTTCACCCAAAGAACCTGGTGTGGCTCCTTGAGGTCAATCTCAGGACAGTTGTGGTCAGAAAAGGGATTTTATCTTTCAAGCTCACTAATATGGTTTGGCCATGTCCTCACCAAAATCTCATCTTGGATTGTAGTTTCCATAATACCCATGTGTGGTAGGAGGGACCTGGTGGGAGGTAATTTAATCATGGGGCAGTTACCTTCATGCCATTCCGGTGATAGTGAATGAATTCTTGGAGATCTGGCAGTTTTATAAGGGACTTTTCCCCCTTTTGCTCGGCACTTCTCCTTGCTGCTACTATGTGAAGAAGGATATGTTTGCTTCCCCTTCTGCCATGATTGTAAGTTTCCTGAGGCCTCTCCAGCCCTGACAAACTGTAAGTCAATTAAATCTCTTTCCTTTATAAATTACCCAGGTTCTGCTATGTCTTTATTAGTAGCATGAGAACAGACTAATACACTCAGCCACTGTTGGTCCCAGGAGCTAGGTGATCACCCTGTAAGTGCTCCTGCCACCTCTGGCTTCTGCTGCTGTGAGCTCTGCTCTCTGCATCAGCCGGCCTGTCTCTCCAGTTTGGGGGCAGCAGTGTGCCCTGTGACCTCAATTTTCTGCTGGATCCAAGAAGAGCTGCCGACCCTCTGTTCAGCTTCTTCTTTGATGATGTGAATGGTGATGGCCAAGCTCTCTGCATGTGGAGCAGAAACCAGGAATGTGCTGGCTTTCCTATTCCTCTATAGCCTGCATTTCAAAACATGCATTTAAAAGTATTTACCAATATTAGTTTTTCCACTTCCAGTTTTTTGAAAGATATAGTTTAGTTGATCCATCATTGACTTTGTGCATTATACTGCATAATTTATTAGTGTAGACATTAGAATTTCCTAAATATTTGCACTGTCCTCAAGATCTTAACCATCTTCAGGTATATGTACTAAGTTTTAGGTTATTCCCTATAGACATCTGTCAGTCTTAATATTGCCAAACATATGGAAGCATTTTTAAGCACATATATCCAGTTTCTGAGCCTGAAAATAATGAATAATGTGGGAGGCTGGGTGGACTCATTTTCTTCCAAGTCTCTCCAAGCCAGATTATCCTTTCAAATGCTCTTCATGACTCTCTTGCTGGTGATCACAAAGAAACAAAACAGTGAGCACTTTCTAAGAAAATAATAGCATTCAGTTTTTATTTAATAAAAACCAGATACTTATTTGGAAAATGCTTATGTGTGTAAAATGGTTCCATACAAGGGAGGGTAGATTAACTCACTTAAGTAGAGATCATGTGCCAAGACCCCGTAAAGTACTGGAGGTGCACAGGTGAGTCTGTCTGTGGCTGCAGGGAACTCACGGCCCGCTGGAGTGGTGCAGGGCACATTGTCTGACCTCTGGTGATTGAGGTCTCTGATATTTCACTATGAAGATCAGCCTTGTCAATGATGTCCACTTTGGAAGGAAAAGACCCTCTGTGCTGGAGGAAGAACAAATGACTAACTCCAGGACTGCAATTAGAAAAGCAATAACCAAAATGGTCAAGTCTTATAGTGAGAAAAATCCTGGAGTCATCTTGTCTACCACCCCATCATAAAATGAGAAAGTGTTATCTGGGACAGCTGAACAGTTCAGGGGAGAAGACAGGATGAGTGATGGGCAGGCTGGCTTCTGTCCCTCTCTGTCCGGCCTCTGCCTCCCTGAACACTTGCTGGGGATGATTCTAGGGAGCTTGGGCGCTGCGGGTCTGTGGCTGCCCGCTCTGCCCTGCAGCTGGTTTCTTCCTCGCTGATACTCAAGGACACGCAGTGATGACAGGCATGGCTGAGCGGGTGATGCACATCTCAGCAAACATGTTACTCAGCATCACTGCTCATGGACCTAAATAATACAAATGTTAGCAGGTTTCAACCTCTTCACAATGCAAGGGTTGAACAGAGAGCAGACATTGGCAAATTTCAAGCAAGAAGTCATTTCCAATTTGGGTTTAAAGTATTAACTTAATTGTCAAAGGATATAACTGAATCTCTGCAAGAAATAGATTCCTTTATTCTGACTTTTATGTTTGTTGAATAAAAGATTTCTTATGTAGGTGTTGCATCTGACTCACACACCAAAAAATTGTTTAGAGCAGACCAACAGCAGGCCTTTGCTGTTCTCTAGATACTTCGTTTGTCTCATTCTGAACCTGGTTTTATGAAACTCAAATTTTCTTTTCTTTATAGGTAAAGTATTAATAGTTTCCAGAAAAATTTCAAGCAATTGAAAAGATTAAAAATAAAGTGGTGATTTAGTTTTCAGGCTTTAAATTTCTGTTAAAAACTATGCTTGCATTCTAGCATTTGGCTTGTATAATGAGTATAGTGAAATTTCTAGTTATAACATAAAATTCCTCCAAAATTCAAAACACATCTACCGCACACTTTTGCTAAATTTCCCTTTGCTATTTTTTTTCAAGCTAGTTCCACAGTGATATCATAGTTATTCAGAGAGACAATCAGACTAAGTGTAGTTTCCCATGAATGGAGCGTAGCTGGGAGCAGCTGCCACATCTAACTCTGGAGTGTGTGCTCCTCAGAGCCTGGATTCTCAGCTCAGAAGTGCAATCAAAGGCATCTAAATAGAGTCCTAACGAACTGGGACTTCCTGCGTCAAATGATTTTGTTTAGAGTTGTTTTGCTTCTACCCCGCCTTCTTAATCAAGTTAATGCTGTGGGTATTTTTGGGCTATGTGAGCATGTGGCTGTGAATAGATGCAAAATCTTCCAGTTTTCAAAGAGTTTTGTGTTTCTTTGTGAGTGTCTACATGATAGTCACCAAGCACATTTGAAAGGAATACTTTGGCTTCTAGAGGCCCCAAAAGGCTATCTCAGAATAGACTGTGTCCATCCAGCCTCCCACCTTATGAGAAATCTCTCTCAAGGACAGCAGCACTCCATTGATCTGGCATTTCTCAATGAATCAAGTGTTTCTGATGAGTAAAAATTTTCAAATAATTGTAACAGTCTTTAAGTATAAGCAACATTTTCCATTAAACATTTTAAAATAAAATCAATCTTGGTGTTCTTGCTTTAGGAAAAATACTATCTTGATCAAAATCTAAATGTTTCTGAGTAACTGTAGTAAGATTTTAATCACTAATAGTAACCCTGGAGTGGCGGCCCTTGGTGAAGGCCACAGACCCGGCCCACTGTCCTGCTCCCATTGGGATTTTGGCCCTCTCTTCTCTGCCACTGAACTTCTGCAGCTGCCAGCTTGTTTCTTATAGGAAGGACCTCCCTTCTACTAGTCTGCCATTTAGGAAGATTGAGAGGAAATAAAGCTGTTTAATTGGTAATTCTCACCTACATAAAAGATGAGGACTGTATTTTTTTAACCAACTTGGAAACTAATACTATATTTTCCAAAAAAACTGGCCTTGCCTGATTTGAGATTACCAAAGAACGGAAGCATTTTTTCAAACAAATATAATCCAGAAAGAAAGATCTCAGATACAGTGTTTCAGCGTTGCCCACTGGTTGGCCCCACACAGGCCATGCACGGAATGAAAGACTGGAACAGAAACAAATGTGTCCTGTCCTGTGTTCGAGTTCAGGCAAGGGAAGGAATGGCTCTCTCTTGGTTCCAGTTCTGGAACTGCTCTTGATAACACTGTTGATTTAAATGCAGTCTATTTTTCTTTAACAGTTTTGCTATCTGCTATGCATATATAAATAAAATGAAATCTCCGTCTGTTAGTTAACATTTAAAAATACATGGAAATAGCTGGGTAGATTTTCGCTAAATTAGGATTGTGAATTTTGGGTGTTACGACTAAAAAAGCCGTCCACGTCTAAGTCTCAGCCTCACTCTGAAGAGGCGTGGGATGCCCCACAAAGAGCCTGCCAGTCATCCTCCTGGGAGGTTGGGACAAGCACGTGGTCCCCACACTCTCAGGAAGACATGCCATACCAGCAAGATATAAATACAGAAAATAAGCACTTTCCAATATCATCCCCAAGTGGAAAGCCACCAGCACAGACCTTCCACATTGCAGACATTGATTTCCAGCTGCACCACACCACACCTAGGCAATTCAGAGCAGCAAATTCCAGGGTCACAGCAGCAGAACACAGTCCAGACTCCTTAGCTGAGCTTCTCAGCCCTGCCATCCGGACCTCTGGATCCCACCAACATATCCAAGACATTTCTCAATGCCACTGACATTGCTAAGCTTTTCTTTATAGTTCCACTACATCCTACCTGGTCAATTAACACTTAATTCCTGGGTCTTTCCTGACCCCAGCCACTCCATTCCGACTTTGACATGTCCTTGCTTTCATTTTCTATTTCAGATGCCACTTTTTCTGCAAAGCACTCCCTTCTTTGCCCACTGACCCCAGGAACAGTAACAACTTATGTGATTGCTGTCTATTTTTAATGACACCCATCTTGTCCACCCTGTCTTATAGCCATTTATCAATCTGCCCTCTCCTTATTCCAATAAGCTCGTAGATTTCAGGAGTCATTCAAGAGGTCCCACTGGCCATTGTAGCCATGCCTATGTAGCTTCCAGTGCACAAATGCACTTACATTTGGAAATTCTTTCTTCTTGTAGTCTAGGTGGTAGGTGACAGGGTCACTGGACATTACTGTGACCTAAGCCAACAGTTGCCAACCAAGTAAACAATTTGTTATAGATTTAAAATTCTTTTAAAATGTTAAATGTTAAAAATACTTCATACTATATTTTTATGAAAATACCTAATAAATGCTAGATTTTTCTCTGTTAGGCAGATGCTCTTATCCTAGAGATTATTCCACTTCCTGAAGATCTAGGTGCCATGCCATTGATTGGCCTGAACCCAAGCTTAGGAAGGACAGTTGATCTCCACATTCCTCAGAAAGGCTCTGTCATACTCAGTAAACTTTTCGTAACATGTTGATGTGTGGATTGAATCATAGAACAGCCCTACCTTCTCCATTCTGTGTTTAAAATAATAGAATGCAGCAGGGTGCAGTGGCTCATGCCTGTAATCCCAACATTTTGGGAGGCCAAGGCAGGAGGATTGCTTGAGCCCAGGAGCTTGAAACCAGTCTGTGCAACTTAGGGGATCCACATCTCTACACAATAAATAAATGAATGGAATTCTACATTTTTTGCAAAACTCAGGACTTTTCCATATTCAAAGACAGTTTTGCAGAACATAAAAATATGATTATTAATAAGTTGAATATAAATTTCATTTTTATGTCCCAAAACACCTAGCCCAATGCTTTTCATTGAAAACAGGCACTTAATATTTATTAATGTCTTCATTTAGTTAAACATATTAAGCTAAATAGATGAATGTAATGAGAACAAAAATGAAAGGCAAACTCTGGGGAGAAACCGAATGCTTAGACTGTGAAGATGGAGGCAGGTCAGCTGCATGGCAGCTGAAGCACCAGGGGCAGCGTGTCTATCTGTTGGAATTCCAGGGAAAGACCCTTTGGCTTGAAGCTTCTCAACTTGCTGGACATGAAGTCAAAGACTCCATCTAAACTTCTATTTATTTATTTATTTATTTATTGAGACAGAGTGTCGCTTTGTCACCCAGGCTGGAGTGCAATGGTGCAATCACAGCTCACTGCAACCTCCACCTCCTGGGTTCAAGCAATTCTCCTGCCTCAGCCTCCGGAGTAGCTGGGATTACAGGTGCTCACCACCACGCCCAGCTAATTTCTGTATTTTTAGTAGAGACAGGGTTTCGCCATGTTGGCCAGGCTGGTCTCAATCTCCTGACCTCATGATCCGCCTGCCTTGGCCTCCCAAAGTGTTGGGATTACAGGTGTGAGCCACCTCACCCAGCCAGATCTAAACTTTCAGAAGCACTAATTTTAGAGTCAACAGATTGGGTGTCAGACTTTCACTCTACTACTTTCTGATTGTCTAAACTTAAGAACAGTGCCCACTCTCCTGGGCCTTGCTGCAGAGCAAGACACTTTTGAACGTAGGAACGATTCTTCGTTTAAAGAGCAGGGAGTCTATCTGACTGCAGACATGCACAAGTAAACAAGAAACAAGTGAGGAAAGTGTTAGCAATGGTACAAGAAACAGAGAGGAAGCTGTAGGCAGTTCTACCCAATCTTTCAGTAAATGATTCACAAACAGTGACACAAGCTGCATCTTGGAGATGAGTGAGGTGGAGGAGTGACATGAAAAGAAACGTAGGGAGGAGAGGACCTGGCAGGACCAGGAAGGACGGAAGAAGTGTGAGCAACGTGCTGCCCCGGAGGGGCCCCTGTGGATCCACTGAGACTCCTGGCACCACAGGCTGATGGGCGCAGGGGACATGGGCAGGGCCTGGACTCCCATTGTCTTCAAGGGGAGTTACTGAGGGCTTTAAGCGAAGAGAAAACAGGAACAAGATCATCTTTCACTTAGGAGACATAATTCTGGCTGCAGTGTGGAGGGTGGATGTTTTTGTCTGTTTAATTCACTATTACCTAGAATGGCACCTGGAAAATTGTAGGTAACTGTTCTTTGAATGATATAAAACCAATTGCAGAAGCAGTTGCTGTGGGCCTGGCAAAAGACGATGGGCATCTGAACTGAGGCGCAGCGCCAGACCTAGAGATGAGGCCAGGGTCTGCAGGAATGAGGATCTTTTTGTTCACTGCTTCCTCTCAGGCACTCAGAACAGGGCCTGCCACGTGGATGTCCCCTCAACCTCATGGGATACATTAGGATATTCTACCGGTGAGTTGCATACACAGGTTGACTTTGCAATCCTTTACTTTGTTTCTTTTTCTCTTTGTCTTCTGAGGTGAGGTGATTACAGAATGAAGTAGAATCCATATCTTGGGTGCCCCCCTCGCAGTGGGTGAACTTGACCTTTCTGACTCCAGACAGATCCATGATGGTGACAGAAGATTCCTTCAAACGATCCCCCTACCTCCCTAAGAAAGGAGCCCTATAGTACTTGACTATTCTGCTGGGTTCAATTTAATTTTTCTAAAGAGTCCTGGATTGTCGGGGAATCTCCAATGTGTGGTTTTGTTCATGTTCTCAGTGCCAAGTGCTGACGGAGGCCACGACCTTCACTTGTGAGGCTGAGTGTCTTCCGTTTCACCCTCGGGCACTTAGCAAGCTGCATTCGAAGACCCAATGCTTCACTTCCCTTGGGTATTTGGCTGTTTTTGATATTTTAATTTGTATTTTTTTCTACATATTTCAAAGAGGAATCAGTTTTCTCTGGGAATTTGAATGTCCTGATAGGATGGGATACTGTAAGAGTAATTAGTGAAATTTGTGTTGTTTGGCTGTGGGATATTCTATAAGAAATAGCGACAGAAAGACCCAGATTCTGTCTTTTATGCTTTAAGTTGGGTAGACTTGATGAGATGAGAAGCTCTCAGGGCAGCCGTCCGTGAAAAGGGGTGGGAAGTGGAAGGAGGTCTGGAGAAGGGGTGACAACAAGGAACCCAATGGCATGGAACCCACGGAACCCGATGGCATGGAACCAGAACCGATGGCACCGAACCGGAACCTGACGGCACAGAACCAGAACCCGACAGCTCAGAACCCAACAGCATGGAACCCGATGGCATGGAACCCAACTACAGGGAACTGGAACCTGATGGCACAGAACCAGAACCCGACAGCATGGAACCTGACGGTGGCTTGGAACCCAATGGCAGCATGGAACCCAACAGCACGGAACCGGAACTGACAGCACAGAACCTGATGTCTGCTCGGAACCCAACGGCAGCATGGAACCCGAAAGCACGGAACCGGAACTGACAGCACGGAACCTGATGTCGGCTCGGAACCCAACGGCAGCATGGAACCCAACAGTACACAACCGGAACCAACAGTACGGAACCAGAACTGACAGCACAGAACCTGAGGGCACAGAACTCGACGGCACAGAGCTGGAACCTGACAGATGGAACCCGACGGCTCAGAACCCTATGGCACAGAACCTGAGGGCAGCACGGAACCTGGAAGATGCCGGAGGAGACTGGAGCATGAACTCAGGCAGGAGAACCTACCTGGTCCTGGACAAGGGCGTTCTCTCTCCCTGCGGATAAAGACGTGGATTTAACTCCAGCATTTGGAGTGAGAAGCCTAGGGTGCCAGGCCCACTCGACTCTGAATGAGGAGGTGTAGCTGTCTGCTGGGTGGAATGAGCGTTTTGAGGGTTGTGGTGAAGGCTGGGACCATCGCATGAGGAGTGGGTGGGGAAGACCAGAGATGACCCCTTAGCTGACATTTGCTGAGGACATTCTCTGTTACAGGCATAGAAACTTAATTGATTTAATCTTCTCAGTATGCCAATGAGGTAAGTACTATAATTATTCTGATCTTATAAATGAGGGAACTGAGGATTAAAGGTGAGGGAAAGTCCAGCCTGCACCTCTGCCATCAGGGGAGCCAGGCGGCCACGTATGTGGTCTCTGTCCCAAGCCCACACCGCGGCCAGCACTCTCCAGGGCTTCTCACTGAATATGAAGACGCATGGCTTGATGTGTTTCACGAAGAGTGGGAGGAGGATCCGTAACGAGTAGGTAGCGTGTTGGAGCTGTAACAAGGGGTTGAGTTGGAGAATGTGGAAAATTTGAGGGTTCAAAGAGCAAGTGCAGCCACCAGAGTGAATGAGGATGCTTAGAAGGGCAGACACTTCCCATCAGAAGTCAGTGCTTTAGGGCTCATGTTCCAGAGATGGCCAACGCTAAATTAAAGTCAATGGCAGTGGAGTTGAGAAAGACAAGATTAGGAGGCCCAGTAGGACATGAGTGTGGCTCCTGATGTTTTCATGAGAATAGCAGGAGTTACACAGAAAGGAAGTGTGAGAAAACATCAGTTGTTCCCATGGAAAGATGATAGGGCTCTATAGTGTTCAAGGTGAGCCCCAAAGGGGCCAGGACCTTGAACATTATTGTTTAGAAATAGAAACCAGCACTGAGAGATGTAGGCCAGGCCCTGAGGAAGAGGGAAATTTGGGAACTCTGTGCCCCAGAATTCACTGAGGATGCGGGGCTCCTGTGATCAAGGCTGAGCAGAGGCCGGGGCAGGGGCTGTGAAGGCACTGGGGGGAAGAGGCAGTTTCCTGATCCTGAGTAGAGATCTCAACAGCCCCAGAGACCAGGGCCAGGGAAGAAGTGTGAGTCTGTGTGAGGAGAGCTGTGCCGGAGGACACCTGGGTTCACGTTCCACAAGCCAGCTGAGGGTCTCATGGGCGGGAGTTGCACGTGAAGTGGGAAGCCCTCCTGTCCTGGGGCAGCAGGCTGAGAGTGTGTCCTCTTCTCTCGGAAGGGTGAGATTCCCAGGATGCCAGGGAATGACAGTGGTTGTTGGAATCTCTCGCTCCAGATGGCCTGGGAGAAGCTGAGACCCAAGGCTCCGCATGGCAGAAGCCGCCTTTGGAAGGTGTTGGCTCTGTTGCTCCCCACACAGCTGGGGGTGAAATGGCTCCTGGATGTTAGGACCCCGACCTCAGGGGATGCACAGTGCCCATGTGGGCTGAGGGGCTCCAGGCTTGCAGCAATGTCGCCGTGCAGGTCCAGAGAGCCAGAAAAACTGCATAGTTTGCATTTCTCAAAGTACTTTCCAGGCATGGCCAGTGGCCCTGGGAGACAAGGAAGCAAAACACATTTTTACAGCAGGAACACGAGTTCAGAGAGGTTCAGTTTCTTGCCTGAGACCATGGAGGTATTTGACAAAGTGAAGCCAGAGTCCACATCCTTACAAACCGTATTATCTTTGTATCACACCGTCTGTCTTTCTCAAGAGGAATTAAGCTGAAATCCCATCACTCAAGGTCATGAATACCTTCACCATATGCCAGTTTTCGGGAAAAAAAATGATTTCTTAGAGCTCCACAATGTATTTCTTTTAATGAAACCTATGTGGGCTTAAGAGAGTTTTCCTTTCATAGACTCTGCAAAGGTATTGGGTAATAGTTGAGAAAGATCATTTGGGATATAGACACTCTCCTCTAATCTGAGTTCCTTCCACCAGGACATGGCATAGCAGTGACTTGGTCTAACATTCCTGGTGAACAGAGCCACAGCAAACGTTGGAAGAGGCTGCTTTCTCATGAACTTACAAATTGTGCCAGACTCCAGAGGCCATGAACAACCATACAGATATGTGAAGAGTCATTCACCCTAAGCCAAAGTCAGCACGCCCTGAGCAGGAATCCTGTAGAAATGAACACTCCTGTCTCCTGTATTCAGGGGCAAAAAAAAACCAGCATAGATGAAGGTACTCCCTTCACCTCACCAGCTCCAAGAGTTATACCGCAAATCACACACAAGCATACATGCACACACACACAACATTGCTGAATCAACAGAAGCTGATCAGCTTTGGTGCACATAATTGGGAAAACACGATTTAATTTGTTAAAATAAGTGAAGACGAGGAAATCACTAACTTTCTGTCGTTCTACAGATTTCTGTTCCTGAAAAGGACGGCTGAGTTACATGATTTTTATTTTACGCAGGCATTTCTTAGTATATAGGAAGTTACAATATGCTTTTAGAAACTGATTCCTTAGATTGTGTGTGTGAGACAGAGGTCCACAGCTGTGGCCCCTGGGCTGGTCCAGCCTCCGTGCCCCAGGCCACACTCATGTGGGGACCCAGACCTGCCTCCTTTCCAGGCTGCCCAGTGCTGCAACCGCAAATGGCTGTGACAGAGACAGCATGACGCACCAAGTCTAAAATAGTCACTATCTGGACATTTACAGAGAATCCCACTAACCCCTGACCTAAAGGACATGATTGCTGTACAAAAGGCAGCGAGATGGGACGGGACCAGGCCTCCCTCTGATCTATAGAAGCACGGGGTGGTATGCAGCTCATTGAAATCAAATATGCAATCAAGTTTTTGGCCATGTATTAAGAGCCGGATCCAATACAGGAGCCAGGGCACATTTCAGAGGGAACCAAGAACAGAGCCCAGAGCTCCCCCGAAGCCCGGCTTATGACGAGGAGGTGTGGCTGTGACACAGCGCTGACAAGGCCAGTGCCTGCCATGAAAGCAACCAGTCACGATGAGAAAAGCAGCACAGGGGAAACTGAGGCCAAGACCTCCATGGGGAGCTGGCCGAAGACCACACCGGGAAAACTGAGGCCAAGACTTCCACAGGGAGCTGGCCCAGGACTGCACCAGGGTAGCTGAGGCCAAGACCTCCACGAGGAGCTGGCCCGGGACTACACAGATACTCTGAGACCAGACACCTCGCGCCTGAGCCCCCGTACGGGCCCTGCCTGTTCAACAGCAGGAGCTCTGACCTGCCGGGGGGCTTCAGGAAGGGAAATCTGGAGGAGTGCCTATGCAGGACCAAGGCCCAGCCACTCTTCCCTGCAGGGGCTCATGTCAGGCACAAGGAGCCCAGGCTAAGGGTGCATGGTGCAGCATGGGCCACAGAACCAAAAACGTGGGCAGGCCAGTGTCCATGGACAGGGACATAGATGAAAACGGTGAGCAACAGAGAGTGGAGTATCACACAGCAGTGAACAAGGAACGGCCTGTACTCGCCTGTGCCCGTTCGCATGTGGGGGCATGTAAACTTACCCACAGCAATGCGGATGTATGTATACATATGTAACTCTTAGTTTTAAGTCAACTTCTTCTTGCATGTATAGTCAAAGCATAAAGCACTTTACAAAGCAGGTACTTACCAACTTCACATTATAGTGATTATCTCTGGGGAAGGGATGCTGGGAATGAAATTGGGGGAGTTTATATGAATACTAGTGTTGCTTTGTTTTATTTTCTTTAAAAAAGATCAGAAGAAAACAAGTTAAATTTTCAGGTGTTTCTGTCTTTTTCCAAGTAGTTGGCAAATTACTATAAAATTATTCTCCATGCTTTTCAGAAAGGTAAAAATATTCCCTATGTAAAAAGTGAAAATATGTATTAAACTTGAGTGTTCTAGATATATAGGAATCCGTTTTCTTCTCACAGTTGTATAGTTTTCTGACTGATTTTATTTTATTTTGTATTTTGCCTGGACCTAATTCCCGTTGGTAACAAGCTGTTTTTAAGCCTTTTGGAAGATTCTCTAAGCACTAACTAGTGTGCCGAAATCACACAAAACTTGGTCATTATAGGCAATAGAGGCAGGTGAAGGTCATAAGCCAGTGTCTGAGGGCAAGTAAATCAGGGGGCTCCCTCCTTTCCCATAGTGAGGCACTCAGCAGCCGACTTACTATATTAATAGTTGCTCAGTGTGAGTGTGTGTGCTGTGTGGTGTGTGGGGTGTGTGGTGTGTGTGGTAGGGTGTGTGTAGTGTGTGTGATGTTTGTAATGTGTGGTGTGTGTGGTTTGTGCTGTGTGGTGTGTGTGTGCTGTGTGGTGTGTGTGGTTTTTGTGGTGTGTGATATGTGTGGTGTTTGGTGTGTGTAATGTTAGTGTGTGATATGTGTGATGGGTGTAATGTGTGGTGTGTGTGGCATGTGATGTCTAGTGTGTGCTGTGTGTGATGTTTGGTGTGTGTGATGTGTGGTGTGTGTGATGTGTGTGGTGTCTGGTGTGTGATGTGTGATGTGTGGTGTGTGTGTGGTGTGTGATGTGTTTGTGTGATCTCTGGTGTGTGTGGTATGTGCAGTGTGGTGCGTGTGGTGTGCACAGTGTGTGATGTGTGCATGTAGTATATGATGTGTAGTGTGTGTGGCGTGTGTGGCGTGTGGTATGTGTGACGTGATGTATGTGGTGTGTGTGGTGTGTGTGATGTGTGGTGTGTGTGGTGTGTGGTGAGTGTGATGTGTCGTGTGTGTAGTGTGTGGTGTGTGATGTATGTAGTGTGCGTGGTGTGTGTGGTGTGTGTAGTGTGTGGGGTGTGTGGTGTGTGATATATGTGGTGTGTGCTATGTGAGATGTGTGGTGTATGGTGTGGGGTGTGTGTTGTGTGTGTGGTGTGTATGGTGTGTGATATGTGTTGTGTGTGGTGTGTGTCTAACAGATTAGCATGAACGCATGTTTGTAACAGACTCAGGAGACCTGATGGCACTGCACAGCCCAGGTGAATTAGATAAATGTTGGGTCGACTTGGGCCCATGGAGAAACATCCCCAATAGCTTCTTGCTAACGTCAAGTCAGAGTTCCGAGCCTGAAGTGCAGCCTGGAGGCCACACCGTGGGGATTTAGAAGGGAGGGAGGACAGGGCAGGGAGGGTTAAGACTGAAAGCGTGTGGTTCAGGCTGCACAGGTGTTAGGAGCTCAGCAGGTGGGTAGGAGCCCCCTGATTCAAGCGCAATTGACCGGGAGGCAGCTGGGAGCCCTGGTCAAAGGGGACAAAGAAAGGCACCGCAGGGCTGGAGGAACCGGCAGTGGTGCTGAATGTGGCACTGGTGTGAGCAGACAGACCTGGCCCTCAGAGCCTGATGACCTTAGAGCCACGACACTGAGGGACGTGGAAAAAGGCCGCGCTGCACAGATGCAGACCAAAGCATTTCAGTAGTGATAGGTATTTTGTTGTTTCTTATAAAACACTTCCTAGAATCCATCTATATCAATAATTTTATATATATCTTTAAAAGTAGATAAACATGTGAAATATTTGTCTTATACATATTCTGGCATCAATAAATTAATATGAGATTCCTTTAATTTTTACAGTAGATAACAGAGACACATGAGTTAATTTTATAGGATAACCTAGGAGTGCTATTAAGTCACAATTATATGAATTCTTTGTTCAGAACTAGTGAATTTAGAAAGTTTTCTGTTTTTCATTCATGTTTCTGTTTTAAAAATTATGCATTTTCATTGAAAAATGTATATGCCAAACTTAAAAGTACAAAGAAAAATGAAACAAAACCCAACAGTAATAGTACAAGCATGATAAAATTATTGGTAATATTTTGTTTTCTTCTACATGCACACACACACAATTTTTAAAGAAAAACGGAATGCTTGTATGCACACTGTTTTGTACGCTTTTTATTAACAGACTATGATTAATATTTATCATACCTAAATATTTTTCTAAACATGATCTGTACATAGTTTGCATTATATGAACCATGATTTATTTAACCAACTCTTATTTCCAACTCTGGCCAATAAACAGTTCTTCAGAACACCATTACAGATAAATATTGTGTTCATTGTTTATTATTTGATCACAATAAATTTCTGGAAGTTAAATGGCTAAAATGAAATATAAGAACATCTTTGACATTCATACCATATACTGAGACTTCCAGTTATCATACTTAGGAGTGCCTGAGACCAACAGTGTTAGGCCAACACTGGCAATGCATTTTTAATGACTTTACAAATGTTTCATGGTCTATCATTGTTTTAATCTGCTACCTAAGATTACTGATAATATGGAACAATGTTTTTCACGTTTATTTATTTGTATTTCTTCTTTAATAAAGTGTGTGTTCTGATCTTTGAAATTTTCTTAAAATTAATAAAAATTTTAAATATTTTATTTAAAAAGCAAAATATTGTTTTGTTAAAATATTTAACAGGAATAATGGTAGTTTCTGAAATCTACACCTTCACAAATAATCTCCAAAAATACAAAACAATAATATGAATCTAAAAAGAAAAGGAAACACTCAACATACTGGACACAGAATTATCTCAAACTTAAAGTCACTTCTAAGTAAGAAAAAAAATTTTTTAAAGGAAGATTTTTGTATGCTTCTTCCAAGAGTCTTTGCAGTGAGCAAAGGGGCTTACAAACAACTACAGAGAAGAAAGAAGAACGAAGCTAGCATCAGGCTAAAGATTGATTTAAAATCACAGTCCTAAAGAGAAAAATCATCCTAAATGTGAAAATAATGAAAAGGTATTCTGATATTTTAAAGAAGTGACTGCAGTGGAAGAACCTTAAGGTGAGTATAATTTGAAGGGCAGTCTTCAAAATGCATTGCTTGTGGGGGAGAAGAAAGCAAAAGCACTAAGGGAGAGGCACTCTTTGGGAGCTGATATAGGGGAAGAAAAAAAATCAACGTTTCAAGTCCCACGTGGTCAAAGAGAACACAAGCCCTCCCTCTACCACCAGCAGTAGGAGCAGCAGAAATCCATTAATGAAACCATGCTTAACTGCATGAACAGAAGAGGGTGCTATTGAACTAGGAATCTTATAAACCACCCTCAAATCTATAAAATTAATTTTAAAAATATGTTAATTTCAATAAAGCTACTACATTAAAATTAGTAGTCCAAAAACAATATTCAGTTTGCTCTTCAAACCCCCAAAAGAAACATGAAGCAGAATAAAATTTTAACCTAATATTTCAAACTACATTAATTATCCTTAAACAATTATTTGTGAGATATGAAAACATCTAGACACTGTAAAACAAAAATGAAAAAAAAAGAGGAAAAACCACAATGAGTATGAAATGACAGTTGATTGAACACAGGATGAAAATGCTGAAAACAAAGTTATCTCAGAAATAGAAAGCAAAGTAAAGTGCACCATGGAAAATAGCCTAAAATGAAAATTTACCAAGATGTATTGAATAAATGTAGGGAAATACAATGAAAATGAGAAAATGAAGAAGCGAAAATGATTATGGAGAAAAGGTTGAAACAACATACATATAATTGGAATCCATGAAGGCAAAAACAACAAAGCTATTTAATATAACGAATATTTAAAATTATAATCTGAGAAAACCTTCCCAAAATAAAAGAAGCTATTAGTCTATGTATTTAAAGATACACTAGATTAATAGGAAAAATTGACCCAGATAGATCAACAACAATACATCCCAACAAAACTCTTAGATCTCAAGGAAAAAAGTCTTCAAAGCCTTCAGGTCAAAAGATCAAATAATTTACATGGCATAATAATGTGTAAGATAATAATGAAGCATAATTAAAATAAAAAAGAAAATGTAAAGCAAAAAAATTATATTCAGCCAAGACTTTCTTCAAGTTTTAAACATACAAGAACTTAGGGAATTCTGTATACTTTGGAATTTCTTGAATAACATACTAAAGGATAACCTTCATTCACCAACAAATATTTGTAAAAACGTCAATCAATGGCCAATGGTGTATTGTTTACATATCTAATTAGAAAGCTAAGATTACAACAAAGCTAGGGACAAAGATGGGAAATTAATGAATACATATGAAAGTATTTAATTTCTCAAAAAATCATACTATATGGGATATATTTAAAGCAGCAATCAGAGGAAAATCCATAGTTCTTAATGTTTTTTCAATACAAATAAAACAATAAAATGAATTAAATTATCAGCTCAAATGTTTAAAAAAGACAGCAAAGTAAACAAAGAAAGCTCAAATGAAGAAATAATATAGATAAAAAATGAATAAAGTAGAAATTAGAAAAGTAGTAGCCTTCATTAATAAATAATAATTCCGTATTTTTCAAATGAACAAAATACACAAATCACTACCTAACTCAAACAAGAATAAAGGACATACACATACGAAGTGAGCTATAGACATAGATACAGATATAGATGTAGATGTACAGATACACATGCACAAAGAGAAATAAGTATTGAAATGAAATTATTAAAAAATAAACCGTCAGAGAGTATTTTGCAGGCCTCTGTAAAAATCTATTTCATATGAAGAAACAAACATGAGACAAGCCAGAGAAACACTGAAAAACCAAAAAAGTCACTCATGGTGGTAGTGGTGGAAATGGATTAGTTCTACCAGACATTAAAACATGCCATGCAACCTCTATGATTTACATAGTGTGGTACAGGTACATAGATAGAAAATAGAACAGTGGGATGAAATAAATTTCCAGAAATAGACCCCAAAATACAAAAATTTAGTGTACAATAAAGATCCTATCTCTTATCACTGAAACAAAGATGGAGTTCTTAATAAATGTACTGGAAAACTAATTTTCCATTTGGACAAAGGTAAACTTGGATCTTTATTTTATGCCATACACAAGAATAAACTACAAATGTATTAGGAAACTAAATGTAAAAAAGCAAAACCATACATGCACTAGAAAAAAGAAATGAGTAAATTTCCCTTTAACATGGGTAAGAGAAGATTTTGTATCTACAACTAAAAATTGAGATGTAATAAAAGGTTGATAAATTGGATTATTCAAAATATTTTCACAAGTTCATGACAAAACACTATAAACATATTAGCAAACAACCAGAAAGTATTTGTGACATTCTCAGAAATTGTCATTATTTGACCTTACTCAGTGAGAAAATCCTTATTTTATGTCCAGGGAATCTATTGAAAATAATCAATGGAAATTGTTACAATTGCACTTACTTAAAGAGGTGATACCAGTGTTGCAAACAAGAGGATGGCCAAGAATCTTACTAGGAAGATCTGGGAAGTAAGATGTCCACAGGGCATTGAGAATCATCTGCACGCTCCAGGGAATATAGACAGCTATGTGACTGCAGAGCTGCGTACAACTCAGAAAAGACACAAGTCCCCATTTCTTACCTTAGGCTGATCCTGAAGCTCTTCACAAGGAAAAGGGGAAGGCCAAGGCATAGACGTACAGTCACTGTGTTGAATGACAGCATGTCCCATCTCACATTGGAAGCCCCTTTGCAAAGGGTGGGAAACATTGATGAAAGAGGCTTAAGAAATCTTGGTTGAATCATTTGCTAACAATGAAGATAACTGAGCATGACTTCTGTGTTCACACAAAGTGGGGAACACGCACTTTACAGAATTAGACCAGGAATATCACTGACAAGCAAATAGCAACAACAGCAATGATGGCAACCACAACAAAGAGCAACAACACCACACAGATTGGGAGCTTTAGTTTCCAGAGTGGACAAATTTAAAAAATATATGTATTTAGTTTTAACAAAGAATTATGAGGCATGCATATAACACAGGAAAGTATGGCCCATCCCCAGGAAAGCAGACAGTGGAAAGAAACTGTCCTGAGGAAGCCCAGATGTTAGATTTACTAGACACATACTTTAAATGAGATATAAGTCTAATAAAAGAACTAAAGGATATCATGTCCAAAGAATTAAACAAGCATGGAGATAAATGGCTCACCACATATATAATACCAATGAAAAAAAGAAATTTTTTAAATTCCAACTCTAGAGTTGAAAAGTTTAATGACTGAAATAAAATCTTGCTAAAGTGATTTAACATCATGTTTGAGATGGAAGAAGAGAGAATCAGCAACCTTGAAGATATTTCAAGTGAGATTATTCAGTCCAAGAAAGAGAAAATAAAAGAATGAAGATACATAAATAGACTCAGACTTTGGGGCACTTAGTCAGTTCAGCTGCTATAATGAAATACAATAAACTACGTGGCTGAACAACAACAACAATTTTATTTCCCACAGTTCTGAAGGCTGGAAGTCTGAGACCAGAGTGACATCGTGGTTGAATTCTGGTGAGGGTCATCTTCCTAGTTGCAGGCTGCTGACTTCTTTGTAACCCCACATGGTGAAAAGTGCACTGGCCAGCTCCCTGGACTCTTTTTATAAGGGCACTCATTCAGTTCATGAAGGTTTCATGCTCATCACCTAATTCTCCCAAAAGCCCCACCTCTGAATACCATCAACATATGAATTTGGGGGGATGGAAATATTCAGTTAATTGCATTTTGCTTTCTTGCCCCACAAAATGTATGTCCTTCTCACATACCAAAGACATTCATTTCATTCCAACAGCCCAAAAAGTTTTAACTTATTTCAGCATCAAGTTTGCAATCTAATGTCCAAAGTTTTATTAAAATATTATTTAAGTCAAATATAGGTGAGATTTGAGGTACACTACTTATTCTGAGGCAAAATTTCTCTGCAGTGATAAATTCATTAAATTAAGTATGTGCTTCCAAAATACAATGATGGGACAGACATAGTTACCCTTTTCTCCCAAAAGGAAGAAAAAAGTGGCGATGGGTCCCAAGCAAGTCCAAAATCCAACAAGGCAAACTTTATGAGATCCTAAGGCTGGAGAAAGATCCTTTTTGGCTTAATTTTGTACACTTCCCCCCGGCCCTGCTCAGTGAGATGGTTTTCCTGCCTTATGGACCTACTGGAGTGGCAACCCTTTCTGCACCCTAGGAGAAGGAATTGCACCCTAAGGGCTCTACCCCAATGTCTTTGGGCAAAGATCATCTGGCCTGTTGGAAATTAGGTGATGGTCCCCCTTTTCAAAATGGGGGAGGCAGTCCTGATAATCTCTGAATTACCTTTGGGGTCTTTCTTCCTTTGTCTTGAAGAATAGTGCTATAGTCCTATTCTGTAAAATCCAAGAAATCCAACAGCCTTCTTTTGTTCCTTCTCATCTCCTTCATTGTCAGATCAAACTGACAGTTTTTCTGCTGAGGTAGCTAAGGCAGTTCATAGTTTACACTGCTACTAATTTCCCTATCAGAAGGGCACTTGGGCCACACCTTTAGTGTTCTCTTTCAAACATGCTTTCTCATTTTTTTTTTTTGCAACATGGATCAGCTGAGAATTTTCTAAATCTTTATATTCTAGTTCTTTTTTGTTTAGTAATTCCATCTTCAAGTGATTTCTCTTTTTAAATTTTACTGTAAGTCATCAAGAGGGACCAAACAACCCCTGCAACACTTGGTATGAAAATCTCCTCAGCTAAATATTCATCTTTATTCCTTGAAATTTCTACCTTCCGCAAAACACTAGGACATGAACACAGTTGTGCCAAGTTCTTTGCCATTTTATAACAAAGATGGCATTTCCTCCAGTTTCTAATAACATGTTTCTCATTCCATCTGAGACCTCATCGAATGGCCTGTTTGCCAGCCATATTTCTACGACTTTGTTCAGGATTGCATAGGTGTCCTCTAAGGCAACTGGGTGTTTCTCTTCAGGCTTTCTTTTTCCTGTCTGGGCTCTTACCAAATTGCCTTTAATAGTCCATTCATGGCAATGTAGGTTTTTTCAGCATGCACCTAAAAACTCTTCCAGCTTCTATCCATTACCCAGTTCTAAAGCCAAGCCACTTCCACATTTTTAGATATTTGTTTACAGTAGCACCCCCACTTCTTGGTACCATTTTTAAAATCTTAGTCCATTATGGCTGTTATAACAAAATATGTACTATACAGCATTTAAAAAAAAGAAATTTATTTCCCACAGTCTGGAGGGTGGGAATTCCGAGATCAAGACACCAGCAGATTTGGTGTCTGAAGAAGGCCTGCTTTCTGGCTCACATATGGTGCCTTCTTGCTGTGTTCTCACATGGTGGAAGGAACAGCAGCTAGCTGTCTAGCTTGGTCTTATAAAGGCTCAAATGTCATTTACAAGGGCTCCATTTTCATGACCTAATTACCTCCCAAAGGCCTCACCTCCAGATATTATCACATTGTTGGGATTAGGAATTCAATACATAAATTTTGGAGGCACACAAGCATTTCAGTTCAGCACAGACTTGTGCACACAGGCATTTCAGTTCAGTACATTTGATACCTAACATATCATTGACCAATGGGTGTCCCATTAAGAGAGGAAAGAAAGAGAGAAATAATCAAACAGAACATTTGAAGAAATAATGGCTAAAACTTTTAAAATTTGACGTAAAAGGTTAATCTGCACATTTAAGAATCTCAATGAACTCCTAGCAGAATGTACTAAAAGAAATGCACACCTACACACGTTGTAGTCAAACTGTAAACACCCAAAAGAAACAAAAAATGTGGAGAGTGCCAAGACAACCTGGATGCATCATGTGAAAGTATTATCAATAAGATTAACAATTGGCTTATCAGAAAACACGGGCACCGGAAGGCAGTGAGAAAACATATTTAAAACACTGAAAACAAAATATCAAGAATTCTATATGTGGCAGAGCTTTCTTTAAAATATGAAAGAGAAATAAATCATTCTCAGAACAAAAAACAATTGTTGCTATCAAACATGCACTACCATAAATACCCAGGAGGGGCCTTCAGTCTGAAATGAAAGAGCAGCAGGCAGTAAGTGGAATCCACCAGGAAAGATGAATAATACAATAGATATGGACATAGATATGTCCTTTGTATAAAGATACAGATTCATATAAGACCCGTATGAGAACAGATGGGTTTAATGATGTTTGTTTGATCAATGCCAAAATAATCATTTTGCTTATGATCCTCTTCTGAAATAAAGCATAAATACTAATAATTATAAAACTATGTTGATGGATTTCTATTGTATAAAAATGTTGTTTGACAATAATAGCAAAAAGAAGAAAAATTAAAAAGAGCATTATTGGAACAAATTTTTGAATACTATTGAAATTAAGTTGGTATTAATATAAACAATATTATTTTTGTTAGTATGTTAATTTTAATCCCCAGGGAAGTCACTAAGAAAATAATTTTTAAAATACAGTAAAATAAACAGCTTAAAATGGCACACTAGAAACTATCTACTTAACTTAAAAGTAAATAGCAATGAAGGAACAGGATAACAAAAAAGACAGAAATGTACAAAAGCAACCCAGCAAAATGAAAGACATAAATCCTACCTTATGAGTAATTAAAATTAATTTAAATGGGTTAAACACTTTATTTTAAAAGGTAGAGATTTTCAGAATGAATTAAAAATAGTTGAGCTGTATCTTGTCTGCAAGAAAAACACTTTAAACTGAAAGAATCAAATAGGGTGATATTAAAAGGATAGAAAAACAAACACCATGAAAACATCAACCGAAAGAACTGAAGTTTGCTACACTAACACCAGACAAAATCCCCTCCAAAAAGTAAAACAAAGTTGGAATCGTCACACTTCCTGATTTAAAATCATATTACAAACTTATAATAAACAAAACAGCATGGCACTGGCATAAAAACAGAAACATAGACCAAGGGAGCAGAACTCAGTGACCAGAAATAAATTCAAACATATATGATCAACCAATTTATGACAAGGGCTCTGTGATGGTTAATACTGAGTGTCAAATTGATTGTATTGAAGGACACAAAGTATTGATCCTGAGTATGCCTGTGAGGGTGTTGCCAAAAGAGATTAACATTTGAGTCAGTGGGCTGGGAAAGGCAGACCCACCCTTAATGCGGGTGGGCACAATCTAATCAGCTGCCAGCGCAGCTAGAATATAAGCAGGCATAAAAATGTGAAAACAGAGACTGGCCTATCCTCTCAGCCTACATCATTTTCCTGTGCTGGATGCTTCCTGATCTTGAACATTGGATTCCAAGTTCTTCAGTTTTGAAACTCGGACTGGCTCTCCTTGCTCCTTGGCCTGCAGACAGCCTATTGTGGGACCCTGTGATCATATGAGTTAATACTTAATAACCTCCCCTTTATATATATTCCATTAGTTCTGTCCCTCTAGAAAGCCATAACTAATACAGGCTCCAAGAGGGCACAATGGGAAAGAGTCTCTTCAATAAACGGTGCTGGGGAAACTGGATTTCCACATGAAACAGAATAAAATTGAATGCATATTTCACACCATATACAAAAGTTAATTCAAAATGAATGGAAGACCTAAATGGAAGACCTGAAACCATAACTTCTAGTATAGAAAGGAGAAGAAAAAAATTTCTTGGCATTGGCCTTGGCAATATATTTTCTTAAATATTATATCAAACACTTATACTATAAAACCAAAAATAAATAAATAACACTACATTGAATCAAAAAGCTTCTGTACAGCAAAGGAAACAATCAATAAAATTTAAAGTCACCTTATGGAAAAAAATAATTGCAAACCATGTACCTGATAAGGGGTTACTATTCAAAATTTATAAAGAACTCCTACAACTCAATAGCAGGAAAACAACAACAATTTGTCACAAAACAACTCAAAAAATGGGTGAAGAACCTGAACAGACAATTTTCCAAAGAAGACATAAAAATGGCCTTGAGGTACATGAAAAGGTGCTCAACATCATGAATCATAAGGGAAATACAAATTAAAACCACATGAGATACTGTCTCACACCTGTAAGGATGACTGTTATCAAATACACAAAAGCTAAGAGTAACACGCCATATTGATTGAAGAAAGGCCAAAATACACATGATCATTTTAATTGATGTAAAATAATCTTTTAACAAAATCCAACACCATTTTATGATAATACACTAATCAAGGTTGGAAAGGAATAAATAAAACTATATCTATTTGCAGATTACATGGTCTTGTACATAAAATTTTTTTTTGAAAAATCATAAAAAAAGGAACTTAAAAAACTGAGTGCCAGGATACAAGATCAATATGCAAAAATTAATTACACTTTTGTACACTAGAAATAAAATAATTTCAAAATAAAATTTAGAAATCTTTAAAAATAGTATAAAGACAATAAAATATTTATGTTTAAATTTAACATAAATAAGTGTAAGACTTGTATAGTAAAAAACTATAAAACATTGTAAAAGGAAATTACAGAGGATCAAATACATGGAAGACACCCTATGCTACTGATTGCAAGACTTAACCTTGTTAATGTGGTAATATTCTGTAAGTTGATCTACAAATTTAATGTAATTGCTGTCAAAATTCTAACTGGCTTTTAACTAACTGTGCTATAATTCTAAAATTTATAGGAAAATGCAAAGAATCCAGAATATCCAAAACAATACTAAAAAAATACATTTGACAGATTCATACTTTTTGATTTCAAAATTTACTACAAAGCTTCAGTTATCATGACAGGATGGAAATGGCAAAAGAGACACATAAATCACTGGACATGTAGATTTCTGAAATAATCCCTTACATATGTGGTTAATTGGTGCTCAAGAAGTGTGCGACCATTTTGGAAAATAGTTCGCTTTGACATTTTCTTAAAATGACAAACATAGAGTTACAATACAATCCAGTAATTCCGCTTCTAGGTATATATTCAAGAGAATTGAAAACATATGTTTACAAAAACATATAAGTCTTATTGAACAAATCCAAAAGGCAAAAACAAACCAAATGTTCATCAGATAATAAATGGATAAATATAATATGTTGTAGTCACATGAGATACTGTTCTGAAATAGACAGGAATAAAGGGCTTATTCCTGCTACCACACAGAGGAACCTTGAAAACAATATGCTGAGTGAAAAAAGCCAGTCACAAATGATTGTGTGATTCCCTTTGTATAAAACATCCTAAACAGGCAAATCTACAGAGATAGAAAGTGCATTGCTTGTGGCAGTGTCTTGACTGAGGGAGAAATGAGCAGTGCATGTTCATTAGGTGATTAAAAGGTTGTTACTGGTGAAGGTTGCACAACTCTGAACATACTAAACAAACACACACACAGAAACCAACCTCTAACTTCACATTTTAAAACAGTAGGGTGCTGCTGCCTCTGGCGTACACACGCAAGTGTAGACCCCACTGCCACTGCCTCAATGAAATGCTTTGGTTGGCACCCCCCTTTGGAGTATTGTTGCCAACAGACTGGGAACAGCTCAGCCCCTCCAGCACAGCAGTTGCTTAACCTCAGGTGGCCAGAGAACAAAGCTGTGGTCCTGGTACCAGACCCCAGGGTGAGATCATGCAGCCCAGGAGTGCTGAGCTGAGCCTTGGCTCCCTGAAATCTTCCAGAAATAAAGCCAGTTGACTGAACACAATTTACACTACAGTCAAACCCTCAAGAGCATCAAAGAAGATAAAAGCAATAAACCCCAACTAAAGGACAGCAACTTCCAAGATGAAAGGAACATCAGCCCACACAGATGAGAAAGAATCAGCACAAGAACTCTGGTAACTCTAAAACCCAGTGTCTACTCACCTCCAAATGACTGGATTGGCTTTCCAGCAATGGTTCTTAATCAGGTTGAAACAGCTGAAATGACAGATATGTAATTCAGAATATGGATAGAAACAGAAATCATGGAGATGCAGGAGAAAGTCAAAACCCAATCCAAGAAATGTAAGTAATCCAAGAAAATAATACAAGAGCTAAAAGACAAAATAGCCATTTTAAGAAAGAACTACATTTAGACAGAGCTAGAAAGCTCACTACCAAAGTTTCATAACACAAGCAGAAGTGTTAATAGCATAATAGATCAAGCTGAGAAAAGAATCTCAGTGCTCAAAGACCAGTTTTTCAAATCAACTCAGACAAAAGTTTAAAAAAGAAATTTAAAAAGAATGAACAAAATCTCTGAGAAATATGGGATTATGTAAAAGGACCAATGCTGTGACTCACTGGCATCCCCAAAAGAGACAGAGAGAAAGCAAGCAACTTGGAAAACATATTTGAGGATATTATCCATGAAAATTTCCCCAACCTCACTAGAGAGGTTGACATTCAAGAAATGTAGAGGACCCCTGTGAGATACCATAAAAGACAACCAACCCCAAGACCCAGGGTCATCAGATTCTCTAAGGTCAGCATGAAAGAAAACACATTAGAAGCAGCTAGAAAGAAGGGGCAGGTGAAAAATCTCTACAATGAGAATTACAAAACACTGCTGAAAGAAAACAGAGACAACACAAATGGAAAAACATACCATGCTCATGGATAGCAAGAATTAATATTGTTAAAATGGCCACACTGCCCAAAGTGATTTACAGGTTTAATGCTACTCCTATCAAACTACTAATGACATTTTTCAAAGAATTGGAAAAAAGAATTCTAAAGTTCATGTGGAATAAAAAAAAAAGCCCAAATAGCCAAAGCAGTCCTAAGCAAAAAGAGCAAAGCCAATGGCATCACGTTACCTGACTCTAAACTATACTACAAGGCTACAGTAACCAAAACAGCATAGTGAGACACATAGACCAATGGAACAGGTTTGAAAACCCAGAAATAAAGCTGCACACCTACAACTATCTGATATTTAACAAAATTCAAAAAAAAAAAGAAAGAAAGAAAAGAAAAGAAAAGAAATACAAGCAAGGGGGAAATAACTCTTTATTCAATAAATGGTGCTGGGATAACCAGCTAGCCATATGCCGAAAATTGAAACTGGACCTCTTCCTTTCACCATATACAAAAATCAACTCCAGATTGATTAAAGAATTAAATATAAAATCTAAAACTATAAAAACCCTGGAAGAAAACCTAGAAAATACCATTCTGGACGTAAGCCTTGGCAACGATTTCATGACAAAGTCACCAAAAGCAATTGCAACAATACCAAAAATAGACAAATGAGACCTAATTAAACTAGAACTTCTGCACAGCAGAAGAAACTATCAACAGAGTTAACAGACAACCTGTGGAATGGGAGAAAATGTTTGCAAAGTATGCATCTGACAATGGTCTAATACCTAGCATCTATAAGAAACTTAATAAGCAAAAAACAACCCCTTTAATAAATAGACAAAAGACATGAACACACACTTCTAAAAAGAAGACATAAACATGGCCAACAAACATATGAAAAAATGTTCGACATCAATAATAATTAGAGAAATACAAATCAAAACTATAGTGAGATATCATCTCACACCAGTCAGAATAGCTATTAATAAAAAGTCAAAAAATAATAGATGCTGGTGAAGCTGCAGAGAAAAGGGAATTATTATGCAATGCTAGTGGGAATGTAAGCTTGTTCAGCCACTGTGCAAATCAGTTTGTAGTTTTCTCAAAGAACTTAGAACTACCATAGCAATCCCATTACTGGGGATAAACTCAAAGGAATAGAAATCATTCTAACATAAAGATCCCTGCATGTGTATGTTCACTGCAGACTATTCAGAATAGTGAAGACATGAAATCAACCCAAATGCTCATCATTAGCGGACTGGTTAAAGAAAATGTGGAACATATATACCACGGAAGACCACACAGCCATAAAAAAGAATGAAATCATGTTTTTTTGCAGCAACATGGATGCAGCTGGAGGCCATTATTCTAACCGAATTTACACAGAAACAGAAAACCAAACACTGCATCTTCTCACTTATAACTAAGAGCTAAATATTGAAAACACATGGACATGAAGAAGGACACTGGGTCCTACTTGAAGGAGGAGGGTGGGAGGAGGGCAAGGATTAAAAAACAACCTGTCAGGTGCTATGCTTATGTCCCGAGTCACGAAATAATCTGTACACCATCTATACACCAAACCTCTGTGATGTGCAATTTACCCATGTAACAAAACTGCACATGTACACCCAAACCTAAAATTAAAGTTGGAAAGAAAATAAATACGCAAACAATAAAAAGGGCGAATTGTATGATATGTAAATTATGTCTTAACAAAGGTGCTATTAAAAAGGGGGATGGGCTGGGCGTGGTGGCTCACACCTGTAATCCCTGCACTTTGGGAGGCCAAGGTGGGGGGATCACGAGGTCAGGAGTTCGAGACCAGCCTGACCAACATGGTGAAACCCTGTCTCTACCAAAAATACAAAAATTAGCCGGGCATGGTGGTGGGCACCTGTAATCCAAGCTACTCAGGAGGCTGACGCAGGAGAATCACTTGAACCTGGGAGGCAGAGGTTGCAGTGAGCTGAGATGGTGCCATTGCACTCCATCTTGGGTGACAGAGCAAGACTCCATCTCAAAACAAAGGGGTGGGATGTCCCTTAAATATATAAAAAGATAGTCAAAGGTCACTCATAATTTGAGAAATGCAAATCGAAGTTACACTGAGATACCATTTCTTATCTAATTAATTTGGGAAAAATGGTGACAACACACAGTGCTGGTGAGGCTGTGGGGAAATAAATGCTGTGATAGGTTGCAAGTGGGAATGTAAACTAGGAAAACCCTTTGAATGAACATTTGGCAATATCTGTCAAAGTATGCATGTATGTTTTGAATGAGCAATCCCTCACCTAGTAATTCTTTCTGAAGATACACCTGCAACAATAGGAATTCTTTCTGAAGATACACCTGCGAAAATATAAAACACAAACACGTGGTTATTGGCTGCCTCACTGAAATGGAAAACTATTGAAAATGACCTAAACGTCCATGCCTTGGAGAGTGGGTGAGGAAATTGTGTGGCATCTGCACAGTGGAATAGAAAAGAGCTGTAAAATAAAGAGGAGAGAAAGGGCCACAGGAAGTGCCTAAAACTGATTTCCAGGATATATTACTACGTGGGAAATAGTATAAAATATGTCTAAAGTACGGCACAATGTGTGTAAAATATTGAAAATAAGATACATGTATCTGCTTAACTGTAGAACACAAACACAGAGGGCAGAAGGCCAAGCTTGTCATGGATGGGGCTGGGAATGGAATGGAAAATTTGGTTGCAGAACGCTTCTCAGTAGAGTTTTTTGTGCTTTGAGAACCACATTAAATTTCACATACCTATACCACAAATATATCACTTCATTGAATAGACCATTTGTATTGTTGTTTTAGAACTATGTAAAAGAATCAACGCAGGTGGGTGGAAATGCCCAAATGGGATGCAAACAGAAGCAAACGATCAAACCTGTATTTAGAATGAATGACGACCATCCTTTGGGACTGGGGCGGGCGGCCTGCGGGGAGA
Organism: Homo sapiens; assembly: GCF_000001405.40. Lineage (NCBI taxonomy): Eukaryota > Metazoa > Chordata > Mammalia > Primates > Hominidae > Homo > Homo sapiens. Next base: position 542,885 of record NC_000002.12, read on the forward strand.
TTAACCAAATACCTTCAGGATGGGGCATTTGACCATCAGGCTTCACTTAGAGGACTGCAAATGAATGCTGTGCTTTACTTCACAGGTTTGTTTTTTTACAGAAGCATCGGTCTGCAATTTCTAAACCACCCTTTAACTATATATTTTCATTTGCTGTAGTTGTGTAAAAACTCTGCAAAAACTAATAAAGGAGTTATCTTGGTCTTGGCAGAGATGAGCCATTATAGGGGTAACGAAGCAACTGTCTCTTCTGCGCACATTATACATTGTTTTTCGTTTTAAGCTTGTGTATATATGGCTGAGCCAAAACTTTTAAAAGATAAATAATAAGGTGAAGAGTCATAAATGTACAGATTTGTCCAGTAAGAGCAGGTTCTGAGGAAGAGATTTCTAAAATAGAGCATTTTTTGTCCAGTTACAAACATGCCTTTTTACTTTCACGGATACTGTCAAACGGTCGTCTGTCCATGTTGGTGCCAACAGTGCGCATCTCAACCAGCTCAAGTAACTGTCACTTAAAAAAATATTTTCCAATCCTAGGAGAGAAAAGATGGCATGATATTATTGGTTTTATGTTTAGTTTCTTATATTTTATGAGACTGAACATCATCTCGTGCTTATTGAGCACTCTGCTTTTTTGAATTGTGAATTTATGTATTTTCCCTTATTTACCTAATATCACCTTCCAAGTATTATCAGGTATTGTCTCCTCTTTTCTCTTCCTGCGAGGCTGTGTAGAGGAGAGGCCGCCTGCCCACAGGCTGGAGGGTAGGAGGCAGGGAGGGGGGAGGGTGGGAGGCAGGCAGGTTGGAGGGTGGGAGTCACAGAGGTGGGAAAGTGGGAGGCAGGGAGGCTGGAGGGTGGGAGGCAGGGAGGCAGGAAGGTGGGAGGCTGGAGGGTGGGAGGCAGGGAGGGGGGAGGGTGGGAGACAGGCAGGCTGGAGGGTGGGAGTCACAGAGGTGGGAAAGTGGGAGGCAGGGAGGCGGGAAGGTGGGAGGCAAGGAGGCGGGAAGGTGGGAGGCAGGGAGGCAGGATGATGGGAGGCAGGGAGGCTGGAGGGTGGGAGGCTGGAGGCAGGGAGGCAGGGAGGCAGGAGGGTGGGAGGCAGGAAGGCTTGAAGGTGGGAGGCTGGAGGCACGGAGGCTAAGGCGTGCAGTTACATAGGCTGCATATGTTTTATCTTGGTTTGTTACTTGCTGTTAATCTTGTTTATTGTTCTTTGGCCCTACAAAATCTTTTAGCTATTGTGAAAAAATATTTATTTATTTTTTTCCTTGCAGCTTATGGAAAGTGTAAGATTATATATTTTTTCAAATATTTAGTTCTATTTACATTGCTTTTTATCACATGCAGATTTCTATCTGAGTAGTGTATTATGTGTCTTGGGATCTGACTTTTTTAAATGGAGTTAATATTCCCAATATTAGTTATTTAGGAATCCATGAACTGACCTCAAATAACGCTTTTACTACATACTCCATGGATATAATTTGGGGGACTACATCGGGTAAATATTTATTAAGTGAGAAGATCAGTGGCTTATTCCTCACCTAATCCTTGTTCACACTAACCTTCGTCACTGCCTGTTCCTGTTCCCCAAGCCCCACTCTAATGCTAAGTCATCCTGGCATTTCTTTGAGTTAAGCAGCAATAACTCCTTATTTTGACATTGTATTTTTGACCAATCACAGCGATCTGTTTAACCTCCCCTGCCCTTCGGTTTAAGACATCACCTTCAGCAGGTATTAGTGTTTCCTCTTACTTTGCTGAAGTAACAACACTGTAGTGGAAACCCGTTATTTAATTCAGCCTGTGACCCACCTGTGACTCTTCAGGCTACAATAACCTGCAAGCTTCTTTGCTGTTCAATTCTCGATGCATGCTCATCATGTTCTAATTTAAACGCCATCTCCTCCTCCTGAGGCCCCTCCTGAGGCCCCTCCTGGCCCTGCAGCTGGAGTCCAGGGCTAGTCCCCCACTCTGCTTTCCTCCTAGCACGGCCTGTTCCTGTCTGCCTTCCACAGCGGGCGCTGAAGAAGCACGGAGAATCTCCCCTGGCCCCTGTTCTCACCCTCACTGCATGTTCCAGGAGATCCTGTGACCTCAGTCAAAGCTGGGGGCAGTTTTCGAAGGAGGCTTTTCTCTCCAATTCTTCAGCTTATTGTTTCAGGGCATAGCATCCCTGCATAAATGAACAATTTTATTTTCAACTAAAGGTTTTGTCCCATCATAAAACATTTTCACCATGAGTCAAGGTAACATTCTGATTTTTTTTTAATGGAAAGAAGTAACAGGGAATGAAACATACAAAGCCAGAAGAGGTTTGGAATTTGAATGGAATCCAGGTGATTGATAAAGCAGGGGTGTTGCTTCATGTCAACCGCCCACTTACCGAACTGGAAAAACAGTAGGCAATTCATTGAGGGATGATTTTACAGACCTACACAGAGATGGAAATTGACTGCAGAAAAGATTTTGGAAGGCTCACCTCAGCCTCTTTCTGGAGAACCGTGTTGATCAAGCGTGCAATCACAAACGCAGGCATCCTTCCACCGTGGTGAGGAGGCGACTGTGGGCTGTGTCACAACCCTGATCTGCCTTTCTCCTGATGCCCACAGACGTTTGAGAAGCATCGCTGCTGCCGTGGAGCACACGGAGTCAGTGAGCTGGGGCTGAGGCTTCCTTATTCCCTGCAGGTGTCTCCTGTGATGCTGCGTGCTGGAGAGAACCCAAGGTCAGTTACCCTTAGAGCTCCTCCTACGATCCAGTCCGCGTGATCCTTTGAATAATTGCCTTCTGCTGTTTACCGACAGATTCTCTATTCCTAGAACAGGAGCTAACACTCCATAACCGTTATCTGTATCATTGTGGTAAGTAAAGTTCTCTGACAAGTTCCTCATGTGTGGAACAAGAGTAACACCCAATGAGCTGCCTGAAGGATTCAGTGTCTTGGTGTTCACAAGGCCCCAGCACATCGTCTAGGACGTGAGACCCACACGCCGCCCTCAGTCTCCTCAGTTCACTGTTTCCCCCGGGGAAACAACCGCCAGGGCCTGTAGGAAAACACAGCAAACTAGAAAGTCCAGTTGGAAGAGATTTCAGATGTGCTACAGCCTCCACGGCAGGAGTGAAGCTGGACCTCCAGGCTCCTGGTGAGAGCCGCGGGTGGGTGTGGTGTCCTGGATGCGGGGGGCCGGCCACAGGTGCTGGTGGGTTCTCCCAGGCATCAAAGGTGCCTGCTACCTCTTGTCCAGACATTGTGAGACATCTGAGCTGGAACGTGAAGTATCACAAGTGTGGAGCTCAGGAGAGGCCTCCAGAGCAAAGATGAAAGCTTGGGGTCATTTGTCTACAGATGACACTGAGGATTGTGGAGCTGAGTGACACCAGCCGGCAGGAGAGGCCATGGCAGGAAGTGGAGCCTCCCACCGAACTCCAGGGAGCACCAGCGACTGAGAGGCCACATGGCGGGCGGCTGTGGGTTGGGGGGGCTGCCTGCCCGCACACTCTTTACGGCAGAAGCAGTGACATTTCCCTTGCTGTGCCCATGGCAGGGACGGGCCCGTGGCAGGTGCTGTGAGCATGTGCTTGCCAAGTTCCTGATGCGGAGCCCAGCCAGCCCAGAGGGCCACATTCTTGTCACTGCTTCTTGGAGCCGCAGCTCATGCCAAGTTCCTCACACCCCTCTCTGGGCTCTAACTTTGTGCTGCCTCAGATGTTCAGGGTACTTTGCTTCAAGCCATATCAAAAGCTGGTTTGAAAAATAAAGTCCTACAGAGGTGCTAACTGAATAAGGTGAGTTTTTTATTTTAATAGGTGCCTTCTAAAGACAGCTGTCTTATCTTGTTATTTATCACTCACATCTGACACTAATGTCAGTGATTTCCATGTGGATAGGGAAGGCACTGGGACTTGCTGCGGAGCTGGGCATGAGGCTATGAAATTCGAGTCAGTTGCTTTGCTTGGTCCTACTGCACGTCGTGGCAATGCATTTGACACCCATACTGTTATGCAGCCAGCCAACATTCCTGGAAGCATCCAGTAGCTGGAAAAGTCTCCGGAGAATACAACAGGGTGGTGCTCTGTGCCGGGAAGATGTCCCAAAAAGCATTTTCTGGAAACTAATATCCGCCGTGGTCCTATTTTTGAAAGCAGAAATGGCTCTTTGGAGAGAACAATTTAAAGGGTATGAGTGTGTTTGTGCCGTAAGCAGCGGCTGCTCAACAGGACTGAGCTCCACTGCGGCACTCAGCTCTGAAGACTCAGCTCTGAAGAACGCCCGACCCAAGGGCTCCTCCCCAGAGCTGAGATGTGAGAAAGGCATGAAAGCAGAATGGGAGACACCTGCACAGGGAGAGTGTCCCGCTACACAGGGAGGGACAGCCAGATACGGGGAGACACCTGCACAGGGAGAGTGTCCCGCTACACAGGGAGGGACAGCCAGATACGGGGAGACACCTGCACAGGGAGAGTGTCCCGCTACACAGGGAGGGACAGCCAGATATGGGGAGACACCTGCACAGGGAGAGTGTCCCGCTACACAGGGAGGGACAGCCAGATAGGGAGAGACACCTGCACAGGGAGAGTGTCCCGCTACACAGGGAGGGACAGCCAGATATGGGGAGACACCTGCACAGGGAGAGTGTCACGCTACACAGGGAGGGGCAGCCAGATATGGGGAGACACCTGCACAGGGAAAGTGTCCTGCTACCCAAGGAGGGACAGCCAGATACGGGGAGACCCTGCACAGGGAGAGTGTCATGCTACACAGGGAGGGGCAGCCAGATATGGAGAGACACCTGCACAGGGAGAGTGTCCCACTACACAGGGAGGGACAGCCAGATATGGGGAGACACCTTCACGAGGAGAGTGTCCCACTACCCAGGGAGGAACAGCTGGGCACAGGGAGATACCTTCACGAGGAGAGTGTTTCACTACACAGGGAGGAACAGCCGGGCACAGGGAGACACCTTCACGAGGAGAGTGTTTCACTACCCAAGGAGGGACAGCTGGGCACAGGGAGACACCTTCATGAGGAGACTGTCTCACTAAACATAGAGTGACCCGCAGGCACAGCATCTGCTTTCATCCCCAGAGGCCAGGACAGTATTTTTGTCCAGTTACTGCTTGGCTCAACTCAACACAACTGAGCCTGGTGGTGTTACAGAGAAATTCTAGAGCCTCAGAAGTCATGTAAATTAGATTCTCCTAATCAACATGGGCTCTGAAATGGGTCCTGTTCAAAGCAGCATTGGTGTCCATTTCTGTAGTGATGTGTGGACACTGTGTGGCACCTGCATCCTCAGAGGCCAACATCCTTCCTTGTCTTCAGAGAACCCCCTCCTGAGCACAGCGCCCCTCCAAGAGATTGTTCTAGGAAACTACTGTGCTGGTACGGAAAAAAGAATAAGCTATTCATGCAGAAATGTATTAACTGCATCAAACCTATTTCCAAAACAGTATTGGAGGAGGTTTATATTTAAAACCTATATAACACATATGTAGAAATATATAGAACACAGGTTGATGTTCTTGTGGTTTTTGTCATTACTTTTAGTGGCAAAAGCTGCTATTACTTTTGAACCAACCTCATATTTAAAATGCATATTACATTGAATAATAATATATTATTTTAAGTATATATACACATGTAGCATATATGTAAATATATTATTTTCTATATGTATATAGTTAAAAATAACTGAAGATGGAGAAAGAGGCTGTTGTCATTGGAAAGGCAGTCACGCAATGCTGGGCATGGGGTCGAAGTAAACGCCGTTAAGCTGTTGCTTTATTCTGTGTCCTCTGGATCCTTCCGACGCCCAGCTAAATGCACGTCTCCCCTTTCCTTGGCCGTCCTTCTAAACGTGCATGTAGTCAGATCATTTCTCAGGAACATGCATTCAAAGTGCCTCCTCTTCTGTAGAATTTGGAGGTCTGTGCACAATACAGGCTCCCTGCAGGACCCCCAGGGGCTCCCTCAAATTCCTACGGTCTCCACCCTTCTTCATCTGCCCAAACACCAAGAGTGAACCCCAACAGAAGCTGTGGACACCCTGTGATGTCACAGTGTGTGCCCTTGGAGGCTCATCCACTGTAACCACTGCTTTGTTTCAGCAGGGATGGTGGTAGCAGGCTGCTACCTGCCAGGCTGTGTGTGCAGGGGATATGTGGGAAACCTCTGTTCCTTCCTCTCAATTTTGCTCTGAATCTAAAACCCTGCTTAAAAAAGTCAATTCTTAAAAAAAAAACAGGATGGAGACAAACCTTTCAGATACAATACATGAACTTGGGTTCAAAAACAGTAAGAAAACTCTCTCCAGGGCAATTACAGAAATGTAAGTAGAGGCTGTATCCTAGATGGTATTATTCAATCAGTGCTAGTTTCTTAGGTGGGTGTGATCATGAATAGTGCTGTAATTATAAAAGTAAATAAAGGCACACGTGGAAGCACTGTTCAGTGACAGCATTTCTACAGGGAGCCACAGTGGTGCTGCCAAATTTTTTTTTCTGATGATTTACATTGGTATCAGATTGAACTCAAAGAAACTAGAGAAAGAAATGACTAGCCCATCCCTAAGGCCCTAGCTAAAATGCCACTGTCTCCACTGATCTTTCACCAAGACATAAATAATATTTCTTCAAGACCATCAACCTTGCAAGTGGCTCAGGAAGCATGCATTTCTCGTTGTTGGCTAAAAAAGGGTGCCATATGCTTTAGCAATCATAGAGTCAGCCTAGCAATGGGACTTTTCCATATGTAGAGCTAGGACCTGGCTACTTCTTTAATTAAGTTATAAATCCTTGCCTGATTTTATATTTAATTATTTTATATTTAATATATTTATATTTAATTTTTCAATGAACAATAGTTATTTTTCATGTTTTAAATAATTTATCATTGTAGTAGCAAGTCAAGAAGGGTGACCAAGTTGTTCACCTTTTAGTACCTGCAGCTGGTCATGCATGTCTGGTACCTGAGGCCTCAGTAAATGCTGAAAATTTCATTTAAAAGTAAGTAGCTGGTTTGCTGGACTTACACTGTTATCTCTTTGTAAATGGAACAAGGCTCCAGTATGACAAAGGGGAAATCAGTTGTATTTAATATCACCAGTCAACAGCCAACACCCCTAAGGCTAACTTACCATCCTTGTACTTACTATGTATAGCAGCGTACAGTCTCTTTCTAAAAAATTTTGAAACTTTCAATTTGACAAATCACATCTATATTTAATTAATATGAAACAAAAAAACTATGTTGACTTTAAAAGACCGGACTAGATTAAAATTATCTACACAGAGGATGCATTATATATTCTAAATATTCCACTTATAATTTTCATTTCTATTTAACTTCACACAAAAGAAACTTTATTTTGTAATTTTACGAGATTTTCAAGAAAAATATTTTAGTTGATTTAATATTTTTTCATTCAGCACCACACAAATCCTCAGAGAGAAAAACCTTATAGGAAACACGACCTTTCCATAACATGCACATTCATCTTCTTCCTTTCAAAATTGTCAATTATCCCAGTTGCTTAGTTCCCAGCATCTTTAAAGAGAATGAATTATTTATGCAGGTGGTTGCTGAAAATGAAACACCATTCAAAGTTGAAATTAAAGAATTGTAAGAGCTTGGGGAATTCCGATGCCCAAATATCATGGGGTCATCTTCATTTTAAAGATCGTGGCTTTTAATATTATCATTTTTATGACAGTGTACAGAGCAGGATTCTGGGATGCCTCAGCAGCTTCGCCGTGCCTTAGCACTTTTCTGAACTAACCAATGTATTACAAACTATCATTGAGATCGAAAGGTTTAGTCACATAACATTACAAATGATGGCATCATGTTAATTTGCATAGTTTTTCTTCACATTAATTTTATTGTATGGCTTGCTCTTTAGAAAGTGAGCTTCTTAAACTCAAAATAGTTCAATTTATCTACTGAGTTGTATTTTTGGGGGAGGGTTATCATTTTCCATCACATAAAGTTCACGCACTTGCAGACTGCTCACTCATGTATCAAGTTCCTGCTTGATGTCTGCACTTGGTCGTCTAATAGAGAGCTCAAAAGGCTCAGAACTGAGCTTCCAACTTCTCCACCCACAGCCTTCTCCACCTGTCTGCTTGCTTCTTCAACAGAGAGGCCTCCAGGCCTTGGTGACTGCAGGCAGTGAAGGCTCATTTCTCATTCACGGAAGCTGCGCAGCTGTCAGCAGAGAGCTCTGCTCTGTGCAGTCACTCAGGGTCTGACTGCTGCACAGCCATTGGTGAGGCTTCTGAGGTCCCTGCATGGGGAAGGATGAAACAGGAAAGGTGCTTCCATCTGCTCCTACCTGGAGGTGATGTGAGCTATTTCCTCTCGGTCACCATCCACAGACCAGAACACGTCTCAGGACAGAGGCTGCAGTGAAGGAGGTGGGACACAGAGGTACTCGCATCCCGTGCCTTGGGGCTCTCACTCCAGGACGTTAGTATCATCCGCACTGTGAGTCCCCACCCCGGGTGCTGAAACACCTCCCTCAGCTGCTTATGCAAGTGCTTTGAGTTAATCACCCATCTCTTTCTTTCTTTCATACCCCAGTGTAATTCCTCAGAAAATCCTAATGGCCCACTCCCAGCACACACAGAAAGCAGCTCCCATGACTGCTGCTGCCCGATCTGCCTGAACCATGCGGACGCCCCTCTTGACTCGGGCAGGTGCCACCTTCCCAGCCCAGCCCTTCTCAACCCAGAAGCCTGAGAATCCACTTAAAAAGGTGTCAGATCTGTCACTTTCCTGCTTAAAACCCTGCGAGTCTTCCTGATCCTCCGGGACGCTCTCCTGGGTCCTGTGAAGCCCTCACGAGGTCGTGCCCATCGACCTTTCCCACCACTGCCCCCACTTTCCTGTGTCCTCAGCCCATGGGCTCTTCCCTGTTCTTTCACCACAGGGCAGACGTCCCTGTCAGAGCCCCTGCCTGTTGGTCCCTTTGTGTGAATGCTGCTGTCCCAGCGCCTCCCGCGGGCCTCCTGCCGGACACCAGGGTATCCACAGGCTGCTCTGAGGATGCCGCCTGCACAGCCACAGGCACCACGGCCTTGAAAACAAAAGACAAAAACTATGGCCCCTGCCATCTTCTGACATCACACAATTTACTCACAAATACCTGTTGGTGTTTTGCACTCGGCCCACAGACTGTGAGCTCCGCAGGGACATGCACTTGGGCTGGTTTTGTTCAGTGATGACGCTCAGACACTTGCAAATACAGTACTCAATAACTAACATCAGTTTCTCAACTCACTGAAACTTTGTCAAATGAGAAAAGGTCTTCCAGCAACCCCTTCCCTGCCTGTTCCACTCTGGCCGCCCCACAAAACAGAGAAATGTCTGCACATCTGTGAGCTGATGCCAGAGACAGAAAGTGTGTCTAAAAGCAGAACATCCCCAGGCCTTCCCATGCACATCGTATGTATCAAGGAGTCTCTGAAGCCAATTTATACTAAAACTACGGCTTCCTTCACCTCCTAGCCAGCCCTGCCCCACCCACCGCCGCACACTGACCAGCTCTTCCACACTAAGGGAAATCCATTTAAAAATAGCCTAATTGAACCTGATTAGGTGTTGCTGCCAAAACGATATGCATTCCTCTTTCAGAGCTGTATAGAGGAGGCCTGGTGGCCATGGGCTTGGACCGAGCCTGCTCTTCTGCACATGGATGGCTGAGTGTTGGCAGGATCCCATTTCTACGTCAATATATTAGGCATTTCCATCAAATGCTTCAGGATATGAGAATGCAGCTACATGTCACACAGGTCTTGTTTCAAAAACTTAATCCCCATGAAAGTTTCTGATTGTACCCCAGATGGTAGTGTGTAACTTGCTTCTCCATCAGGGAAAGTCCTGCTGTCCATGTGAGGCTCTGGCTCTCCCATTTTCCACCCCTGGGCTGTGATCACAGCAGAGCAGGCTTCTAGAATGCATGTCCCCAGCACCCCATCCTTGCAGCAATGGCGAGGAGACAGCAAAGCTCCTGGGAACCTGCGCACTCGACTCACAGGGACGTCCCTCCAGAATCCAACCTCCAGGTTCCCACAAACGGCTACGACTGTGGCTTCAGGAAGCACGACTCGTTCTGCATGCAGCTTTCTCATTTGAAAAACAGAACTAATGTTGTCGTTCTGTATTTAGCTTTCTCATTTGAAAAACAGAACTAATGTTGATTTTTCCTGTGCGTGGCACGTGGTGCATAAAAGCCTGCGCTTTCTTTTCTGAGTCAGGTCCCCTTACATGCAGGGCACGCTGTTGGAGCCCTCAGTGGCGCTGCATGGTATGGGCAGGGCTGAGGGAGGGCTGCCCACACGAAAGGACACTTTTCCTTGCTGGGGACACTTGGCTTATCTGATGTCAATTCCCCTGGGTTATGTCTGATTTTTCAGAAAAGAACAGTGCGTTCTGGCCATTCTGGGACCTAAGCAGGGGCCAGCCAGACCTCAGCATCCTTCACATCTGTCCTGCTGGCCACGGTGTCTGGGGAGAGCTGTGCCACCCCCCTGCTCTGATCACACCTACCTTCTCCGGGGGACTGGCTGGTGCCCAGGGTGGGAAATGAAACATGTCTTCAATTGTTGAGGATTCACTACACATTTCTGTGTACTTCAGCAAAAACTCACGGATGGCCTGTGCTCCTAGCAGAAGGTGTGAGGGTCGCTGTGTTCCCAGGAGGAGGTCGGGTGGTGGGGGGGCTCCCTGTGCACCGGAAGGAGGTGGTGCGGGTCCCTGTCCACCCAGGAGGAGGTGGGGAGGATTCTGTAGTCCCAGGAGGAGGTGGGGAGGGTCCCTGTGCCCCCAGGAGGAGGTGGGGAGGGTCCCTGTGCCCCCAGGAGGAGGTGGGGAGGATTCTGTGCCCCCAGGAGGAGGTGGGGAGGGTTCCTGGGAGAATTGAGGCATGTGCTATCTTATCTGGCTTTTACACAGGTGAATAACGGGTCCAAGGCTACAGACATAGCAGGTGGTATGTCCAGAATTTTACCCCATTTGTCCTGTGCCAAATTCTGTTGATTTTGGTTAGTTAATTTACCTGGGCCCCTGACCCCCTAGTATATAAGGTGTGAGACCCCCTGAGGGTACAGCACCTGGTTCTTAATATATATTATAATGGCCCATCTTTTCTATTCGTTCCTGATAAAATGTTTCATTTTAACGAAGATCCGAGTGTTTTAAGGAAACTGAAGTTCGCGGAGCGGCTGCAGGACACCAGAAGCTGTTTTCCATCTGGTTCCTGCATTGTTTAATTTGTGCTTCACAGAGAGAGGTTTTATTCTCATTTGACAAGTAAGGTTTTAAAAAACTTAATAACTTCTTTTAAAAATCTGGTAAGGAATAGAACTTCATTTGCGTCCCTGGTTCAAATATTTTCATGACACTGGACACAGAAAACTATGGCTGGGTGTGTGGTAAGGGGAAAACCCGCTCCTTAAGGCAGCTTCCTGCGTGCCCACCGTGTTCGGGCCCCCGTGGGACTTGTCTCTGCCCACGTATAAGTTTTCATTCACAAAACCAGTTAAAAAGAAAACTCAACACTTTTCTCCATCATGGGAAACATTCAAATGCTTTGTATCATGAAGAATGCAGCCTTAAGACTGTCATCCTTCTAGGAAGAGAGCGGTTTTTACAATTCACAGTTTTTAGAACTGTCCTCATCCTGTTCTGATCTGGGGCCCTCCCTGCTCCGCCTGGGCTGTCACCGTGTCCTGGGGGTGACATGGGCCTGCTCCGCGGGGCGTGGAGACCGGGCCCTTCTTCCTGGGGGTGACGTGGGCCTGCTCCGCGGGGCGTGGAGACCGGACACTGCCTCCTGTGCTGTCATTCCGTGCTCCCATGGCTTTGTTTCCTTAGACTATTGCTTAATGTGAGTGTTGGTGGTGCCTGCTTTGTTTATGAGGACCTGAATTTAAAGAACCAATAATAGTTCACCTATTAAAATTTAAACTCTTGGGAGTATCTATTATTTAGAAAACTGAGGTCAAGTCTCCCCTCCAAAAACACTGTCTTGAAGATATTTTTTAAGCCAAATTTTTGAAAAAAGCTTCAATTAACAGAAAATCTACGGAGTCCTATTTCTGAAAATTATATTTTTAGGCTGAAAGTTCCACAATATCGCAGTGAACCTTTCCTCTAAATCAGTCTTTTTCACAGTCTGTCTCTGTTTCTCACACACACACATGCACACACACGCACACCGTGTTCACTGACTCGAGGTCTGTCTTCCCACTTGACTGTGTTCTGATTTTTTGTCATCTACCCTACACCTAACACAAGGACAATGAAACAACACTTGTTGAATACATGCAATGAATACAACAGGAATGATCATGTTCTCATGTTCAAGCCAATTTTCAAAGGTGGACTTATGAGCAGTGCCAGCATTTTCCAGGCCATGGTGAGCCTGTGGACTTGAACAGGGGGTCATGAGCAGGGTTGGAAGGCACTCAGAGCCTGTGGACTTGAACAGGGGGTCACGCGCAGGGTCAGAAGGCACTCACGACACAGGGCCTCTGCTCCTCCACGACCTCCCCTCGGTGACCCAGAGTGCCCTCTTGTCACAGCCTGTGGGGGAGACGAGGGTCTCAGGGCACTGTGGATCCCAGTGGGGCACGTGTCTACACACTCTCCTCACATGCCCCAGATCTGCGTCACTTTAAAATATTTTGATAGGTTATAAGTAAGGAAGATTGCTGCAGGACCAGTAAAAGTGTGCTCACAGATGATTTACAAAGTATCCTGAGAGATCTGGGGAGGCGAGAGCAACCTGCTCACAGATTTTGCCAAAATCAACATTTAAACAACTCCGTTTGGCAGAAGAGCAGCGCTATTGGAATTAGCCGGCAGCTCTTTCCTGCTGGGCCTCTGCCAGCCTCCAGACCCCACAGAGCAGAGGCTATGACTTAAAAGCAGCTAAAAAGCTTGAAGAAATAGAAGCCTGGATTAGGCAGAATATCCCAAACTTGAAACAGGCAGGTTCTTCCATGGACTTCTCTCTTTCCTCCTTTGACCCAGTGTTCACGATGAGTCCCCTTCCTCTCCTTCCACTGCCTCATTTTCCTGCACATTGTGCCGCCTTGAAACTTCCACCATATAATTGCTCTTGATTTTATATTTTGTATGTTCCCTTAGAAAGGTTTAAATATGATCATGTGCAGAGCCATTGGATAAATTTGTGGAATAACCAAAAATTACTATGCAAAGCTTTTCTGAGGGACATGGAACATTTTAATGCATTTTAATTGTTTCTCCTCTTAGTGATATGAACTAAAAATAAAATCCTAAGCGCCCCCCAACAACTGATGGAATGGCCACAGAAACCCCAGAAAAACCTTACAGCTGAGTTCCTGGCCATGATGGGATGGGAGGCTGGACGGGCCTCAGATACCCCTCCAGTTTACAGTTTAGACACAACAATAACCAGCTTTAAAACGGAGATTATAAAAACGAACAGAACAGACTCTTTGCGGCAATGAGATACCAAATTATGAACAGGACCTAAGGCCATTGCAGGCAAGGGTGAAGTCACACACCCCGCATGCAAAGAATCGACTGTCCTCACTGCCACCAGGTTTTTCTTCTTCTCTAGCAGCCGAACAAGCACTAGCCTTGAATCAACATGAAACCCATCGCAGCTCATCCAGCTCACAGACACTGCTCCGTGAGCCACAACTACAGCTCTGATTGCACAAGAGGCTGATTTCAGTAACTCTCTCCTAAGCGACCCCGGACCACAGACGGGTTCTGACCGGTTTACAGAGGCTGCCTTCACATTCTGAAAACACCTTTTGACATACAGGACCTGACGGTAATACATTTAAATATTACATCTCCACCCCAAGGTGAACATGAGTCGTATGTTACACACGTGTCTGTTTAACACGTGTCAGCACCACCTTTGTAAATATCTGCAGCTCTCCTGTGCCTGATGAATGGGTATCTTTAGCCAACTGTTCAGCCTGAAGCTCCTGCCCCAACCCCTCCTGCCGGAAGTGCCCATCTCTGGTCTTGGCAGGAGGCTGGACTTCCCAGCCCATAGGGTGGCCTCCTTGCAGGCTGTAACCCTTTACAAGAAATAAAGTCTTCTCTGCTTTTCCAAATTTATAAATTGTGGCTTTTTTAAAGTTAACGGTGGCTATCTTGCGAATCATTTACTGAACAATGATATTCGGCTATATGAGATGACTCATTTGCCTAAATGCTTCATCGCTGCTGTTTCGTTGGCATAATTACCTGATCAGGAGTTAGGCTCTGCTCCCTCATGTTTTGTTATTAGCCGCAGCAGTATCATAGGAACTTCCCTGAAAGAGGACCTCAGGTTCCCACCAGGCACTAGGACCTCATGTGTGTTTGCATTTCTGGGCATTCTTACGGAATATTTTAGGAAACAATAGTGCTTGCTTCTACTCTCGGATAAATGTATGCCATTTTCCCACGGTTTTGGTGTAAATGGCTGTGGGGATGGCTGTGGAGATGGATTAACTTTCATACATGAGCAAACCTTGGCTCTGGGTGGTTAGATCGGCAGAACGCCCTGCACAGCCTTGGACCGACCTGCCCGGGTTTCCAGGTGCACGCTCGGAAAGCAATGGCATCAGGGAGATTCTGTCACCTGCACATTTGCATCACTGAAGACTGTTTTGGCTGCAGATAAGCACACCCTGTCCTTACTTCAGTGACAAAACGTTTTCAAGATAGAGGGACCAGCTGGCGTTCAGGAGAAACAAGAACCCGGCTGCCCTGGGATGGAGCCCCGGTCCCTCCTGGACCCCGTCTGAAGACATAAAGGCGTCAGTTTCTTCCTAGTCACGTGGGAGGACGTAGAGCCCACTGCAGCTCTTGGCTGTGTTTTCAGAAAATGGCCCTTTTGCATCCTCTCGGTCACTGTCTGAGGACACGGAGCCCCGGACGCCTCTGCTGTTTCCTGCAGGAGGTTAGTCGGCTCCCAGCACCGTTCTCTGAGGAAACATCTGAGAGCTTCAACGCCCTTGGCGGAGTCCATTCTCCCAGACTTGATGGTTAGAGCATACAAGGCGTACAGACACACCAGGGTGCTGAGGTCCAATACACCCGCGACAAACAGCAATTTATCCACCCCCTTGTGCAAAACCCGGATCCGATGCCTCCTCTGCCTAACTCCAGTCACCCAGAGCCTCGTCTCGTGGGTCTCCAGCCTCCTGGTCCAATCGGCTGGGGCCGCCTCTCATCTTCCAGGACCCGCCCTCTCCCGCCGGAAGCGCCCTCCTCCTGGCGGAAACAGCTTCTCCCCGTCCCGCCCCTCAGTCTGCTCTTCACACGGATACCACGAATGCCACGGTGGCCTCCTGAAGACGGAGTCTGGTCTCACATTCCTCCAGCTTCCTGTGAGGCTTCCCCAAAAATGCAAATTCAATCACAAGGCGCCTGGGCTGACGTCTCCCCTCCTGTGCGTTCCCTTCTCCTGGGTCATCTGTCGCCCCCCCGCACTGTCCGTGGCTGCGTCTCCTCTCCTGTCCCTTCCGTTCTCCTGGGTCATCGCCCCCCAACCCCAACCCTCCATGGCCGCGTCGTCCCCGCTTCAACCCCACTGTCTATGGCTGCGTCTCCTCTCCTGTCCGTTCCCTTCTACTAGGTCATTGTCGCCCCCCCCCCCCCACATTGTCCTCACAGCTTCCTGGCTGCACTGGCGAGGGACATTTCCTTCCATTTCCAGTGAAAGGCCTTTGCCATATTAAATCAGTAAAACAAGAAAAACTCCCCCACCTCTTATCAGATTGGAGGGCACAGAAAGCACACGTGTTACATGCGTGGTGTGGACGTTTCCCATGTCATAATTTCAGATGCATAAACCCCAGCGAAGGGTGAGCGCACGGCATGGCACCTGCAGCATGGGGTTCACGTTCTGGAAGGTTCTGGCTGACTCCCACCCCGCCCTTCACTGGCCAAGTAAACTTGCAGAAGTTACTTAACCCTTGACCTAGAAGAGCCTCCTGTCACCTGAAAAGGGAAAGTCGGGATTGTAAGGAAAGGAATCTCATAGGGCTTCTCTGAGGAGACAAATCATTGGATTGGGCTTAGACGTTCCATCCGTGGCAAGGTATGAAAAACAAACAAAATGCCACCAGGTAGTAGCGTGACGTTCTGTCCCCGTTCCTGTCTTTGGTTTATAGCCTTTTCTTTCAGAGACGGAATGTTTCCGTGTTTTATATCCACAGATTTCCGGCTTTGCCCTTTGGAGCCTGAGGAGCAAGGGTAGAATGAGGATCGTGAGGTTCTTCAGAGGCAGTTACTCACGAGGTCACAGCGCAGAAACGGCAAGAAATGTCAGTTATAAAATGTCCATGTGCATTTTAAATGAATGGTTATTAAAATCCTTCTTTTTCCGTAAGGGATCTAAAAAATTAAACAATTTGTAACTCAAACACACTTGTCAGGTAGCCTGAGTCAAAACCAGGAGAGGCTCCATGGTCTGGAGTCTCCAGGTGCTCTCCTGGGTGAGGGTCTTGTTGCCTAAGGGGTTTATGTAATGAACTCATTCTAATACAAGCAAAACATGAGTCCCTCAGAGTTGTTCAAAAAATCAGGAAATAGGAAAAAATAAATAAATGAGAACAGAATATTGACAGGAGAGGAAAATGAAGAGTTACTGGGAGATTTGAAGGAGGGGAAATGGGCAAAGGGTAAATTTAGCAATTAGACTTAAAGTCAGTGGAGAATTAAGTGGAATAATCTATTCTTACATCCATGTATTTTGGTTTTAAAATTTTGATTAATATTCACTCAACACTAATTTCTAACAAAATAGAATATTTTCTTATTGTCTGTTTCCACCACTGAGCTTGTAATATATATCCACTAGTAATTTTAGTAGATCATAACCCCTCCAAAGGAGCCCATAGAATAAACTTATTTTTGAACAGTCACATTTTCTCCAATGAACTTTTTTATTTTCAAGTTTGAAAAGCTTTAGACATACAGAAAAGTAGAGTGAATAATGGAGACCGTAGCCAGGACTCAGATTTAGAAAAATAGGTTTAATCTGTTGTTATATGGCATTTGTGTCATACATTTGACTCATTTTTATAAAATGAAATCTAGAATTTATAAAATGTTGATTGAAAGGATTAGGAGTAAAGTTTAACCTGATGTTTATTTCTCCAAATCTCTTTGTTCTATGTTAACAGGTCAGGACAACTATGGATGTGAAGGATGGGAGAGGGGCCTCCTTCCGCATGAGGTCCCCAGAGGTATTTGTCTCCATCTAGAAACTGAGGGGCATTTGTCTCCATCCAGGACTTGGGGGGCCTCCTTCTCCATCCAGGACTGGGGTGTGTCCTTCTGCATCCAGGACAGGGGGACATCCTTCTCCATCCATGATTCAGAGTTCATCCTTCTCTATCCAGGAGAGGGGTTCATCCTTCTCCATCTAGGACTTGAGGGACATCCTTCTCCATCCAGGACTGAGAGGCATCCTTCTCCTTGCAGTACCTGAGGGACATCCTTCTCCATTCAGGACCTGAGGATGTCCTTCTCTGTACTCCCTTGGGACTGCACCCTTTCCTGTGCCATCCTTCAGAATGCTAGGCTGTCGCTGGTTGTGGATTGAACTCTAGCATCTTATCTCTATTCTAGGTGAATCCCTTCACATTTATAGTGATTTACCATTTAATCACTGTGCCATTTTCCCCAAAATATGTGGGGTTTGGGGTTTGGTTTTTGTTCTTACTTCTATTAATTCTTCGGTTCCCACCTCCAGTTGTTTTGTAATTTCTTTTACAACCTAATATGGTCCCATTTGGTAAGTATTACCATGTACTAGAAAATAATGTATATTCAGTATTTGTTGTGATTTTTAAACCTTTAATAAACTCATAAGATTTTTGTCTATTTTCCATTTAAATTGAGAAGTACGATCCCAATGTTCCTCTCTCGATCTGCTCCCGTTAGTCTCCATGTGTGTCCTGGAGGTGAGGTCAGCATTGGACTTAACCCTGTGTCACCTCCTTGGTTCTACTGCTCACCTGTGGCATCCATCCTGCTGTTTATTATTTTTTCCTTAAATTGTATTTGAACTATTAATTTTGCTACAGCAACTTGCTTTCTGTGAATATTTACTCAGTAGTTTCATTTCCATTCTTTTTTGCCCTTAATTTGAAAGTGCTGCTTTGCTATTGATAATTTTGTATTTTAATATGTGAGGTTAATTCCTCTGTGTTTGGTAGGAAAAAGTGATACATTTGAACTTATTTCTATTATGTGATTTTGGATTTTGGATTTGCAAAACTTTATCCTTGATTCTCTTTTCCTTTCTCCAGACTTATTTTCAACTGACATTTCCTTTTCCATTTCCTTCTTATGCTGATTTGTAGGTTTTCCAGCCTATTTACCGTTCTTTAGTGTCCTACATTTTAAAATAATTCTTAAATTATCGACTAATAATTTTAAGCATATTGGATTTGCGGTTTTCTCCCAGTGCTCTAGTTATAATCTCTTCTATCTTGTCATTTTATTCTTGTTATTTTTCTATTAATTCTTGAGATATAGGTATTAGAATTGTCAAATTGTGAATTTAAGCATTTACCCTTTAAATTTGGTTATTTTTGCTTCATATATTTTGTTATTTTGTATCAGGTGCATGCATGCTTATGATCATTAGGTTTTCTAAGCAAGTGGACTCATTAATATAAAATGTCCTTCTCTGTCCCTGGCGATGCTGGTCCTTCCTGTCGTCTGTCTCATCTGCCATCCATACACCTGTGCAGCCTCCTGATAACAAGTATTTCTGTGGTATACATTTGTCCATCTTTTCAGCTTGAATCTATTTGTATCTTTATCTTGAAAGAATGTTTCTTTGTAAAAGCATATCGAGGCTTGCTTTTTACCTGCATTGACAGTCTCTTTTTCACTGGCAGTGTTCAGTCAGTGCAGATCTGCTATTCCTGTGGTTGGGTTTAAGTCAGCACCTGAACCTGTTATTTCCTCTGTTCCGCTTTCCTGGTCTTCTGGATTATTGTAGTTTTGCTTTGTCTGTTTGTTTGTTTAATAAGAGTTTTTGGGTTGTCTTTTTAGTATGGATTTTGTACCTTGTTTTTTTTTAACTATGACTTCTTGTTTTATTTATTTTCAGTGAGTCATTTAGAAATTAAAATATAAATACTTAAAGTCTCATATTAAATAAAGATCATAACATTTTATACAAATATAAAATCCTTACTGCACCCTCCTCTCAGCTTCTGTACCATGTTGTCAGTGAGGTTTCTTCTGCATATGTTGTAATTTCCAGAGGATGTCATTAAAACAGTAATTTTCCCTCCACCATTTATTGTTTTTGGCACTCTTTAATCTTTTTTGTGAACTAGAATTTCCAATTGTTATCATTTTTCTTCATCCTGTTTGCATTTATTGTGGTTTGGGTGTGAGGACCACACAATCTCTCAGCCTTTGTTTAACTGAAAATGTACTTTTCTCAACTTCAGTTCTAAAGGCTACTTCAGCAGGTTCAGAATTCCAAGGAAACCTACTTTCAACAGTGTGAGGTCTGTACCCCGTAGTGCTCTGGGCACCGTCGTCTCTGATGAGGTGGCTGTAGCGGGAGACCTGGACCCTGTGGGGCTGCTGCATGGGGGGACACCCACGGTTCACCTGGACCCGACGGGGCTGCAGTGTGGGGGGACACCCACAGTTCACCTGGGCCCTGTGGGGCTGCCGCGTAGGGGGGGGACACCCACGGTTCACCTGGACCCTGCGAGGCTGCAGCGTGGGGGGACACCCACCATTCACCTGGACCCTGCGGGGCTGCAGCATGGGGGAGACACCCACTGTTCACCTGGACCCTGCGGGGCTGCAGCATGGGGGAGACACCCACTGTTCACCTGGGCCCTGTGGGGCTGTGGAGGGACACCCACCGTTCACCTGGGCCCTGCGGGGCTGTGGGGGGACACCCACCGTTCACCTGGGCCTGCAGGGCTGTGGGGGGACACCCACCGTTCACCTGGACCCTGCGGGACTGTGGGGGACACCCACCATTCACCTGGGCCTGCGGGGCTGTGGGGGGACACCCACTGTTCACCTGGGCCTGCGGGGCTGTCGGGGGACACCCACTGTTCACCTGGACCCTGTGGGGCTGCCGCATTGGGAGAGACCCCCACCATTCTCCTGGTGTCTGTGCTGCTTCCAGACCTGTGCCTCAGTCAGCCGGGTGTGGAGTGGCCAGGTCGCACATCAGCTGCAGGCACAGCCAGTTCATGGGTAGACAGCCACATCCTGCCCCAGGAGGAGGGCAGCCAGCATGGGCGATGCAAGCTCCCCTCGTCTGGAACCAGCACAACCTCAGGCACTCGAGCCTTGGCCCCTCACAAGCAACGTCCTCAATGGGTGGCGTTCGTTCATCTTGGAGGCATAGCTGGGACCCCAGGTGCTGCGGGACCCCAATTATGGTGAAATCCCGGGCACCATAGGCCCCCAGGCACAGAGAAATCCCAGGCATAGCGGGACCCCAGGTATGGTGAAATCCCAGGCACAGCGGGACCCCAGGCACAGAGAAATCCCAGGCATAGCGGGACCCCAGGTATGGTGAAATCCCAGGCACTGCGGGCCCCCAGGCACAGTGAAATCCCAGGCACGTTGAGTCCCAGGTCACACTGTGCGTGGCTCCCGCGGGTTTTGCATGCACGGGGCTTGCTCACTCTTTCTTGCTGGCTGAGCTTTTCCCAGCCTTATCTTTCCATGACCCCAACATGCCAGGCAGGCCACGTGTGTTGACTCCAGGACTCAGACATGGTTGCTAACACTCACCCTCTTCCTCACAGTCTAGATGGGAGGCTGCCCTCAGTGTCAGTGACCTGTCCCTCTCTGAGAGCCAGATTGCAAAGGCAGCAGCCCAGACAAGGGCCATTGCGACCAAAATGAGAAAGAAAAGCTCTTGCTGTTGCTCACTCTTCTGTTCTAGGGACAGGAGCTGCCCGGCTGGCTCCACCCCGGAACACAGGACCTGCCTCCAAGCTCCTTCGAGGTTGGGATCTGTGAGCAAACATAAAAACCGATCATCACAATAATTGCCACATCACAGAAGACTGTTGCATCCATGAATGCCTTTAATCCCCAGTCCGCTGGCCACGAAGCGGATTAGGAGAGAGAGGTTTAGTCCCAGACCTGCCTCATTAAAAACATCTCCTTTCTACCATGAGGACTTTCACCTGTACATGCAAGAGGTTATTATATACAGATTAAGAATTAACACAGTCTCTGTTTTCAGTTTTTATTATCTCCTTTGTTTTCTTCATTCACTACGCTCCAAAAATTTTGGAGGTCAGAAAAAGGAAAGGTGGGAAGGAGGTGAAGGAGAGAGCGGACATGTTTTTCCTCTGCACGAAATCCTGCGGTTGCACCTGAGATTGTCCCTTGGTTTTTAGTTAACAAAATCCCTACCCCTATTTCTTACCTTCTTAAGAAATCCCCAAGCTTATAATCTACCCAACCCACACTGAATCTGGGGATATCTCTGGGACTAAGCATACCACCTCTGTCTGGAAATGCATTCCCAGCTGCAAGCTTTTCCGTGGGGTGCACCTGCGCCTGGCACACCATGTTGTTTTTGTGCCAAAAACATGGGATGGAGTTTTCCTTGAAGATACAGCTGCTGGAAACTCAGACTCCAACTCCAAGCCCAGTTCCATGCACCATCCAGCATCCCCACCAACCAGGGTGAGCTGGGGCCTGGCGCCGCGTGGGGCCGGGGAGGAAGAATGGGAGCTGGGGGACACAGGGCAGTCCCGTCAGTATCAACGTACCTGATATAAGTATTATATTTAACCGTACCCCTCCTCCTCCTGCACCTCCTTCTAGGGAACTGGGGTCTGGGTGCCCGGCTCAGACCCGGACACAGTGGAGGCCGCCGCAAATGTCCTCTTGGAGGCAGCAAAGAAGAGCCAGAACCAGACAGGAGCTTCTGGTTAAGTCATGTGGGAAACCAGCAGGAAAAACTGCTGCACCGTGGGTGCAGGCCATGTTCGTGGGCCGTGGCCGAGCCAAGGACAGTGGCAAAGTGTGAGCCGCTGGGGAGGCTGCAGAGGGGGCTGTGTGTGAGGATAGGGGGTGGCCGGCACCAGGGACACCTCCGGGCTAGTGGAGCAGGGCGGCCACATGGGAATGCAGGACTCACTGGTGTCAGGAAGGAGCAGCCAACATCCAGCAAAGCCAAGTGCACTCATCAGCCACTCTCACTCTCTGCTGTGTCTTGTCTGTGTGTCTGTACACACTATCCCACAACCAGCTCTTCATGCTTGCTCATTCACTCTCAAAGCATCGGTGACTCTAGTATAATCCTTGGGTCCTGCAGGGTTTAATTTTTGCAAGTAAGAAGGTAAATGGCTGCTTCACCCTCAGCTGTTTTCTCTTTCCTTGCTCTTGTAAAACAGTGTTCCTCTGACATGAGCGTTCCCTGTTCTCCAGTCACTCATCGTCCAGGCCCTGAGTGAGAACATAGCTGCTCCCAGCTCTTGGGGTCCTCGGGGTCACCTGAGGCAGTGGGAGCTCGTCCTTCTAATGCCCCATTTTCCAGATGAGGAAACCTGCCCATGGCTGCTCTCCATGGCAGTGCGTAGCCCTGGGACCCACAAACCCCAAACCCCATGATCGCATAGATGATTGTTAATAAGAACCTTAAAGATAAAAGTTAGATAGAAAAAAGTTCTAAGGAATTTCCTAGGGTCAAGTAAGGTTCTAATGAGACTTAACACCACCCATCTCAATCCACATCTGCCACAACCTACACCAAGTGTGTCTGTGGGGTGCAGATGAACCCCCGGGATTTATGAACACACTGTCATCATGTACTGGCCTTGCCTATCTTGACCAGGGAAGCAGAAATATCAGTAGAGCTTCTGTATAATCCACACAACTCTTGCAAGGAGGCCGGACTCCTGCCATCCCCCGTCATGAAAAGGTTGCATTCAGAATGTGCAGGAAAAGTCACCAGACCATTGCTGACCCCAACTGGCAGTTCCCAAACACCCAGCACTCTTTCTGTTGCTAAAAGTCACTGAAGCCTTGTGCCGAATTAAAAGGCATGAGTGAAAAATAAAACTCAAGTCCTCAGATGAGATCTCTACTAATAAGCGTAAGTGACACACAGACCATTGAATTTCGATAACGATCGTTGATGGGAAGTCATTTCAGATGCATCTGTCTGAGCTCTCCTTTCCTTATCTGTGGTGTTTCAGGCTGGTCAAGGGTCCTGCCTCAGGCAGCTGCCCGATGAGGCCCCCGCTGGAAGGGGAGGTCTGAGTGCTCGTCGCCACGGCCCCTCAACACAAGAACACCCATAGTTTCTAAACATTGCCTTTAAAACAGCTCCGCACAGAACAGAATCAGCCATATCTGTGAGGGACAAACTCTACCATTAAATCCCTGGCCAAGGGAAGACCTGCTGAGGTGATCTACTGTTCTAAGTAGCGAACAGATCTAAGGAGGCAAATGAAATCATTGCTGCTCTGAAAGAACCTGCAGGCTGGTTAGGAATTTAACTTGTGCACTCAGTTACCATATGAGTGAAATACAGCATGCATGTGCTCCGAAAGCATACAGGGGCCTGTGGGAGCTAAGATGATCTCTTCTTAGGAAGACGAGTCAGTAGCTCATGGTGTGTAGCATCCAGCTGGGCTGGAAGGGTCCTGTGTCTGCAAGGGAGAGTCCAGGGTAAAGGCTGCTGTTCCTGCCCTGTGACACCTGTCTCTGTCTCTGTGAAGCCTATGCTTCTCTGATATTTTTGTTTTTCATGGATGAAATGTAGCTAATGGTAGTCCCTACTTAACGCAGACGATTGAAGGGGTACATTCATTGATGTTTTTAAAATATGTAGTACAGAGTACAATTTATAAAAAGGACACGGAAAATTAGGTTTAGAGAAGGAATGCATCAGGCTGAAGCAGAACCACGTGGTGGACAGCCTCGTGCACCTGACGGGGCTTGAGCACTTTAGACTCGAAAATGTTCTTGAGAAAACATGCATGGCAGCACAAGAAGCCTAAGAAGATCGTGAGGCGGAGGAAGAGGAGTGACACTGTGGAACTGCAGACTTGAAGCTTTGTTTAATTCACGAGATGGTGCTGGAGACCAACGCCCAGAGTGGGCAGGAGGCACAGAAGCCCCTGAGAAAGGAGCTGCCAGCTGTCAACTCCAGCCTGGCTGCCTTTCCGGAAGGCTCCTCCACTCTCACGGCTGACACAGATGACCTCAGCTGATATAGATGACCTTGGCTGGTCACCACACTCCACGGTGACAGGGATGACCCTGGCTGGTCACCACACTCCACGGTGACACGGGTGACCTTGGCTGGTCACCACACTCCATGGGACACCTCTGGCCAGGGTTTGCAGGGATGTTTAGAGACAGCGAAGTTTTAAGGAGAAATCAGGGTTTGGTTTCCATCATTCTCTCTACCAATTGTTGGGGCTTCGCCTGATGCACGCTATATGGTTGATAACGTGTTCTTAAGAAACAAGGAAGATAGAAGCTCTCAGAGTCTTGTACTGAGAAGACTATTGAAGGAACCTGCTTGTGTTGCTTTTAAGTGAAGGAAACTTGAGGAGCCAACGAGGGGTGTCCATAGTCAGAGCTGGAACAGTTGTTTACAAATACATGAAAGGCTGCCAGGTAGAAGAGGATTAAACCCAAGAGCGAGAGAGGAGAGGCACCCAGTGTTAGTTCAGAGCTGTTTAGGGTGTTGGTGAGGCCTCAAGAGGGTGAGAGGAAGCTGGGTGTTCACAAGAAGAGAGGATACAGGGCCGATCTGCACGGGGCCGCTGGCCGGGTCCCTGTCCGTCCTGGTAACGCTATAAACTACCAACATGGACAAGTTCCAGCATATACGGAAGGTAATCTTTAGAAATATGAAAGTAGAAAATGCCAAAAAAGAAAACATGACAATTTTCCCTCACAGTCACCCCTGATAAGAATCACGTTTCTAACAACATATATATTTACATAAGCCACCAGAGCGGAGCATGTGGCCTGGAAAATGCTTTTTTAAGGAAACACATTCACTGGGATTAGTTGCGTGGGGGTTTAGGAATATAGCCTCTGGGCTGAAAATTTGATCTCCAGTAAATCTCCCTGGTGCTTGTAACTCACTTCTTGCTTTGGGTTCTGACGCAATTTTCATATTCTATAGCGTAGCTGATTGAATGTGTAAACACCTATGTCGATGATCTTAACAAAAATCACGGCAAGGGGAGCTGTAAGTCCTGCACTTTCTCACATCTGATGGGTCCGTGGGACAGTCACAAGAGAGAGAGGAACGTGCCTCCGTTTTGCCCACATTCGGGGCTGAGGCCGAGGCTGCCCCACCCCGCTGTTTTCTCAGCCTCCCCTTGCATGTTTCCTGCGTGCTGAGCAATTCCATGATTCATAGACTTGTGCTGCATCTGGGCGGCCAGCATGACTGGAGGCCAAATGCAGTTTCTTTCCTTCAGAAATGGAAAACAGGAGCTGGCTCAAGATCATGTTCTTCGAGACGGAAGACCGCTGGACAGACTTTGATACTCAGATGCTGTGAATAGCTCTATGGACAACATCATCGTAATTGAAAGCAGATTCGGGCTGAGCACCACGGTATTATCTTACCGCCGCCCCAGCTTTCCCACCCTTAAGACGTGTGCCTCTGCCAAAGCGGGCGACATCTTCCTCTTCAGCACATCCAGTGCTCTCCTCCCACGTTAGGAGCTCGTCCTGAAGTCCAGCAGCTGCTCAGCCTGCCAGCCCAGAGCCTCCCCTGGCCTCTGCTCTGACTCTGAAATCAACTCTGAACCCCTGCTTTCACCTAGGCTTAGTTCCACCTGCAAGGCACATGCACCTTTCTTCCTTGCAGACTTGTGAACACCCCTGGACTTGGTGGGTTTGGGCGGTCTGCCCACAGTCACCTGGCTTTTTCTAAGGGGTCTGGGATGTTGCCTGCAAAGTGGTCAGTTTGTCTCCTTGTCTAGTTTAAAGCCTGTGGCCACATTGTGCACATAGCTGGCATCTCGTGCACACATCTGAACTGCTGTTTCTCGAACAACAGGAATTCACCCAAACAGTTGTTGTGTTTTAGCTGTAACCTAAACAAATAATATATTATTTGCAAAGCAGAGAAGAATCTGTCTCCACAACAGAGGCCAGTGCTTAACTTCACTTGGGAATAGTTAGAGAAAGCCTGTGCTGAGAAAAGAGTGGGGATTGGAATCAGAAGATGTAGCCTCTGGCTCTGGCATTGCCATCACTGTCTAAGTCACCAGAGCAGGGTGTGATTCGAAGTTCAGCTTTGGTTCCTGTAAAGCAGGAATAATGACCTGACTGCACAAAGCTGTTTTGAGCTTTAAGTGAAATAGTATCTGTTATCTGATGTGCAATGTGTGATATTGCTGCTTTTTACAAAACTAAACACATAGAGAAAATGCAGTCTCATAAGCATCCTATGTTTTCCACACAGTAACTTAGAAAATGAACGTGTCAAAGTTTTTCCATTATTATTAACTGTGTCCTAGAGCATTGAGCTTCTTCTAGCCTGTAGGGAGCATTGACCTAAACAGTAATGTCAAAAGATAAATATAAATTCAGAACAACAGATAAAGCTATTCATGGCATAATAGATCTTCCTAGGCACCAAGAATAATGACACAAAATCTTCATTTTATTTTCGTCTGGTGTTAAGTTTTAGTAAAGTCAGAACAGGATGCAGCCCATGGTCTACGATGGGCTTATGCCCACTTATGTGCCACAGACCCCGTCTCTTGTACACTTTGACACCACAATGCTCCCTACATTTCCAGTTTTCTTGATTCTAATGGCAAAATGTGTGTGGTGTGAGGAGAGTAGACAGAGGAAAGAAGAACGGCTGTGCAGATGATATCAGCAGCCTCTGCAGGCCGTTTAGTTGTGAGAAATTAAGTTAAAAGGTATATCCATTTAGCCAAAAGCAGTATGCATTTATTGGCCACTGTGGGTCCTGTCCAGCCTCAGGATACCAGGTTTCCTGTTCCCAGCCTCCCACAGCCAGCCAAGAATTATCCAATCTACCCAATTGTTTCATTAAGGCAGTTCTAAAGTGACAGTAGTTTGGAGCCTATTCATGATTTATTTTGCAAAATAAAAATCTCCATTTTTCTGCAGATCTGTGCCAGAAGTAAATAACTGTACTGTTTTTAGACACCGGGCAAGAGCTTTTAGAAGGCAGCTCATCCGCTGCTGAGGCATAGGTGGCCAGTGGGCAGGGTGGTCCCGTGGCATCCTCTTTCCAGTTACTCAGCCACTGGCTTCCATAGCAAACCTTTTCATGTTTGCTCGCTTGTTTTTTGCATGATTGTTTGCTAAAGATTATCTTGTTAAAATACAAATATATTTTGACTTCCAAACTTATTCTACAAGGTCAGTATTACCGTGATACAAAAACCAAAGATACAGCAATAAGAAGAAGAAGAAGAAGAAGAAGAAGAAGAAGAAGAAGAAGAAGAAGAAGAAGAAGAAGAGAAAAAAAAAATAAAACAGGACAATGTATCCAATGAACATTGATGCAAAAATCCTCAACAAAATAGTATCTAACCAAATTCAGCAGCATATCAAAAAGGTCATTCATCAGGATTGAGTGGGATTTATCCCTGGGATGCAAGGATGGCTCAACATACACAAATCAATCAACGTGATACATCATATCAATAGAATAAAGGACAAAAACCATATGATCATTTCAACTGATGCTGAGAAAGCATTTGATAAAATTCAACACTCCATGACAAAAAAACCCTCAAAAAACTGGAGACGGCATGAACATACCTCAGTACAACAAAAGCCATATGTAGTATAGCCACAGCTAGTCTTGAATGGGAAAACCTGGAAGCCTTCTCTAAGATCTTGAACATGACAAGGATACCCACTTTCACCACTGTTACTCAACACAGCCCTGGAAGTCCTCGCTAGAGCAATCAGACAAGAGAAAAAAAAAAAACAAAGGGCACCTCAATTGGAAAGGAAGAAGTCAATTTATTCTTGTTTGCAGATGATAAAGAAAATCCTAAAGGCTCCATCAAAAAACTATTAGAACTGAGAAACAAATTTAGTAAAGTCACAGAACAAAAAATAAACATACAAAAATCAGTACCATTTCTATATGCCAACAGCAAATAATATCAAAAAGAAAGTAATCCCATTTACAATAGCTACAAATAAAATAAAATACCTGGAAATAAAGTTAACCAAAGAAATGAAAGATCTTTACAATGAAAATGACAAAACATTGATACAAGAAATTGAAGGGAACACACAAAAAAAGAGAAAATATTTTATGTTCATGGATTGGAAGAATGTTGTTAAAACATCTATACTACCCAAAGCAATCTACAGATCCAATGCAATCCCTATCTAAATACCAGTGACATTCTTCTCAGAAATAGAAAAAAATCCTAAAATTTATCCAAAGCTATCTTGGGCACAAAGGACAAAACTGAAGGAATCACATTATCTGAGTTCAAAGTATATTTCAGAGTTATAATAACTAAAACAGCATGGTACTGCCATAAAAACAGACACATAGACCAATGGAACAGAATAGAGAGCCAAGAAACAAATCCACAACCTACAGGAAACCAATTTTGACAAGGATGCCAAGAACATACACTGGGGAAAAGACAGTCTCTTTAATAAATGGTGCTTGGAAAACTGAATATCCATATGCAGAAGAATGAAACCCTAAACCCTTCTCTTTTGCCATATACAAAAATCAAATCAAAATGGATTAAAGACTTAAATCCAAGATCTCAAACTATGAAACTACTAAAATAAAACACTGGGAAAACTCTCTAGGACATTAGTCTGGACAAAGTTTTATTTATCCATACCCCACAAACACAGGCAACCAAAGCAAAAATGGAAAATGGGATCACATCAAGTTAAAAAGCTTCTGCACAGCAAAGGAAACAATCAACAAAGTGAAGAGACAGCCCACAAAATAGGAGAAAATATTTGCAAACTATCCATTTGACAAGGAATTAATATCCAGAATATATAAGAAGCTCAAACAACTCAATAGGAAAAAAATCTAATAATACAGTTAAAACTGGGCAAAAGATCTGAATAGACATTTCTCAAAAGAAGACATACAAATGGCAAACAGTCATATGAAAATGTGCTAAATGTCATTGATCCTCAGAGAAATGTAAACCAAAACTACAATGAGACATCATCTCACTCCAGTTAAAACGAGTTTTATTTAAGAGACAGTCAATAGGAAAGCTGGCAAGCATGTGGAGGAAAGGGAACCCTTCTACAGTGGTGGGAATGTACATTAGTACAACCACTATGGAGAACAGTTTGGAAGTTTCTCAAAACACTAGACATAGAGCTACCATATGATCCAGCAATTCCACTGCTGGGTATATACCCCAAAGTGAATCAGTCTGTTGAAGAGATCTCTGCACTCCCATGTTTGTTGCAGCACTGTTCACAATAGCCAAGATTTGGAAGCAACCTAAGTGTCCACTAACAGACGAATGGGTAAAAATATGGTACATGTACACAATGGAGTACTATTCAGTCACAAAAAAGGAGGAGATCCTGTCATTTGCAACGTGGATGGAACTGGAGGTCATGATGTTAAGTGAAAAAAGCCAGGCACAGAGAGACAAACTTACATGTTCTTATTCATCTGTGGAAGCTAAATTTTGAACCCATGAAGATAGAGAATAGAATGATGCTTACCAGAGGCTGGGAAGGGTAGTGGGTGGTTGGGGGAATGTGGGATGGTTAATGGATCAAAAATAGAGTAGATAGAATGAATAAGAC
The DNA here is from genome assembly GCF_000001405.40 of Homo sapiens. Classification (NCBI taxonomy): domain Eukaryota; kingdom Metazoa; phylum Chordata; class Mammalia; order Primates; family Hominidae; genus Homo; species Homo sapiens. The sequence goes on from NC_000002.12 coordinate 572,703, forward strand.
CTAGTACTTGATAGCACAACAGGGTGACTACAATCAGCAATAATTTGTAGCACATTTAAAAATAACTAAAAGAGAGGAATTGGAATGTCCCTGACACAAAGAAGTGATCAATGCCTGAGGCGATGGACACTCCATTTACCCTGATGTGATTATTACACATTGTATGTCTGTATCAAAATAGCTCATGCACCCCATAAATGGATACCCCTACTGTGTGCCCATAAAGATTAAAAATTAAAATGGGAAAAAATAAGCTGATTCAAAATGAAAAAATATATACCTAAACACATTTTGGAAGTGTTAAACCCCATCATTTGAGGCTGTTTTGTGATGCCAGCTGTGGTGAAGATAGGCCTGGGCTGTCAGGCGTCCTTAGGGACCTCTGGAGAGAACCTACCCAACTGTGCATCAGTGTCACACCTGCTCCGACACACCAGAGGCCGCGCAGTGCTTTACTTTATACAGTGAGACAAGATCATCTGTACACAATTAGAGCACAGTGACAGCCAATGTCCACGAAGTGCCAGGGACCGTCCTTCTAGGGGAGCAGGTCGAGCATCACAAGTTGGACCTTGAAGGGTCCAGGAATCTGCTAAGTGTGAGCGGGAGTGAAGTCTTTCGTGTCAGAGAGGAGAGATGCCAGGCTCAGGATTTATGAGCCATGGGGTCTGAGAGATTCTGGTGGTTTCCAGTCATTCAGCCAGTGGGGTGGAGAGAGGAGATGGTTGCAGCCTGATGGGGAATTGGATGAATCGCGATGGGAAAGTCATCTACTTACCTAGGAGGACTCAGGTGACTCTGTGCTGTTTTTAGAAAACCAGTTCCAAGACCGAGAAGAGAATAGTTTGTTTGTTTTGGGAGCTGTAAGTTGGTATAGCAAGATAAAAGAAATGAGACTGATTACAGGGTTTTGGCAAAAATATTGGCAAGAAGCCGTTAAGTCTCAATGAAGTTAAAACCTATGGAAAAGAAGAGAAGGGGTTGTTTTGTTAAAAGACATTTATGCAGCATCACCGATAAATACGGGTGACTCGCAGTACATCTAAACTGCAGGGCAGTTCCCAGCATCATCTCGGGGAACACTGACCTGGTGCCTGCTGTGCACCACAGGCTCCCCCGGACAGTGTCTACAACCACTGCTGGTGCCCAAGACGTGCACATAAAAGCTCTTTTTCTAAAAGTCTCACTGAAGCTTCCCTGAAAGCCAAGCAGTGAGAAAACAGAGGCCTCAGCCTGAATCTGTTTCCAATTAGCATATCAAGACAGCATCTCCGCATCCAAAGCACCTAACCGGAGCCTCCCTCCTCCCTGAAAACCCACCGCAGCTGCTGCTCCAGCTTCTGGTTCCTGTGCTGGTGTGCTGGGAGAAGATGGGCTGCATGGGACTCTGGACTCTGCAGGTGACCCCGGGGTTCCAGCCCACCCATGGACCCTCCAAATGCCAGCTGGCAGCCCCTTGTATTTCTGCCTTAACTTATCAGATTTGGCTGATGGCTTGGGTTGGAAAAACAGAAGATAGGTTAAAAGCCTGAAAATGATCATTTAGTTCCACCTTAAGAAAACAGAGACATAAGTGAGGTTGCTATTATTTCAATTTAAATGTTTGATAAATAGAAAGTTGAAGCTCTATTTTACAGTTCTACAGTCTCAAATTAATAATGTCTGCCACATAAAATTACATCTTCTGGTTTTTTAACCAGTCAATAATCGAAGTTTAAATAATATGACTTAGAAGTGAAAATATGCTTGCAATTTTCTACCAACAACTCATTAATCATGCAGTCAACAAAGCTTCAAGAAAGGGGCCATCACAGGCACATTTGGCCAGTCAAGTGTGCGTTGTTGGTGCAGTCTTCTTTTTAACTTTATTTTAAATCCAAAATCCAAGTTACCTGTAATAAATGGAGCTTAATTCATTGTGTGTCTCGTGTCATAAGAGGAGAGGGATAGAAGTGAAGAATATAGTGGCCTAACAATGGATCTGAATACAGCAGAGCCCCAGAAAAGCAATGCTATGCTCCACGAAACAGCATTGGAACAGCAGTGCAAGGTGAGGCACGGGCCCAGTGAGTGCCAGTGCATGCTGCTCAGCTATTTAGCTGGGTGTAACACAGAAACTAGTAAAAGTCAAGATCTTTTGTGCATTCACGGATCAAGGACCTACTACGCACTCAGTCTTGTGTCGGTGCTGATACTGCTGAGGTAAATAAGATTGTTTTTGCCCTGAAGGGTCTTGTAATCTGGTAGTCATCAAAAATGAAAAATTACAACAATATAGATGTGTCCAGGGAACTGTGGGGTCTCAGTGGAAGATGCACCCTTCATTCCACCAGAGACAGATGGGAAGGCTTCCAGGAAAAGACCCTAAAGTGCACCTCGGAGGACGGCATAGAAACACCCAGTCCAGGGAGGGAGGGGCTCAGTGAGCCCTGACGGGACCCCTAGGATGAAGCACATCTCAGGGGAGAGTGGCAGGTGAGAGGTTTCTTCCACAGCTGTGAGACCCGGGAACAACCAGCAGTCGTTGAGAGACAGAAGATGGAGGAGGCCGAGGCAGCTCACATGGGCCCTGCACGTGCCTCTCCTGGTTCAGTCACACGGCTATCACTGTGCATGAGGTCGGCTGTGTCCCCAGACAGCAGCCACGCCTGCCACCCTCGCCCCTGACTCCGGTGTCCATCACAGAAATTGCCTGAGTAAATGAACAGGGTATGGGGACGGGGGCTACAGCAATGCAGGGCCTGTGGGCTTCCACTGAGAAGTCTGGGTTTTATCCTAAAAGCAATGGGCAGCCTTTAGAGGTGTGGCTGTTTAGGAGCATGAGAGATGTAACCAACTCTGTGTTCTAGGAAGAGAAGCCTGGACATGGGACACACAGGGTGTGCAAGGGCCAGAAGGAACACAGCCTGTTAGGGAATGACTGCGAGAGTCCTGCTGAGTGCTGCTGGTCTGAAGGACAGTGAAAGTGGAAATAACAAGGAAAGGCTTGTATGAGATGTGTCTCTTCACATGTAATTTGTATTGAAGTATAATTTGTATAAGATAAAATGCAGAAATCATCATTGTACTACTTACTGAGTTTTGGCAGTCATATTCACCAGTATAAAAAAAATCAGCTACCCAAACCAGGGTGTGGAACATGACATCATCACTTCTAAAATCTCCTGCTGCAGCTTTGCAGTGTCACAATAGTTCTGGCCTCATAAAATAAATTGGGAAATATTCCTTCCTTCTTAATATTCTGAAAATATCATTTCTGATTTCTTTTTTTTTTTTCTGAGACAGCCTTGCTCTGTAGCCCAGGCAGGAATGCAGTGATGCAATCATGTAGCCTCAACCTCAACCTCCCAGGCTCAAGCAATCCTCCCACCTCAGCCTCCTGAGTAGGTGGAACCACAAACGTGCACCACCATGCCTGGCTATTTTTTTGTAGAGACAGGGTCTCACTATGTTGTCCAGGCTGAGCTTGAACTCCTGGACTCAAGATATCCTCCCACCTTAGCTTCCCAAGGTGCTGGAGTTACAGGCATGAGCCACCACACCCGTCCTCATTTCTATCCTGAATGACTGATATAACTCACCACTAAGGCTACATGCCTGTGGTGTTTTATTTTGGGAAGATTTTTTGATTATGTATTAAACAGCTCTGATAAATATAAGCTTTCAGATTAGCCTTTCATGTCAATTTTGATAAGCTGCACTCTTCAAGGAATGTGTTTATTTTCTCAAGTTTGACAAATATATTTCTGTAATGCAGTTTATAATATTTTCTTGTTTTCCTGTTAATGTATGTATGATCTGTAGTGATGTCTCATCTGTCATTCATGCTACTGATCATTAGTATTGTCTCACTTTTTTCTCTCTTTCCACTACACACCCACTGAACCCCTGACAATTCTCATCACTTTACTGGCATTATAATTTTGCTTTTTAAGATAATGCCATGTAATTGGAATAACACTGTATACAACCTTTCCAGGTTAGCTTTGTTCACTTGGAAATATGCATTTAAGTTTACTTCATATCTTTCTTAGGCTTAGTAACTCACTTCTGTTTAGTGCTGAATAATTTCCCATTGCAGGGATGCACTAAGGTCTGTTTGTCCATCCACCTGTGGAAGGAGCTTGGTTGTTTTCAGGTTTTAGTGGTTATGGAGAAAGCTGCCTTACACATTGCATATGGATTTTTTGCAGGCACAGTTCTCAGATAAACTGTGTAAGTGGCTGGGAGTGTGGCTTCTGGGTGCTGCAATCAGGCTATGCTTAGCTTTGTGGGAGACTGCCAAACCCCTTCACTTGGCCTTCCCATCAGCCATGAATCGGAGCTCCTGTTTCTCTGCTTCCTCTTTAGCATTTAGTTTTGTCAGGCTTTTTAAAATTTTATGTTGTGTTTTTTAATACATGTGTCATGGGACCTCATTGTTTCAGTTTGCAATCTCCTAGTGACAAGTGGCCATGAGCATTTTTCCATGTGCTTACTCGCCGTCTGTATCTCATCTATGGTGAGATGTTCATATCCATTGTGTGCTCATTTCTTGTGTTCTTTGTTTTCATATTGAATTTTCAACATTTATTGTATGTTTTTGATACAAGTCAACTATTAGATATGTGTATTGCAAAGATGTTCTTGCAGTATTTCACTTGTCTTTTGATTTTTTTTTAGTGTCTTTCACAGATGACAGTTGATAATTCATTTTTGGAAGATTATTAATATTGACTTAATTTCTGTGTATAATAATTAATTATTATAACTCCTATGAGCCTATTCAGATTGTCTATTTCTCCCTGAGTGAGTTTTATTACTGTCTTTCAAAAAATTCATGCTTTTCATATAAATTATAAATTTGGGGTCCTAGAGCTATTTATAATATCCCTTTATCCTTTTAATCATCCTGGGATCAGTAGTGGATAGACTCTCTTCCATTTCTGATAGTGGCAATTGTGTCTTTTTTTCTTAGTTAGCCTGGCTTGGGGCTTATGGATATTAATGTTTTCAAAGAACTAGATTTGGTTTCACTGATTTTTTCTATTCTTTAACTGCTTCCAATTTCACTGATATCGTATCTCAATTTTTATGGCAAACAATAGATTTTAAGTGTTCTCACTGCAAAAAGATTAAGTATGTGAGGTAATACATATGCTAATTATTTTGAAAATGATTCCACATTTGTAAATATATGTAAAAACATCACATTGTATGCCATATATACAATTATAATGTCAATTAAATTTTTAAAAAATAAGTAATAAAGGGAAATATTTGCAAGTTAAAGTTAAAATTAAAACCTTTATCTCACAAGACATTATGAAGAGCACCAAAGTGCAAGCCACAGGATGGTAGATGCTATTTACAATCCATTCAACCAACAAAGGATTTACATGTGGACCACAGAGAGAACTGCAGGCCAGCAAGGAACCACAGGGAGAACTGCAGGCCAGTGAAGAGAAGACACCCTGATCTAAAATGAAAATGGCGACAGTCATAAATGGGACTTCAAAAAAGAGAAGACTGAAACCACACATGAACACATAAATAAAAAGTTAACCAAATAACAAGTTAACTTATGAAGATGTAGTATTTGATCTCATCAGTCATCAGAGAAATGTAAAATAAAATCTTTGCATTGTTATCATGCACCCACCATGGCTAATAAGTGAATGCTGGTGATACTGAGTGATGGGGAGGATGTGGAGGAGAAGAACACTCTGAGCCTGTCGGGCCAGCACCTTTGCAGTGGGAATCGTTTTAGCGTCTCTCATGGAAGCTGGAGGTGCTCAGACTCTGGATCCCACCAATTCCACTGCTATGTGTAGCCTGAGAAATGCAGACTGACACCAACATCTACTTAGAAAAATATACAGAGCAGGATTTCATATCCTTTCACTAAAAACAACTCAAATGCTCGTCAACAGAATTGTTGAGTAAGTCGTGTTATAAGCTTACAATAAAATACCATAGAACAACAAAATTATCAAAATGTTACATACAATAAAAAGGATAAATTTTATAAAATAACATTTGAGAAGAAGCCAGACACAGAAAAATATATTATATGAGTCTCTTCATTGAAATGTCAACATTAGTCAAAGCTGATTCCACAATGCATATTCATCCAAACAGCATGTTGTATATCGTGAATATATACAATTTTTACTCATCAAGTGAACATTTTAAAAAATTGGTCAAAATTTATATTGGAAATTAGAATTTTTTTCTTTTTTTTTTTTGAGACTGAGTCTTGCTCTGCTGCCCAGGCTGAAGTGCAGTGGTGTGATCTCAGCTCACTGCAACCTCTGCCTCCCGGGTTCAAGTGATTCTCCTGCCTCAGCCTCCTGAGTAGCTGGGATTACAGGCATGTGCCACCACGGCTGGCTTTTTTTCTTTTTTTTTTTTTTTTGTATTTTTAATAGAGACGGGGTTTCACCATTTTGGTCAGGCTGGTCTCGAACTCCTGGCCTCGTGATCCACCCACTTCAGCCTCCCAAAGTGCTGGGATTATAGGCATGAGCCATCGTACCCGGCCTGAAAATTAGAATTTTTTTTTTAAATAAGAAAACAGAATTCTCCTGTTAGGAATTAGGATGATGCTGCGTTGGCGAAGAGGGAATGGCGATGGAGGGAGATTGAGACACGGAAATGCCAGGGGTGTCCTGTATGCTGACCTGGACGCTGTGTGCTGAGTCATAGTTCATCAAGCCCTGTGTTTAGAGCTCTCATTATCTTCTGAAAGTTTGGCAAGCTATAACAAATACAAAGATGTCAGTAAAACAAACAAACAAATAACAAGGGTGCAACCTGAGGCCCAATCAGAGCCTCTGCTCCCAGCTTGCCAACTGCCTCTGTGGTCCACTGGAAGGCAGCCATTCCACCTGTGCTCACAAGGAGCTTGGCCTGGGCAGGACTGGGCTGCACCTGGCACCCGCGTCTCCCGTCTCATCCCCTCTGTGCACAGCAACCTGGAGACCGACAGCAGCAGCCAGTGGGAAGTCTTCAACCCCATGATGCACACAGGGCGGCTGCGGCTCTGAGGTTTCCTGCCGAATTCTCAGGGTCTTCTCTTGTTGCAACTGGTTTTGCTTCCTGTCACTGATACATCGATCATCATGCTTGTAGGCTCAACAGAGGGATTTTTTTTCAATTATTTACAAAGAATGTTTAATTGAATAAAATGAAAACAAACCCAACGTGCTATTTACAAAAAAAAAAAAAAAACACTCATTAATAAAATTATAAGTCAGGGTTCGGCAAACTATGACTTCAGTTTGTTTTTTGTTTATGTTTAACTGACCGTGAACTACACGTGTTCTTTGCATTTTTATAAGATTATAAAAGTAAAAAGAAGCATATGCAACAGATGCCCTGTGTATCCAAGAAACATAAAATATTTACTATGTGGCTCTTTATGAAATAGGTTTACCAAACCTGATTGTGAAGAAGGACTGAGTCACAGAGGGATGTGCAGAAGGCCGGGCAGAGGTGGCAGCAAGCCAGCTAGAGGGTGGAGGTCTCCGTGTGAGGGCGCTGAGTGGGGGCAGTGGGTCAAAGCCTCCTGGGGGCACTCTGTGGAAAGCACGTTTAACAGTCACCAATTTATATGCACAGAACTTAGCACCTGAGTATAAACCAACAATGAAAACGTAATAAGAACGGGACAAAATACATAAAAAGCCCAATGGATTTCAGTCCCATCCAATCCAGTAAAATAGTAGTGGAAAATTTTAACCACAACTTTTAGAATGGGGACGCTCCAGTGCATAAACCTAAATCGTGATGCAGAAAAACTGAACACGCAGTCAGTAAAACAAATTCAGTAACTATATATATAGAATGTCACTTGAATAGAAAACATGAACATCCACTGACCATTTAAAAAAATGAAATTTAGAAGTCGAAAAGTAATAAAGGCAGTAATAGTGAAGTGGGTAACAGGATGAAAGGGTAATCCTTAGATCAAATCTCAATTTCTAAGGAACATTGCAAGTCTCACATTACGGCTGGTGGCCACTCGATAATAAAACATCACTGCACGAGCCTGGCTAAGGTGATACAGAGAGGTCCCTATTTCCCATGGGGGTGTGGGAGAGATGCACGGTCTCATCCGTGGCTGCTGGGCTTGGTAAAGCACTTTGGAGAGAAATCTGACAGCATGCATTCAAGTTAAAAATGCATCAACCTTTCTGTGAGCCAGCTTAGTCCCCAGCATCTGTTCTGTGGAATAAAAGCCCAAGTAAGAATTAATGTGCAAGGAAAGTTATGGCAAACTATGTTCGTAGTTGCAGAAGTCTGGAAACCAGGCAAATGCCCATCAGTAGAAGAATAGCTGAATAGATGATTGTATTTAACACGGTGGAGGGTTAAGCAGACGCAGCATTAACATCATGAGCTTTTAAGAGCTAATTAAAAATATATCAGTTGACTTGGGTTTCAAAGTTGTGGATGAGTTAAAAAAAAAACAGATTTGGGAGACGTACAATAGAATCCCATTTGTATTAATGGGATTTTTAATAATGGCTAAGGTAAATGTGAATTTAAATATTTATGCTTGTGTTTGCATATTATCATATGGCCATGGAGAAAAATACGTGGAAGTCTACATGCCAGGTTTCTATCTGGAGGAGGGAGTGGGAGAGGAGGCGGCAAGGAGAAAAAAGGTTATTGAAAATGGAAAAGAGAAAAAAAATAAGAGAAAAATAAGGAATGCACCCCTAACAAGGTAATTTACATATTTATATGATTGCATTTATGGGTATAAGCATAAAGCATTATTAAAGAAAAATAAAAGTGAATGCTTATTTCTGGAGAGCTCTGTAATTTGTCAGGCAAGTTTCCTGGGCCTAGACACACAGTCAAAGGCAGTCAGTGAGGAAAGGGCAGCTAAGCCAGCCCTGAGGGTGGGTAAGGGCCAGGATCTCAGCTGGTGCACACAGCCGGGAGTGTGGTGCTGATGAAACATTGTTGGGAAGTTTAAGGATTGTGAGCCGACGGTTGTGCAGAGGCATCCGGCCTCCATCGTAAGATGCCAGACTCGGGCCATTGATTTGGCAAGAAATTCCCAAGATCTGACCAGAGTGCCTGTGTCTGTGTGGAGAGACCTCTGTGTCCATCTGCAGCCCTCTGTGGAGGGTGTAGTCCGGGCCAGCATGACTCCTGTGAGCCTCGGCCTCCACACTGACAAACAGGAGTGTGGTCTGAGACAAGGTTCCAGATCCCTTCCCTGTCCAGAGCTCCTAAAGCTTCCCCTTCTATTCAGATGTTTCTCTAATTAGAATAAAACTCTATTTTAATTGCATTATATAAGCAGAAAAACCTTGAGAACAGTTAGAAAACATTGATGAAAATGACATAAAGGTGCCCTGGGGCTGTGACGAGAAATTGGCTCATTGTATCTGGAAATGAAAGAAGAACAGGGACATTTAGAAAGGAAAAGTTCTGTCCTTAATTGAAATAAATTCTGTACTGCAAGTAGTATTAGAAGGTAATCATTTACATAAATAATAGTTAATGCTAGCAAACAGTGAAATGTAATTAGGGCAGAGAGACGCTGAGGCTCATTAGAAAGAACAACAACGCTGAGCTGTGAGCCGGAGGAGGCAGCCGGGTTCTGATGGAAGCTGCCTCGACCACCAGAACAACACCGCAAGCGTCCAGCAGCAGTAAGGGGCACAAGCTGCCTCGACCACCAGGCCAATGCCACCAGCGTCCAGCAGCAGCGAGGGGCACAAGCTGCCTCGACCACCAGAACAATGCCGCCAGCGTCCAGCAGCAGTGAGGGGCACAAGCTGCCTCGACCACCAGAACAACGCCGCCAGCGTCCAGCAGCAGTGAGGGGCACAAGCTGCCTCGACCACCAGAACAATGCCGCCAGCGTCCAGCAGCAACGAGGGGCACAAGCTGCCTCGACCACCAGAACAACACCGCAAGCGTCCAGCAGCAGCGAGGGGCACGGAGAGCAGGCAGTGCAGAAGTCAAACCCCTAACAGCCACAGGAAACTCAGGGCAAACGGAAGCGTTTCCATTCTCCAGCCCTTCTTTCAATATTCTTAACATGAGCAATCCATGAGCCCTCATTTTGCAGCCCACAGAACCTCAGCCAGCGTGTGAGGAAGAAGCTCCAGGCGGCGGCAGCCAGCGTGTGAGGAAGAAGCTCCACGCGGCGGCCAGTGTGTGAGGAAGAAGCTCCACGCGGCGGCGGCCAGTGTGTAAGAAAGAAGCTCCACGCAGCGGCCAGCGTGTGAGGAAGAAGCTCCACGCAGCGGCCAGCGTGTGAGGAAGAAGCTCCAGGCGGCGGCGGCCAGCGTGTGAGGAAGAAGCTCCACGCGGCGGCCAGTGTGTGAGAAAAGCTCCACGCAGCGGCCAGCGTGTGAGGAAGAAGCTCCAGGCGGCGGCCGCCAGCGTGTGAGGAAGAAGCTCCACGCGGCGCTTGCTCAGGGAATCCTGCTCCAGGGCGTGCTCACTTGCTGTTATTGTGTTTTATTTTTCCTGAGACTGTAAATGGAGCGGATAGAAGTTCAGAACCATCGGTCCCTCTTCTTCCTGGGTCATCCTGAGCTCGGCAGTGAGAGCACCTACGACTAGGGAGCGGCCGAGCAGAGGGAACAAGGCCGTGCCCGCTAAGGTTCTCCCGGGACGGTGGCGAGCCCACGCTTGCCAGGCATGACGCCTCGACCTCCAGCGTCCAGAGCGTCCCTTCATTGGTTCACAGGAACTTTTCACATGTGTCCGTCCACTTTTCTTAGGAATATTTATTTAGGTGAGGTTATTCATTCTGACACTGGAAGAAAAGTGCAAAACCTCGTGTGGACTTCGTAGGTGGAGCATTTGAGTTATCATCGGAAAACTAGAGCCCGGACTGTATGAGGAAGGTAATTCATGTTTACAACTGATTATTGCTTTGGGTGATTTTCTCTAATGCAATAATAAAAATAGTAGAAAGAAACTTTTCAACTGTGAAACCCAAACTTAATATTACTATATCATTATTATCAGTCTTTAAACACCTATTTCAGACAAGTTTTTTAAAATATAAAGACAAGACCTAATAAGAGGTGTGAGTTTTACAAATATACCAGAAAAGTGTGTGCCTGAATAAGTGTTGACCCCTCAGAGTGACCCCTGCTGGTCGCAGGGAACCTGTTCCCATCACGTCCCCACTCACCCACAAGGCAGCGGCGCCTCCTCGGTGGTCCTGGCGCCCATGACGCGTTGCTGGGAAAATCTCCCACCCGGACGTTAACTGTGGGCTTCACTTACTTTCAGTTCCTGGGGGAAGGCTCGACAGAGCAAGCTTTAGTCCCCCTCAAAAAAGAAATGGTGTAAAATCAGTGAAAGCCGTCTGCTTTTGTGTTTGGCGAGCAGGAAGTCACAGAGGGAGGCCCCGTCTGTGTTAGGTCAGGCTTCATTTCTTCATTTGTTAACAAATCCTTCTTAGTGGCCCCTACAGCCGGTCTTGAAACTGGCCACTGAGATAAGAGGTCGTCTTCCCATCGAGTACTCTGAAAAATGCCCCCTTGGCCTTTAAGATGAGGCATTGAGTATTTGCTCAAAAGATGGTGTTTTCTTCATCATGTCACTTCAGACATACACCTATATATAAATGCATGTGTATATATGTATATATAAAATAGTATTCTCCTAAATTCCAAATCACATTACTTCTGATTAAAGATTATTGGAAGCCACATGCAATTCTAAAGATAAAAATAAGCAGGAGAGAAATTACTACTGACCATAGTGCCTAGTCTAATGAGTAGAGGTAGGTTGTTTATTCAGAGTTATTTAAACAAAACGGAAGCACCATACAGCAGCTTTTCCATGTCTTTCGGGCTTTATCGTGTAAAATGCCCTGGGCTCTGATTTTTAACGTGGTCTGCATCAACTTGTAAGTGTTTTGGTCTACATATGGGTGTGTGGAACAGAAATTCACGTTCTTGAATATTGTTTTAAAAGTAGACATATTACTATTAAGGTTATTCCAATAAAATTCTAGTGTAGTTTGACAGGAAGCCCCGTGTTTGAATGAACGTGGTGGCCATGTGGCTGGGCGGCGTCCTGGCAAAAGCTCCCTGAAGATGCTGACATCTGTTCAGGCCTGGACCCTGGCTGTGGTTCAGAAGTGTATCATTATCAATGCCTCTCTAAGGCAGGGAAAGTAACATCAGCAGGTGACAAGAACCACTGTGCCTATTTCAACAACTTCTGCCACCTGAAGTGAGAGTGGGCTGCTCCACCAGGGCAAGGCAGGCCAGCACCAGGCCCTGTGGGGGCTGATACCTGCCCATCCTCTGCCAGGGTCTTGGCCATGTGGTCACGGCACACCTGGAATCTGGCCAGTGTGATTGGGACCAGGGTGTTCAACTTACTTAATTAATTTAAATGCAATCAGCCTCGTGTTCGCATGCCAGCAAAGCAGCACATCCTCGGGTTTAGCGAAAGGCTGATGCCAGCATGTGTAGATAGAATGAGAAACCCTAACCTGAGAGGATTCGATTGCACTGGAGAAGCCGCAGACATCCGGGGAAGCTGGTAGAGACAAGACAAGCCAGCAAGAGTAGGAAGATGCACGCAGGCTGAGAGACCCAGGAGGAAGCAGAAAAAAACGCAACAAAGGAAAAGGTTCACTTTCCTGAGCCCGCAAAATCAGATGGCCCAGGACACAGAAGCTCCGCCCTCCACTGCCCTGGGTCGAGATCTTCCTCTGTGTACAGTGAATTCACCATTTTACCACATGAGAAAACCCACATGCAAATGAAGCAGACAGCGCCCACAGCCAGGCGGCTCCAGCTCCAGGGAGGCCGGTGCAGGGGCCTGAGGCAGTTGCTGCTCCAAAGCGTAAAACTAGGAGGAGGAGAGATGTGCATTATCTACACCACTGCTGAGCTGCACTTCCACTTGGGAACGTTCAGATGCCACAGACCTGCTACATTTCTGGAGATGCTGGCGTGACGAGTCATTAGCTCAGCAATGGGAGCTCCACTGGGCTCATTCTCCTGCCCTGGGGAAGCAGGTGCCCGAATCAGGAACTTAGGTCCCCACTTACTTACAAAAATGTACAATGAAGAAGAAGTAATCTGAGCCTTCATAGGGAGTCTGTGAACAATGAAGAATTGAAGACATTATTATATCCAGTTATTTTAAGTGTCACTGGGTACAGAACACTCTGACAGGTGCTTCTTGTTGTTTTAATTCTAAGTATTTCATGGTCTTCAGAGACACAAAGTCACAGTGCTAGTAACAGTACTAGTAAAACCAGGTTAGTTAAGCCCTAAAAATAAATAAGAAGCCATTGTGTGCACACACATGCAGGCACACGAACGTTGACTTAAAATGCTTCGAAATGTACTATTGCATCTTATCTTTACACAAGGTTATAATACAGAATAAAGTTTTAAAAATATGTCCACTTTACACATGTGAGAGCTGCAGCTCAAATAATTTAAGAGACATGTTCTAACTCCCAGGACTGGGTAAAGATGGTCGAATCTGGAGCCGGCCTTGGTTCCCCACAGCCCGTGACAAGGAGTGTGGAGCTTCACCCGGGAGGCTCTTTCAGCCCAAGGATCAGCTGTGGGGCAGCGCAGCAGGCACGGCCATGCTGCATCCTCCTTTTCAGCAGAAATCCAATGTTCGTCTCACGTTTCTGTTTTGTTTTGTTTCTTACCACCAGGGCTCTGGGAGTTAATTACAAAATTTAATTTTAAAGGAGACAGTCCTTGTCACTAGGGTTCCTAGGAGACTGATTATACAAAAAGAAAAATAAATACTGGTGGATGAGAAACTTCTGCAAAATTGTTACTTAATATATAATTATAACTTAAGAAGAATGTATATTACAATAATAATTTAATTTGTTACTGTCATTTTCTTGCCAAATTTGAAGCTAATTTTTTAAAGCTCCCGACAAGTGGTTTACTGTGGAGCAAACACTGGCATACTTTAGGCTTACAATCTGCTGACAACCCCGTCTTAGCCCTTCACTTGGAAAATGTGAGCGTGCACTGTTCATGTGCCTGTCAAGCACGTACACCACTCAGAAGGACAACAGCCACTCAGGTTATCAGGTGAATGTGTGACGAGCCATTAAGAGGCTGCACGTGGGCTCGGGAAAATGAAATTCCCACCATAAACCTGTCCCCCATTTCCATCCCATGCCCTGCCCCTGCCCCTGCCCCAAAGCAATGTCTCCACCTCTTAGGAATGTTTGATTTTCATTATTGCTAAACAGGGGCCAAAGAAAACAAACTGAACAAAGAAACAAAGAAAGCCTTTAACACAGTGAACAAAGACACAGCAGCCCTACCCACAGCTCCGGAGCCACACAGCGGCTCCCAGAGCCGGAGCACAGGCCAGGGAGCTCTGGCCCGTGGATCTCACCAATGCATTTCTTCCCAACGTGTCCAAAAAGCATCCAGAAATGGGGTTCACTTAACTGGGACATACAATAGTGTATACCTATAGTTTTGTCCCAGAGCTGTATAAACTGGTACACTGTCTGCCACAATACAGTCCTCACCCTGACCCAGGAGCTCAGGTAGGGAGAAGCCGGCAGAGTTGGAGGCCTGGAAGACACCGGTGCTCAGAGTGGGAAAAACCACCACAGAGAGCCAGGCCCTGCCTACCAGTCACATTTTTAGGAGTCTAGTGGCCTAGCCGGGCTGGGAGACGTTCTCTAAAGGACAGGCAAGAAATATTGCCCCGTGTCTCCCACCACTGAGCAGGAAGCACAGGTCAGCCCCAGGCTCAGCTGCCTCCTGCCAGGGTGTTGAGCCAGGCCCAGGCTGTGCCCCACCCCCCCATGCAACCCTCAAGAGGACTGCCTGCCAGGCTGGATCAACTGCACCAGGCCCTGACACCCTGGGAAGGACAGGGATGCATTTGACAGAAACAGCTAAACCTGCAGGGATGACCCAGCCTTTCCTCAGGGCCACAGGACAGTTTATAGAAAGTGCTATCTACCAGGACGAGATCTCACACGACACCGTCACAGGGACCGGTTTCATGCCACGGAGGGAGGAAGAGGGCGCACACCATGGGTCTGGTCACGGCACCTGCACCCCTGGGAGCTGCAGACCCAGCTGCCTGGCTCAGGTGCAAAATCAGGGCTGAGCCTGGAGGACACAGCGTCTAGGCGAATCCATCACCTTTGCCTAGTGCCATGTCCCACCAGGTGGAACATGTGGCAATGGGAGCACCCACTGCCGTCAGAAGCCCAGTGTCCCCACCCAAGCCCCGCATCACGCCCAGGATCAGTGGGTGCATCTCTACCCTGCACATCAGCTCTGAAAGGTGGGAGCTCCCGGTTTTCACAGCTGTGGGGCTTCCAGGAGGGGCAGGGCCAGGTTTCCTGGAAGGATGAGCTCTGTGTACAACAGTGTCCTTAGGCTGCTCATCAATGGACCCGCAGGCAGGAAAATGGGCACCACCTGGACCTGGTGTCAGCAGGAGCAGGGCTGTGCTGCCTGGGGCAGGGGGCTTCACGCAGGCATCTCCCGGTGCCCAGCATTGGATGGTGTGTGGCCGTGTGCAGGAGCCCAGCCCAAGGACTCCGTGGTGAGCAAGGCTCAGGGTCTCCTAGGGGTGAGGGCCTGGGCTGCACCACCAGGGGATCACCTGGACCCTCAGCAGAAGGTGGAGGGGGCGGGACCTTACCTGCGCGGCCCTGAGATAGGTGGCGGCCACAGGACTTAGGGTTCATGGAACCCGCCTTTTCTAACCAGCACCCAGGAAAAGGCCTAGAATTTAAGGAAGGTGAGGCCCCTGGCAGTGCAGCGCTGGACCACACCCACTGGTGCACACCTGAACCTCCCCCAGGGCCTCGGCCGTGAGCTTTGATTATAGACACACTTAACGCCACAGCCCCTTGACTATTCCCTTCGCCTCTGAAAATCCAGACAGGATGCTACTGTTTGTGGAAACGTGTATGTCCTTCGTGTGTTTTTCACTTTGACCATAAACTCATCTGCAGCAAAAATGTATGCAGAGACCCCATGTGCACCCAGGGTCTGCAGACGTCTCTGAGAGTTTGCGTCTCGGTTCCCAGAAGGTGCGGCAGCTCGGAAACATGTGCCACTGGTTTCTTGTCTCGGTGCATTTTTGCTCCCCATGGACACGCTTGTCTCAGATTTTTTAAAACGCCAAGGGTGGGAGGCAGCATGATGCAGAAAGGGCAGAAAACGTAAGGGCTGGATTTGGGGACCCTTACTAGACACCTTGGGGCATGCAGCACAGTGCAGGCCCACACACGAGGTACAGAGCCGCAGAATGTTGTAATAAATGAAATCATGGTTTTTGGCCAGAAAAACCATGGGAAGCTTTATGGAGACGGCAAAGCTTGAGTGGGGCCTTGAAGGTGGGCCTTTTCAAGGGGGGTGATAGGTGAGGAGGGGTAGTCTGGGATCCCGGGCGGGTTCTGCAGGTTTTGGACACACTTCTATTGGTGCAATCCGTGTGCAGAGGTGATAGTTTCATGACTGACATATTTAGGTACATGTCACATCCATAATAATACTGTGTAATAATTATAAAGCCAGCATTGAAATAATAAGAACCACCCACTAGCACAGCCAGTAAAAATGAGATAGATTTCACTTTCCCTTACAGTGAAGCAAAGATCACAAATCCTTAAAGTAAATGGATTTTCTCATTAACCCACATTCCCCCAAAAGCTTTAATGGTGCCTACTGTGAAATGAAAATGGAGCCTATTTTCCTTTAAGTTTTAAGTAAACTCTTAATTCTAGCTGGGATTCATTGCCTTGAACCCACTGTGACATTAGCTGAAGGAGGAGCCCAATTAAGTTTTTAATTTTGCTGAGTGAGCCCTCAGGTGCGACTCATTTGCTAATTAAGTAAAGCGAGGGGATTCAATGAGTGGCGCTGTGAGTGCGGCAGCCCCAGAGCAGAAGAAACAGGTGCAGCCCCATAGCCACCTTAAGTCAACTGTGAGAAGGTTCACACTACATGGAAAACAAGAAAAACCTTTAGAAAGACAGTCTCCACAATTGCCAAGGACAAGATGTCCTTTTAGCATGCAGGAATGCAGTGAGTAACTGGGCTTCTCCTGTTTCCTGGTCGGCAAGGTCCCAGGCAGCGTTCCATTTGTAAGGCAAGGTGTGGATCCTTAATCCCTGGGAGCCACAGGTGTAAAAGGCATTGCACACTCTGCCAATAGTTCCACTAATGCAAGTTTTTGGTTACTTTCTCTTAATGAATACTGAGATTTCCTTCCTTAAATACGATAGAAAAGAGCACCTGAGCTAGGGCAGATGACCAGGAGGCGCGCCAGCCTTTCACAGCTGGAAAGGCAATTCTCATCTCTCCACGCCAAGTTTCAGAGCTTATTTCTGCCCACTCACCAAGACTTTCTTATTTTCTCAATGATGGGTTCTAAAGTCTAAGGCAAAAGTAGATTATTAAATGCAGGTGCCAAGACCAGCTCGGTTGGGGAGACCCTAACCCAGCAGCGCTAGAGGAATTAAAGACACACACACAGAAATACAGAGGTGTAAAGTGGGATATCAGGGGTCTCACAGCCTTCAGAGCTGAGAGCCCCGAACAGAGATTTACCCACATATTTATTAACAGCAAACCAGTCATTAGCATTGTTTCTATGGATATTAAATTAACTGAAAGTATCCCTTAAGGGAAACGAAGGGATGGGCTGAATTAATTGCAGCAGGAACACGCCCTTAAGGCACAGATCGCTCAGGCTAATTGTTTATGGCTTAAAAATGCCTTTAACCAGTTTTCCGCCCTGAGCGGGCCAGGTGTTCCTTACCGTCATTCCTGTAAACCCACAACCTTCCAGCTTGGGCTTTATGGCCATTATGGACATGTTACATTGCTGCAGAGATTTTATTTATGGCCAGTTTTGGGGCCAGACTTTGGGGGGCTTGCTCCCAACATGCAGGCACTGTATTTTTCTGTTATTTTAGGCACATGTGCTGGGGTGAGGCACCAGTCATGAAAGCCAAGTCCACCGAGGTCCTGGGAAACAAGGTCTCAGCACAGGCGGAGAAACTGGGAGCCTGGAAAAGGGAAAGAAGTTGGTCCACACTGCACAGGGATCTCCCCTTCTCACAGAGGCTCAGGCCCGGCGTCCCCGCGGGAAGCACTTAGACAACCAAACACCTGAACAGGACGTTTCTCCCAGTCAGGCTGGACACGCTGGAGAGTTAGGAGGGCCAAGGGCGAGACCAGCTCCTATGTGGGGAAGGAGACGGGGCGAGGAGCTCAGCCGCTGAGGCTGTTTTGATAGAGATGATGGCCAATTCTGAGACACTGAAAACCACAGCAGAGGTTTCTGAAGTCTCAAAGGAGCAGAGAAACAATACCTGGGTTTTGGTCTCATGCTGGACCAGAGGCTCTGCTGAACAGTTGAGGACTTGCTTAGAATCTTCAAATGGCTACAGCTAGAAATTAGGGGAAGCAGGAACTATAGATGCTTCTAACACATCATTCCCTGATTGCATTAAGGTGATCCACCCTTATCCTCGCAGTCAGAAGACACCTCCTCATGGACTTCTGACTGCTGTTGTTTCAAAGGAACATCCAATTTTATGCTGCTCATACATATTTGAAAAAAGAAAACACAATGCAACTATGTGATTAACAAAAGAGATACCTTCAACATAATGATATAAAAGTTGGAAAGTAAAAAGAAGTGAAAATAATATCATGAAAAATAAACCTGGAGTAGCTCTGCTAATAACAGACTCTACGGCATAAAGCATGACCAGAGATGAAGAGAAACATTTAATAAAAACTCAAACTGCAAAGGCAGTAAGACAATTGTAAATGCACATGCTCCAAATAACAACCTCAAAACACATGCAGCACGTGTTTTCAGAATCACGAAGGGTGACAGACAGCTCCTCAGTTATGTTGTTTGGTTTTAAAATGCTTGTCTCAGGAACTAATGGAAAAGGCAGGCAAAAAAATCAGCAAGGACCTGAAAGAAATGAACATTCTAAGACAAATTAATGTAAATCACCATATTAACAGAAGAAAGATAAATCGTATTGATTGATGCAGAAAAAAAGTATTTGATGAAATGCAATATATATTCATAGTTGACACCATTAATACAAAAGGTTTAGCAAACCAGGAATAAGAAGAGAATGTAATTCCTGAGTCAAAAAAAAAGGGTATCTATGAAAAGCCTACAGCATGGCTGTAATTAGTCATAGAAGGTTGAACACTGTCCATCCTGAGATGGAAAATGAAGCAAGGAAGTCCATTATCATTACCTATATGTAAGCTCGTCCTGCAGATCCCAGCCATGAAAATGAAACTGGAACAACAGAAAATGTGTAAGAATTGGAGAGAAATATAAAAACCCACCTTTATACACAGATCACATGATTGTATATATAAAGTATACAATAAAGTATGAAAATGAATTTGTAAAGTCAACTGAATTTTAACAAGATGCTGAATAAAAATCAACATAAATATTCACTTTATTTTAACATACAAGCAATAAACAATTAGAAAATAAAATGTAAAAGATACTTTTGAGAGACAGGACTAGCTGGATTTCCTAGGCTAAGAATCCCTAAGCCTAGCTGAGAAGGTGACCACATCCACCTTTAAACACCAGGCTTGCAACTTAGCTCACACCTGACCAATCACAGAGCTCACTAAAATGCTAATAAGGCAAAAACAGGAGGTAAAGAAATAGCCAATCATCTACTGCCTGAGAGCACAGCGGGAGGGACAGTGATTGGGATATAAACCCAGGCATTGGAGCTGGCAATGGCTACCCTCTTTGGGTCCCCTTCCTTTGTATGGGAGCTCTGTTTTCACTCTATTTCACTCTATTAAATCTTGCAACTGCACTCTTCTGGTCCGTGTTTGTTACGGCTGGAGCTGAGCTTTCGCTCGCCCTCCACCACTGCTGTTTGCTGCCGTCGTAGACCCGCCGCTGACTTCCATCTCTCCAGAGCCGGCAGGGTGTCCGCTGTGCTCCTGATCCAGCGAGGCGCCCATTGCCACTCCCGATGGATCAGGCTAAGGTCTTGCCATTGTTTCTGCATGGCTAAGTGCCTCAGTTCGTCCTAATTGAGCTGAACACTAGTCACTGGGTTCCATGGTTCTCTTCCGTGACCCACGGCTTCTAATAGAGCTGTAACACTCACCGGATGGCCCAAGATTCCATTCCTTGGAATCCGTGAGGCCAAGAACCCCAGGTCAGAGAACAGTAGGCTTGCCACCATCTTGGAAGTGGGCCGCCGCCATTTTGGAAGCGACCTGCCACCATCTTAGGAGTTCTGGGAGCAAGGACCCCCTGGTAACACTTTTACAGTGGGTTAGAAAAGTTAAATCTTAGCAACACTCCTAACAAAAAAATGCATGAGACTTGAATGGAGAAGTCCAGAAAATATTACAGAAAAGAAAGACCTAATTGAACTGAAAGACTCAACCATTTTAACTATGTCAGTTTTCACCAAAGAGTCCTATGGGTTTAATAATAATATAAAAAACCCTAGAATAATTTACAAGGTTAAGAAAATCTTGTCTAAATAAACTTGGAATAACTGTAGACTCACCGTACAGCTGTAATCATTAAGCCAGAGAAAAACGATCTCAAGGATGGACATGCAGGACAGAACAAGCCGTGCAGAGAGAAACCCATGGAGATGGGCACGCGGATGGACAGCAGAGCGGGCAGAAGGTGCGGCCTTCCCACAAACGGCGGGGGCCCTGGATATCCACGTGGAAAAATGTGACAGGATTTCTGACTCACATCACAAACAAATTCAGTTCCAGGAACAGTAAAACTAAATGTAAAAGACAAAGCAATAAAACCCCCAGGCGATAACCCAGTCAATACACAGGAGGCCTTGACCGTCAGAACCCTCCAGTAAACCAGGAAAAGGAGCCGTTACCATGGAAACATGTGGTGGACTCCCTTAACATCTGAAAAAAAAAAAAAAAAAAAAAAAAAGCCCAAGGTTCACATCACAGAGAGGTCCGGACACAGAATGAGACACCCACGGCCCGGCAGCGGACACCTGCACCCGGGCACCCCCAGGGAGACGCCACCAGGGCTGCAGTAGCTGGCTGGCATCAGAGGGAATAAGTAAAGGCCAGGGCCCTGCCAGCACCTAGGAGAGGCTCCTCCCCAGGCCCGTGTGGGAAGGCCCAGCCCACCCTACAGGAGCAGGAGCAGGAGGCCCTGCTGAGCCCAGGGCGCTGGACCCACACAGACAGGGAGAAGGCAAACCTGAGCTGCTTGGACTCTGGATTTGTGGTACTGGTCAGACAGCTGTGTAATACTAAGACCATCGTCAATGTGCTGCAGGCCTCTGGGCAGCCTTTGGTGACATCAGAGACGGGTAGGAACCAGCATTTTGCAGTTTTGAACGTGCGTCAAGTAAACTAAATGCAACAACGACAAATTAAAACTGCAACACTGTAAACACCTGTGGTTGAAACTAGAGGACCTACTGCAGAAAAGATGAAACAAGGGAAAGAGAGAATGGAAACTGGCAGGCCAGGTATATGGGAGCAAACGACGGCTTTGAGCAGGAGAGGCTACCACGGAAGCTCAGCTGCTCAGGCCGAATTCCTTCTGCGAAGTAAGTTTTAAAAGAAAAGAAAAACCAGCAATAGACACAAAGCTCAGTGCACGAACACTAGGGACAGGCCTGTGTTAGGCCTGGGCTGGGCCGGGAGCCACGGAGCTGAAGAGCTGCCTGAAGAGCCAGCACCAGCACAGCACGGCAATGGCCTCGCCCCAGGAGAAGATAGAATGGATTAGCCCAGCGACAGTGGCCAGGGAACCCACCCAGCAGCCTAGGGAAGGTCCGGGAATGGAACTGGGGTTCGGCCATCGCCAGCCCAGGGCTAGACTCAGCCAGGTGGGCAGCTGGATTCTCCTCCACAGAACCCGTGGGCTGGCCCACACATGCGACTCAGAGCAAGAGAAAGACCATTCCTGTCCACCTCCTGCAGCCTCCGCGCGCCCAAGCACATACCTGACATATCACAGAACAAGACTCCACAGCCATGCATCTGTCCTCTCTAGGGCACCTAATGATTAGAAAGGAATTTACTCGAAATGCTGGAAACAGAAGAGGAAATTACCCTGACAAGGACGGAGATCCACACCGCCATCCAGGGCCTAGGAACAGCGCTCAGCCAGGGCCCGGCCCCTCAAGAGTGCGGGATGGCTGCAGGGGAGGTGGGTCCGGGACAAGCAGGAGTGGCAATTCCCAGGCAGTGTGGGTACCAAGCCATCTTGGGGGACGGCCCGGTGGGCATACGAGAGGACAGCAGCAGCCTGGCAGGGGCAACGCCCTCCTCATGGTAGAAAATGGACGTGCCCCCAGGAGGAGCCACCGCTTACATTGTAATCACTCAAGTCCATCGCCAGAAAACACAAGAAGGATTGTCTTGCCAGAGGTTAGTGACCAGGGACTTAAAGGAAAGGCCAGTGAGCAAAGAGGAGCCTTCTTAGTTCCGCAGACCTCGTGCCTGCCGTTGTAGTAAGCGAGACTGAGCTCAGCCACGCTCACCCGCGGAAAGCACAGGGATGCTTGCCAGGAGGCTGGGGGAGGATCACAAGACACGAGGGCTGACGAGGATGGGCAGAGCATCCCCTGCCTGGCCGGGGGTCCTTGGCCAATTCGAAAATAGATAACAGGGGGTCTCAGAGCTCCCGCGGCAAGAGCTACTTAGGCACTGCAAGGTACTTGGATGACGTCATTGTCTTCAGTAGAACCTTGAAGAAGTACCAGAGACTCCCAGGCAACGTAGCTGAAATCTGTCTCAAGTAGAGCCGTCCAGGGTCTTCATCACGTGGGCAAGGCTTTTACCACGATGACAGCACATAAGAAAGTCGGCCTTGCTAGCAGCAGAGACAGGCCTGGTGTCACTGACCCTGAGGCAGGACTCTTATAAACCATATAATTTAATTCTCTGCCAGCTCAAGCTGATCCCTGAGATCATCCTCTGCATGAGAATCACCATGTACTGCAGCATGGATGGACTGAGGCCCCGGAGGGCCCCCACGTCCTGGATGAGGAGCCCACAGTGGCCACGGTCCTTGATTCAGAATAAAACAAAGACAAAAGCAATCAGAAAACGCATGCACCATAAGGCTGAGCCATTTTTCAAAGACGTCAAAATAGGAAAATAATCAAATGGAAGAAAACTGAGAATTCCATCCGCTGGCTTGCTCCAGAGGCCTCTCCGACCTCAGGCCACAAAGAGGGGAGGCCTGCGGAGGGGCTCTGCCTGGGTGGAAATCCCTCTGGTTTTTGTCTTC
Organism: Homo sapiens; assembly: GCF_000001405.40. Classification (NCBI taxonomy): domain Eukaryota; kingdom Metazoa; phylum Chordata; class Mammalia; order Primates; family Hominidae; genus Homo; species Homo sapiens. The sequence continues at coordinate 595,971 of NC_000002.12, forward strand.
CACCAGATGTTGGTGTCATCAATTTCATCCTTCTCAGCATCACAGCTAATGTTAAAAGGATTCAGATCAGGAGAGACTGAAGTGCTGCAGCCCTGATAATGCTCCCAGTGAGAATTTGTGCAAAACGTTTCCCCTGGAGCTGCAAAACCAGATCCAGGCAGGGCCCTGGGCGCTGAGGACAGAATCTCTACGTCCTCCCCTCTGCAAAACCAGATCCAGGCAGGGCCCTGGGCACTGAGGACAGAATCTCTACGTCCTCCCCTCTGCAAAACCAGATCCAGGCAGGGCCCTAGGCACTGAGGACAGAATCTCCACCTCCTCCCTTCTGCAATGCTGCCTCTTCACAGGTAGAGCTTTCACTTCTCTTCAGCTTCTCGCCAGCCAAGGATGCAGGGAACAAGCAGCTTGCCATCACAGTCTCAGGTATTTTTGCTTTGCCAGCTGGGCTCCTATGAACAATGTGTCCAGCCACAGGCAAACAACCTGAGAGTGACAGCGTGAGTCAGGACCTCACAAGAAGCCTGGCCAGAGGCACGGACGGCAGATAGGACACAGATGGGGCGACCAAATACATCTGGGGCAGTAGTGTGTCCTGACAGATCTGCGGGGGGTGGGGGGCACAGTAATCTTGGGCCTGGCTAAGATTTGACGGGAGAACATTGACCCAAGTCCCCAGGAGAACATTGAAGAGAACTGTGGCTGACTGTCAAAGGGAGAAGCAACCGCAGAGTTTTCTTTCTGGTTCAGAGGAGATGTGAGGGGTGTAGCCTGCGGAGCAAGGACAAGGGGTCCTAGAACGCTGTTGTTGGTCATTCAGCCGAGGGCTTCACTTCTCAGCCTGCACAGCTTTCCGCCTGTGAGTGTAGGTTACGTCTATACACACACATGAAATGATCTATTCTCACTCGGCTGCCCATGTCTGAACACGGTGGTATTAGGAGGAATAGGAAAGCAACATCCTACCGGATCACATTGCTTCAGTGAAACCATTTAAACCCCTGAGCCTCTGCATGCCAATCAACACTGCGAGTGGTGAGAATGCCTGTCTCATGGGGGTTTGTGAAGACAAAATGTAAAAATAAAATGTGGAGTGCTTGGTAAACTAAAGTTCTAATAAATATTAGTCGTTACTATTATTATATCAGAAGTCACAAGACTGGAATAGTTCACTTGAATAAAAACTCAGTGCAGAGAAGTTGGATAAATTGGTGAGTTTAAAACTTCAATAGGACTAAAACTATGCCAGTTAATTTATTCATGTATGCATATTCATTAACTTATTTATGCTGAAATGAATTAAAGGTTTAGTGCGTGCGTGGAGCTGGGGACACACCACCATCAAGGCTGCATGAACTCTGTCCACACCACGGCTGTTTTCAAACAACCACAGAAGAAAATAAGTGGGAAACACCGGTTACTTTCTTCAGTTGATAACTCAGCTGACTAAATAGCTCATGTTAAGTCAGTCTTAATGAGGAAATCAGAACATTCAGGGCTTTGGGATTAGAACTACACATCTCTCTGGCAAGCATTCAGAGCTCTTTGGGTCAGACATCAGTGGCTGCAGAAATGTTACCTGAAAAACCCGCAGCCTTTCTGAACGCTTGCGGGAGTTTCCTTGCCTTTCGGGCCACTGTATTGTAGCAGGACAAGCCGCAGACAAAACTCCTCAAACACCGGATTAAAGAAGGAAGAGGTTTTTATTCAGCCAGGAGCATTGGCAGACTTGAGTCTTAAGAGCTGAGCTCCCTGAAAAAGAAATTCTTGGCCTTTTTAAAGGCATACAACTTTAAGGGGTCCACGTGAAAGGGTCGTAGTACATCAAGCAAGCGTGGGAAACGTGACTGGGGGCTACAGGCATCAGCTAACAGAACAGAAAGTTTTACAATGCTTTTTTCATACAGTGTCTGGAATTTACACAAGTAGTTTAGGTCAGGGGTTGATGTTATTATTATCACTTTTTTTAACTCCTAGGGCCGGGTGGTGGTGCCAAGGTTATCTGGCTATTTATCTTACTTTTGTTTTTTTCCAACTTTTTGCTTTTTCTCTCTTCCTGTTTTGTGAACTAGGCAAGGTGGGGGGAAGGAGGGCATCAGGAGGAGTAGTGGTCTCCTTCCTTAGTGTGAGGAAAAACACTCATGACCCTAAGTGTCGCAAACTGCAGAAGAGGCAAGATGGTAGCCTGCCACTCCCTGTCAAATGCTTGTTGCCCTCTTCTGGGCCAGCCTCGTCCACCCAGCCCGCGATGCCCTCTGAGACAGCCCAGCCACCGCACCGCCCGCCCTCGGGTGATTCAGGACTAATCAGAGCATCAGGATGCTGGGCACGCCGTTAGCCGGGGCGATTCAGAGTCATCTGCTGTGGAGTGGGGCTCAGAGTGAGGGATGTGGTCACTCACGCCATGTTGATGATTCAAGCTCTTCTCTGTCAACTCAATGCCTGTGGAGTAGAAGGAAGTACATCTGTTTATCTCTTGGCCAAAAGAGCAAGTTAATACATTTTTTAAAACTTTGACATTTCATCTTAAAGCAACAGTGGGCCTTGTTTAACTAGAATCTCATTTCTGCAGCCTGATTTTGCTGGAGAGACTCCCAACACAGGCAAGCCCCGGGAGGACAGAGATCAGCAGGGGTGCTGGCGCCAGATGCCTTTGTTCCTCAGCCTTCATCCCACTCAGTTACAAAATTACATGAGAGGCTAGATAAGCTTATTCCCTAGCCCTTTTTTAAGGTTCAAATGTTACTACATTTTATAAGAAAATACAGTTTTTGAATCAACCCTCGGAGGCTCCAGCCTTCAGGAGACACTGGTGAGTACCGCCATGCCTCTGGCCTCAAAGCGTGGTTTGCAAACTGGTTTGTTCTTTGCAGGATAAAACCGCACTGGTGGCCACGGGTGCCCTGGTTAGCAGAGTCGATGGGATTTTCTCTGGCTTTCGCCTTGTGGGCATCATTAGCACCCTGGAGTCACTTGCAGGCCTCTGTGCAGATGTCCTGCCGAGGGGCTTCAGGCTGTAAAAGTGAACCAGTGGACACAGGACCTGCCTGGACTCCCAGCCTCACAGAGCAGAACCACAGCCCAGACTGCCCTCTGCCCAATACACACTTGTTTTGGAACTTTAATCCATCAAAGCATCCAAATAAAAAATATGTAGACTCCCCACCCTATCCCATCTGCCTTTGTGTCCTAATTCCCAAATAGACATCCCATCACAGTGGTTTTCTCTGTGACGGGGACTCCTGCATTGGACTCCATCCCTCCCTTGCTGGAAAAGCACAGGTGCTGTGGCGTGAGATCAACCAACTTACTTCAATTTGCTGATCTTGGGGTAATAATTCTAAAATAGGGGAACAATACCCCTGTCAGTGTACTTGGGAGAACCTCCCCATTTCTTGAGGCCCCAGAAATGCAAACACTCCTGTTTTTGTTGTCAACTCTGGTGTCAGAGCTGTTCACGCCATGGGCACTGGTCATCGACTTACCGTGGATAGTCAAGCTTTTAAGTCCCAGGAATAAAGGGTTCCTACTTCTTTAAGCTGTGTTTATTTTACACTGTTGCTGGTATACTCGGTGGGTACTTAGTGAGGATGAGGAAAAAGTGTCAGAGAGTGATTTCCAATAAGATGGAAAATGATCCGCAGTTTCTCCTCCCTTAACCAGCACATGACGTCTGCCCTGTGGCATCAGATAGTGGAGGCAGTGGCGCTCCGTGTGGGGCCTCCTGGCTGAAGGAGGTGACAACAGTTTGTCCTGTCTTCCTAGACGCTGTGTGCACCTCGCCCCGCTGGTGATTTACTTGAGAGGAACCCATGTGTGGGGTAGGGAGTGTTGCCTTTGGCTTCTACCCAGGTCCTGCTGTGGACTCTGCCTCTTACCAGGGGTGACTTGTGTGAGCTGGGACCTCTTCACCCAGAGGAGAGGGAAGAGGGTCCCCCTCACCTGGCGGCTGTGAGGGCCCAGTCCCCCCAGATTCAGGCACTTCACAGTTAACACAGTGAAGATTCAAGATGATAGAGACTTCCATTGGCTCATCGGAGTGCAGCACTCCCAGACATCAGCTCCATTCAGAGACAGCTGCTCCGCTGAGCGCTGCTGTTTGCTGGGGGTCGTGAATACCCTAAATCTCCATAGGTTGCCAGCTTGAGTCAGGAGTAGAGATATTTATGTGCATGAGTAATAAATAGCGACTTTTGTGAAAGTTAAAATGAAAGAAAATGAAACGAAGGAAAAGACAACTTGAATATACAAAGGTCTTCAAACACAGGATTCGCTTTTTCACTTTCAGTCCTTTTTTGTTGGTCACGAGGCCTATGGAGGTATTAACATGTAACTTCGTTCTTCAGGCTCCGCCAGTCCCTCTCTTACCTTGCAGGGGATTTAGGAATTTGCAGGCGGCAAACTTCTAAGAGCTAGAATTCTTGACCCTGCCTGGGAGAATCACGGTGATTCTGCAACTGCAGGCTCCTGCCTTTCAGAGTAGGCATTTTAAATTCTGTCACTGCCACACTTGCAGTGGTGTCGTTTGTCATTTTACCTGATGGAAAAATTATTTGTGTAAAACTGACATAAAGGTTCTGATCTTTCAACACTCACGCTTCCCATGCGGAACAGCGGGGCTCCACTCTGTCCCCAGACTTCAAAAGGGGAGGCAAGAGGTGAGGCCCGGTCTGACTCTCCAGGTGCTCCTGGGGACTGTCCAGAGGCCACTCAGGTCCCAGACGAGCAGCGTCTCACAAGACCAACCTGTCTTGTGGCACAACCTGCCGGCCACAGAGGCCGCTGCCAGAGCCATTGTCCCAGACAGTCTCAGACAGCCCCAGACAGCACGCCGCCTCGCCAGTCCAGGGAATGCTCTCTTTGCCACAACGTGTGGTCGAGGGACTTCATGGAGAATGTTCTTGTGGATGTCAGGAGCTTCTTAGGGTTCTTTAATAATAAACCCCGTGAGAAGCAGGCCCTGAGCATGGTGGGTGCTCAGTGCGCATCTGTGTTGCAAGTACATGATGAGCTGTCCAATCGGATGCTTGTGGCACTGGACGTGGTAATCCAGACCAATCAGAGGCCTGAGGCACTGGGCATGTGGATCTGGTCCAATCAGTGGCCTGCAGCACTGGGCGTGGTAATCCAGTCCAATCAGAGGCCTGCAGCACTGGATGTGGTGATCTGGTCCAATCAGAGGCCTGCAATGCTGGACGTGGTAATCCAGTCCAATCAGAGGCCTGCATCACTGGGTGTGGTGATCTGATCCAATCAGAGGCCTGCATCACTGGGCCGGGTGATCTGGTCTAATCAGAGGCCTGCCGCACTGGGCTTATGGATCCGGATGGCATCTTCTGCCTGTGGCTCTTTCTTCTCCTCCAGTGCACAGAGTCTGCATTAATCAGGGTTCTCCCAAGAAACAGAAGCAACAGAACGTGAGGACAGACACAGAGGGAGATTTGCTATAAGGAGCGGACTCTTGATTGGCAAGGCCAATCAGTCCCGGATCTACAGGACGAGGGGGCAGCCGGGGGCCGGGGGAGCCCTGTGTGGCTCTGGTCCAAGGGCCCCCAGGCAGGAGGAATTCTCTCTCTCAGGGGAAGGGCAGGCTTCTTGTTCCATGTGGGCTTTGGCTTAATGGGACGAGGCCCCTGCGCTGGGAAGGGCAAACTGCTTTACTCCGTCTGCTGATTTAAACATTAACGTCGTCCAGAAACATAGCCAGAGGCACCCAGAATAAGGCCTGATCACTCTGGGATCCCTGTGGCCCAGTCAAACTGGCCATAAAACTGAGGTTCACAGCATCTAAGAACTTTCTCTTCCTCCTCACGCCAAGACCCCCACGTGTGTTTCTAGACAAGGCATACATCACGGAGCGCAACCACTGACGGGTTTTCTTCAGGATTTTCCTTAACTCAGTTTCCCAATGATGGCCAAATATCTGCACCGGCCAGGTTCCTGCGGGCGGTGGCTCAGACGCCGGCTCATCAGTGTCTGCGACGGCCCACAGTGCACACCACACTCCCATTCCCTGGGCCCCCACACTAAGAGGACCATTCCAGACTGAAAGCCAAGGCTCTGGTGGGCGTTCCTATCCAGACAGTCGGAATTAGAGTCTGGATTCTAAGTGGGGCACCTGCCTGCTTCCCAGCCTTCTTCCTCCAGGGCTTGAGGCTGGGACGCAGGTCTGAGCGCATCCACACCGGGAGCCCACGCGGGCTACGGGTCCCCAGGGGACTGGTTTTCCAGGAAATAACGAAGCAGCCACCTAGAGAAGAGTCAGAGTGGAAGCCCCGACCCTGCAGTGCTGAGGGAGCGGCCCCGTTCCTGCCTCCGCCAAAACTGTCGAGTGTTCTGTTACTGACAACCGAACATTCCCAGCTAAAACAAAGCTTGTCCTATGCCGCCCTGCAGGAATTGTCCATGGGCTACTTGGCTACGGGAGTTCTATTTCGAAAATGCTGAACCCAGACAGAGAGGCAGACTGTTTGACCTGGAAGCCGGCTCTGACACAGGCCTGGGGCCGCCTCAGATCACTGTGTGAGTGGAAGGGGCCAAGTGAGTGTTCATTTGACTTCTGCTACTGAACGAATTATGCCAAGGCTTTTTACATCCTACGCCAAGGTGGGCTTCACGAGCCAAAAACACAGGTGCACAGAAGAAAGGGGACCACCGGTACAGCAGGCTTTAATCTGACACAGTCCACAAGGCGTCTGTGCAGGGCGTGGTCCAGCACCATCGCTGTAGTTCAAAGAACAGCAAAGGCTGGGACACAAATCCTTTTGTCGGCTACACAGCCATCCCTTCCGGATCCCAGGGCCTCACACTCCTAACCCGCAGCTCACCCAGGACCCAGGAGGCACATGCAGGAAATGCCGGTAAACAGCTTGGCCACATGGCTGGAGGATCGTCATGGGTTTTGAAGCAGAGATTTTTCATAGGTCAGGCATTAGATAAAAATGATGACCTTATTTTGAAAAACACAATGTATTGGAACTTCAAAGGGTTTCCATCAATATTCAAGGATGATTCTTTCAGGATATAACAAAATTTACAAGATAAGGAGACAGTGAATCACTGAGCTGATTCATCTATTGACTTCAAGAGCAAGTTGGAAACCTGTGTTTTAATGCAATATAGGTAAGGCAGTGTGCCCAGTGACCCAAAATTAACCTCAAATTCAATCATAAACTTCAAAACCAGAGCCACCCCCAGTGCACCCATGGTTCAGTGTGACTCTGCAAAGCTGCCACCCAGTTCAGATGTGAGCAATGCGACCTGGCTGTGGCGCCCCTGACCCCAAGTCTGCACCAACCTGTCGTCCAGGTAGGAGGGGCTGCACAGCTTCCTCCCAGACAGGTCCAGGAAGAAAATGTTTTCCTTTAGAGACTGCGCCAGCCTGAGTCATGATTCCCTCCCCTCTGTGAGGTGTTTGAAAATGAAATACATTTTTTGAAATCTCTAACAATTTATAAAAACTAAGTTCCTTGTTTCAGCCTATATATGCAGAGAGAGAGACCGTATGTATTAGTCTGTTCCTATGCTCCTAATAAAGACATACCTGAGACTGGGTAATTTATAAAGGAAAAAGGTTTAATGGACTCACACATCCACATGACTGAGGAGGCCTCACAATCATGAGGGAAGGCAAGGAGGAGCAAAGGCACGTCTTACATGGGGCAGGCAAGAGAGTGTGTGCAGGGGAACCACCCTTTATAAAACCATCAGACCTCATGAGTCTTATTCACTACCACGAGGAAGTGCGGAGGAAACCGCCTCCTTGATTCAATTATCTCCCATCAGGTCCCTCCCACAACACATGGGATTATGGGAACTACAATCCAAGGTGAGACTTGGGTGGGGACACAGCCAAACCACATCACCATATTTGCTCACAGCATTCACTTCTGTGGTCTTAAATTTTTATTGGTATGAAATCCAATTATTTTGCCTCACAAACATCTTTAAAGGTTCTTTCTTGCCTTTGGTGTTTGAGGAGGTGGCAGCCCACTCACGTGGAAGGGAAGGGAAAGCAGATGGCTGGCCGCCTCCCCTGCAGCTCAGAGCTTGAACTGAACTGTCTTCTTTTCCTGGCTGGCACGCAGTCTTCTGTCAGCCTTGTTCTGTCCACACGCCCTGTGGGCCTGTCCCAGAGGCCACTGATCCAAGTGAGATCTCCACGATTCCCGGGGATTACAGCCACAGACGTCTTTCAGCTGGAGATAAGCAACATGGGAATGAATCAACATCGTACCTGCTCACTTTCATTCAGATGCACTCAGGATGTACAACATGCACCCTATCTTAAAGAAGTAAGCAGTTTACAGAATAGCTCATCAACACATTGAAAAATAAAACATTTAGAAAACATCTGAATCCAACCATTCAGATGCTGAACCGACCATAATCATTTAAATAAAATGCAATAAAATCAAGCACACTCCTTCATCCACATTGCACCTGAGCGCAGGCTCACAATGCAGCCGGACAAACGCGGCAACAGCTCAGGGCCCACTGAGCACAGCGGGGGACACAGAGGGGTCGAGAGTAGCAGGGGGTCCCAGGCTGAGAACAGAGGCCAGAACCCACCTAGATGGTGGAGTCCCCAGAGGCCTCCTCCTCGGAACTGCCCTGCCCTGCCCGGAGCCTACAGAGGTCTGTGTCTGCACAAGCCACACCTGTGCAAAATAGCCACACACACTTGTGTGTGCACACAGATCCTAAACTGTACACACACGCAGGTATCCTACATGCACCAAACACACCACACAGCCACCACACACACCACAAACAACCCCCACACACCACACACACAACACACACTATACACACACCACACCACACGCGACACATCACACACACCACACATGCCACACACAAGACCACACGCATTACACAACACACAACACACACACCACACACCAGACACACACAACACACACGCCACACATGCCACACACACCCCACACACAACACACACCACATACATACCACACACCCCACACACACACCACACACCAGACACACACCACACACAACACAACACACACACCACACACAACACATCACACAACACACACCAGACACACAACACAACACACACCCCACACAACACACAAACTCCACACACTATACACCACACACACAACACACAAAGCACACACCACACACCAGACACACCACACACACAACACACACAACACACAAAGCACACACCACACACCAGTCACACCACACACACACACCACATCCACCACAGACACACTACACACACCACACCTCACACACACCACATATCAAACACACCACACACACACATGCTTCACACCACACACACACCACACACACACCATGTATGCACCACACACACACCACACACTATACACACACCACACACACACTATGTATGCACCACACACACAATACACACTATACACACACCACACCACACACCTCACACATATCACACATTACACGTGTACAACACAGCCACACATACCTTTGTGTGCATGCAGATTCTAAACTCTACACACATACATGTACCATACACACACTGCACACACCACACACTCACTACACACATACACGCACCACGCACACGCACACCACGCCACACACACTCTACTCCACACACACATCAGACACATCACACTTTACACACACACCACACTCAACACTACACACCCATACAAACAAACACACATGGACACACACATGCATGCACAAAAGCAAATCTCACGTAAACACCAAACCTAGATTTCACTTTGAAAGTGCACTTGGGGCTCCAGCCTGTCCCAGCCAGTGCTGCTGTCTGAAGAGGCAGGTGCATGGGGCCTGAAGGTTTGGTGTTTTGAGTCACCTGACTGACTGAACGGGCATGTGCAGGGAAGCCTGGTGGATTTAGAAGGAAAAGGAGGAGGATGGAATCCAAGGCCTGCGGCTGGAGGCCCGGCCGCCCACCCTCCACTTGCTCACCTGTGTGTGGCTTCCATGCTGCAGGTGAGCCCCCAGAGCCCCACACACACGCCTGGGCGCCAGCACACCTGGGTCCCCTGGCTCGTGGCAGCGAGGGAGGCACCCTGGGCCAGCAGGGGCACAGGTCTGAGGAGCAGGTAGAGGCTGCCTGTGTTTCTCCTGCTGTGCAATAGACCCTTAAACATGCAGCGTAAAACACAGGCCTTTGCCACCTCACTGTGGCAGCTGGTCACACCCAGGCGCCGCTCTCCGGAGCCTTCTGCAGGCGATGGGAAGGCTGCGCTGGGCGTGGGCTGGGCCTGCTCATGTGGAGGCCGGACAAAGGAGAGCCTGGCTGTCGGCTCACACGGAGCTGACCTGGCCATATCCCCTGCTGAGGGACCCAGGGCTGCGTGTCCCACCCCAGGGGCACCCCTGGTCTGTCTCCCAGTCGGCCTAGAGAGCATGTCATCTAATGTAACCAACGCAGAAAAATGCTGACTTGCATAAATGTTGAAAACAAGATTACAAAAGAGTGACTATAACAGTATCCTTGTTTCGAAAATGGTAATGCATACAGATTGGCAAAATGTTACCGATTATTTCTGGGTGATGGGAATAATGGGGAATTTTACTTTAGTTTAACTTACTTTTATCCTATAATTGAACATGTTATTTTTACCCTAAGAAAAAGTATTTTACCTTAAAAATATAAACACGTGTTGCACTAATTGTAACATATTGTATCACTTTTTCTGACATTAGCACAAATATCAACATATTCTGAACCCCGACTCTAACATCGGCATTTTCTCCCATTTTGTCTAAAAGAATAAGAGAAACCATCACTTTTCAGGAGAGTCCAATGGAATATTAATTTACAGCCTTCCTTTCATAATTGTTTTAATTTTAAGATGTTATCCTGTATTTCTGTTGTGTGCCCAGGGATTTAAATTGGACAGAATAAGAATTTAAGCTGCAGAGTTTGTTTTCAGCACGATTAGCTCACGTGTCACCTTGGAAATCCACAATGCTTCAGGATTTGCCTTTCCCAGCTGCCACCCTGCCTTCCTGAATTCTTCCGGACTCTCTGCATGGAGGTTTCAACGTCTGTCATTTAAGGATGATTTCCTGAGCACTGTTGTCCAAGAGGATCCCACAAACTGTGGAAATGCTTACTAGGAAGCTGTCCTTCAGTGGAGGTGTCTGGACCCTGGAGAAGAAGACTGACGACTGTGCATTCCACAATTGCAATCTATACACAATTTGAAAGTGGAGGGAAAAATGCCACAATCTGTCAAGAGCTGAGAATCGAGTGTCAGGAAGGTTCTGGGGGCCCTGAGCGTGAGGGGTTGGTCGGGCCGTCTGGATCTGGGTGAGGTGGGATTCTTGGTGACCAGAGGATGCTCCAGGTGGGAAGAGCAGAGGCCACAGCCACAGGGATCGGGGCCTAGTGCATCTTCCCATGCCCTTGTCCATCCCCAGGAGGGCCGAGCTCACCCACCATGGGAGGAGACTAAGTTTCAGTGGGTCACACCAGCGTGAGGTGAGGCGGTGGCCACAGGTCCCAAGCAGAGGAGAGGACCTGTTGCTCACTTTTAAATTGTATTTTATCATATGTTTTAGAAATAGTCTTTCTCCTGTGCCGAAAACCCAAAATTTATGGTTCTGGAAATAATCACAATCGGACTTCCAAGGTCTGTGTTTCCTCAAGCGCATCATCCTCTGCTCTCATGAAAGCTATTAGAAACTCTGTATTTAATTAAAGTTTAAAGGAGTCACTTCTACATGGAAGATACTACATTCACATAATATTTAGAAGTGGAGATTATCCCTTAAATTGTGGAATTTGTAATTGTGATCTTGTGGGTCTTTACAGTGCTCTTGGTTCTATGAAAGGAAGGGGAATTCAGGGTCTCCTCTGCATCCTTGCCGTGGCTCCTGTGCAGGGAGGCTGCAGGCACCCAGCCTGTGTCTCACCTTCGCTGGATAGACCCAAGAGGCTGAGGTCAGTGTTGTGAGGAAGGTGGAGGTGCTATTCTTTAACATAACAGGATGCAGCCAAATGCACTTCCTAAATGTATGCTTTTCCACGAATCCCACGGATTTCAACTCTTGCCTGGATCTGACACAGAAGGTGCTGATTAGGGAAAGAAATCAGCTATCAAGGCATAAAGTTGGGAACCTGCCTCAGAAAAGCCCTTAAGAAACAAACGTTCCTCCTTCCCCTCTCTGGCTCCTCAAGATTCATCCTGTTTTGTCTTTACTTTTGGAATACATGCAGGTTTGTTAAAAAATGGCTTTATAAAAAACATCGGCAAAATGTGGATTTCTTGCCCAATTACTGGAAAGGTTACCAACACAAGGAAAGGTCAGTCAATTCCTTTGTGGGCGATGTTTTGTTTTGTCTTGTTTATTTCTTTCCTGAATATTTTAAAACTCATTTGAGAAAACTGATTCTGTAGTGTTATTCCAAAATACCCCTGTGGGGAGGTGTCCATGAGCCATCTTATGGGATTGAAGATGGAGGGACGTGGGGCCTGAGGCATGTTTATGACAGCTACACTGTGTTCAGGTTTGGCCCTGGGCAGAGGTGTGTTTTGTCTTGGTCGTTGGTGCAGGGCCTGGCAAAGCTGCTCTGAGGCCCGCAGAGCCAGGGCTGGCTTTGAGTTCAGGCCAGCTCCATGCATCCTGGCCATCCTGCCATTAGCTTTGACGGGTTAAGGAATAGCCTCATCCACTCTTTTTTAGGATTCCGGACGTTTTTGTATTACAACTCCCTGCTCCCATTTTGTCTTTGAAATGGTAGAGAGGCCCCAACTGAAAAAGGCATAAAGTTAAGGACAAATTTAAAATTGGAACTAAGGTGCAGTAAAACCAGAGACTCTCCCTGGGGAGGCACTGGACTGCGAGCTGAGCTTGAGGTACAAAACCAGCTCTTTCAGAACAGGGGCTGGAGGCCACCACTGGTGCCATGTACCCCTCCTCATTTGACACCAGCGGGCAAAGCCTGAGGAGCTGGCGCCCTCTCAACCATCCTCACCTGAGACGTGACCCGTGTCTGTCAGGCAGCCAGGTGAGATGAAGAGGGGTGAGCTGACTCTGACTGGACAGGATCTGTCTAGGGGGTGAGCCGACTCTGACTGGACAGGATCTGTCTAGGGGGTGAGCCGACTCTGACTGGACAGGATCTGTCTGGGGGTGAGCCGACTCTGACTGGACAGGATCTGTCTAGGGGGTGAGCTGACTCTGACTGGACAGGATCTGTCTAGGAGGTGAGCCGACTCTGACTGGACAGGATCTGTCTAGGGGGTGAGCTGACTCTGACTGGACAGGATCTGTCTAGGGGGTGAGCTGACTCTGACTGGACAGGATCTGTCTTAGGCAGCTGCTGTGTCCATGTGATCACATTGTAAAGACCTCGCCTATCGAACGGACATTTCCTTACCTCAAAATTACTGTTCTATTTTAAAATGCATGTTCTGGTTCACTGCAAGGAGTGTTAGATACCAGCTCTGCACATTAATGCAGATATCAGTGTCCAGTGGCTCACAGACACAAAGCTGCAGCCCAGAGAAGCTTCATTTACTGTGGCAGTTCCATGCTTCCGACTCTGTTGGCTATTGATCAATCGGGCAGAAAATCTCTGTGGGTTACAGAATTGCTAATGGGAATAACCATACCCACAGCAGCAATTTACCCACTCAAAACAAATAAACTGGAATTGCCCAAACTGGGCTGCTAATGAGTCAAGAGACATGTCGGGCCCAGGACGGTCCCATCGGCAAGTGTCAGACTCCAGCCGGGGTCTCCGGAAGAGGAATTCTGTGCAGCGCAGAGCCTCTTGAGCTGAGCATCACCAGCTTGGAGACCGCCAGAACCTAAAGCATTGAGATCCCTTGTTGCACTTTCTCATCTGTGTATTTTCTTTGAAAGACGCTGAGAATGATGGAGCTGCATCCTTTGAAGGCAGTCATGTTCCCGGGAATGAGGAGCTTTCAGAGTTTAATTATGGAACGAGCTGCAGACACATCTACAGAAGGTGAAATGAGTCTAAAACAGGCCTCCTTTAAAACCTGTGCAGATGCAGAGGCTGCATTCTTCAGACGTGAGGCTGGCTGGGAGTTGAATCAGGTGGGGCCGTCTGAGGATGCAGCTGGGACCTCAGCTTCTGTGTTGCTGGCGTCCTTGGGTAGACAGCGGGCCCTTTGCCCCAGGCCTGGCTGGGTCTGGCCCTGCACTACACACCAGCGCCATGCACATGGTAAAGAGTAGCACCTGCTCTCATGAGCATCAGTGGATTTGGGTGCCTGATTTCTCCAAGGAAATGCCAGGCCCCATCACGCCTCCCCTAGGGCCAGGAATACCCCAGCCTGGAGAGGCTGGCAGCTTCCCAGATATGCCACGCTCCTCCTACCCGGATCATTCACCAAGAAATCAGGAAAGAGAACTCCAGGGCGAACCCAGGACCTGGCCCCATACCACAGTCTGAGCACATTCTAGACACAAGAAGTAGGTTTTCTCACAATAAGGAAACATTAATACACATTATGCATTATCCAATAGAAAGCACAAAAATACCAGACTCAAGTCTGAATGTCCCACAAGGAGATCCCCTCTGCCTTCCTCCAGAGCTTGGATAAAGCTCCTTCTTCTACAGAAATGAAGCTGCCATGTGACCCTGCCCAGGACCCTGCAGTGCACACGGCTGCCAGCCAGTGACTCCTCCAGAGTCCCTCAGAGGCAGGAATAGGCCCTGTTAACTTGTTTATCCTCAGCTATCAGCCTCGTGTCTTCCAGAGATAAAATATACAGCAAATAATAGATAAATTAATCCAGGCCACACATATTTATGTGTGGGGTGGCTTTGTCTGGCACCATGGAAACAGTGGCAGTGTCTTCATCCTAGAGAGGTGCTGTCTAACAAGGCAGCTTTCCTCAGGCAGAGGACCCCTGAGGCAGGTGCAGCTATCAGTAAGCACGCATGAACTTCAAAATCATTGTGATTAATATGTGCAAGAAATGATACAGTGGACATTTCAGAAGATAATTGGAAGCTATGAAAAAATTCTATTGAATATTCTAGAATTTTAAAAAGTTCAATCACTGAAATTAAGAACTAAGGAAACAAAAGAGGTAATTCATGAAGTAGGTTTAAAAGATAATATGTAGAAAAAGCACAGAGAGAACACAGGAGAAAAACTACAAGAACTAGACACACAGGCCACACCTCAGACAAGGTGCTGTGTCTGTTGCACTCGTAACCAGGGCTCCAAAGGAGGAGAGGGCATTGTGGAGGAGGAGCAATCATTGAAAAGGTGATGCTTGAAACATTTTGAAAACTGACAAAAGACATAAAGCCACACGTTCAAGAATCCTGAAAGTCCTAGTCAGCAATCAGAATAAAGATCACATAGTCACAACCAGGAATATCAAATTAATTATATGCCAAAAAATGAAAAACCAGGGAAAGAAAGTCTTTCCAGTTTATAATTGCAGGAAGCGAGACTGAGATTTAACTCCTTAACAGAGGTTGAAGCCAGAAGATGGTGTCAGGGCAGCTTCAAAAGCAATAAAAGCAGGCAAATGTGAAAGAAAGTTCTATAGGCAGTAAATATGTTTCCAAAATATAGAAAAAATAATTTAAACTGGAAGGAAAGAATTGAAGAGAACATGAAAAATGAGAGAGACCTTGTCAATTTATTTAGAGATGCTGAATTAGGGTGGAAGACTGTTGCCTCAAATTGAATGGCAGGAAGGTAGAAGAGACACACACAGGCGCTGTCCAACACATCGTCCTCACAGTGAGCGCCACAGCCAGCGTTCAACACAGAGAGGGCTCAGGGGTCTCAGGCAGGAGAGGGGCCTCAGGGGTCTCAGGCAAGAGAGTGGGGCTCAGGGGGCCTCATGCAGGAGAGGGGGCTCAGGAGGTGTCACGTAGTACTATTAGCATAAAGCTGAGGATACAACCAAAACACAAGCAAACATACTGTACCTTAAATATGCTTAAGGTGAGGGTGGGGAGGGGAAAGAGAGAAAGATAGAGACACAGAGACACAGACACAGAGACAGGGCACAGTGAAAAATGTTATGAAAGCCTTGTTTACATAAAAATATAAAACAACATGACAAAACGTAGGTAAAAAAATAACAATAATGTAAGTGGGCTTATAATGGTAATGTAAGTGGGCTTAAAGTACCTTTTAAGATTTTTAGGTTGGCTGCATAGCAAAATGCATTAGTTTGTATATAGGAAACATACTTAAAACAAAATATTCAAGAAGGTAGAAACTAAAGAAAAAGGTTCAACTATAGCAGGCAAAAGAAAAAAGAATTAGGCCTCAGTATTTTGATCTCTGCTGAGGAAGAATTTTGAGTAATAAGCATTAAAAGAGGCCAAGAAGTTTATGTTATAATTCCACAGGATTCAGCTCTTAATAATTATAACCCAGTGACCCAGCAAAGCCTATGATATGCCAGAAACCACTGGAGATACAAGGGGAGGTGGACAGGAACACAGATAACAGGCAGGTCTCTCGCAGCCTGAGATGGGCCAAGCAGCCAAAGCTTTGTAAGGGCCCACGTGTCCTCAGCACAATGATCTGCAAGATGGTTTGGGTGGGATCCATGGAACTCAGGTTCTAATCAAACCTAAAGGTGTCTAATCAAAGAGAAGACATTTTTGCTCCAAATGCACATGGAGCATTTGTAAATTTCTGACCCTAAAGAAAGCCTCAAAAACTCAAAGAATAGAATTTTTTAATTAATAAGACATGATTCTTAGGGCAGAATGCAAAATAAAAATCTAGAAATTAATGATGAATAAAAATAGAGCTGAGATGCATATAAAATTATATTAAGCAACCTTTGCCACTAAAGAAAGATAGAAAATAAAATTTCACAGTATTTTGAAAAAATAATAATAAAAATACAACAAAAAGCATTTATCTTTCAGATAAAAGTTTACTTTGAAAACATTTTTAAATAAAAAGCAAATTGAAAGATATTAAAATTTCAAATGAAGTACAACAGAATGAGCAAAATAAAGCAAGTCAGAAATGAATAAAGTTAAAAGAAGAATCTAATAAATTAGATTCAGATTCTAAATTAGATTCTAACAAATTAGAACCGACAAATCCAAACGTGTTTTTAATAAACTAACAAAACAGGTAAATCTAGTAGCCAAATTAATGAAGAAAAATAGGAAAAAATAAATTAAATTAGAAATGACAAGAGAAAGTCATTTTCTTCCTCTTCTCTTTCAATAAGAGAATTTTAAAATCCCAAGATAAGACTTTATGCAACTTTCTTCAAATAAAATGTAAAAACTAACAGAAATTGAAAAAAATACTTTTATAAAATTGACCACAGTAAAGTCAGAAAGTTTAAACCAATAGCCTTAAAGGAAATAAAATTAAGTAAGGGCTCTCCTGTTGAAAGCAAAAACCCAGAGAGTCTAACAGGGGAATTCAACCAAATTTTATAAATCTGATGATTCCAGTGCTACCTGAATTATTCTGGAGCACAGAAGAAGAAAGAAAAACCTGCAAATGATCTTTCCAAAGGCAGACAAAGAATGAAACACAACAAATTGCTGTCATCCAGTAAAGATGCAAAAAAATTAAATGAAATATTTGCAAACGGAATCTAACAACACATTAAAAAGATGACATATCTTTAACCCAATCACATGGAATATAACAGTCTTCAAAGTGTGATCTGCAGGCCCCTGAGGCCTCGGAGACCGTTTGAGGGGACACCTGAGGCCAGAACAATTTTCATGATGATACTTAGATGCTGTTTTTTCTCCCCGTGTTAACATTTGCACGGTGGTGAAACCAACCAAAATGAGGTGAATAAGTCTGCTGGTGCCTTGGTTCCATCCAACGAAAATGAGGTGAATGAAACTGCTGGTGACTTGGCTCAATCCAACCAAAAGGAGGTGGATAAACTTTCTGGTGCCTCGGCTCAATCCAGGCGGTGGCAGGAGGACCTCAGTCCTCACTGTGTTCATGCCTGTGTCAGGTTCACAACATCCAAAGCTTTTGTCAGCTTCACTTAACGATTCTTTGGGACAATAAGTATTATTAAAAGTACAATTTAAAACAATATTCCGTGTATCAGAACGGGACGTGTACATGAAGGCCCTCAGCTGCACACTGAAGTGAACGCTCCTGTAACGACAAAGCTCCTGACACACGGAGGCCGCTGCTGGCCATGAACACATCCCACTCTAAGAAGGACTCACACGCGGGGGCTTGGGAAACTAAATAACGTGACGTGTCAATTCACCAAAAATGGCTGACAGTATTTGCTGCCCATAGTAAAATTCCAAATTTCAAGCAACAGAAAAATAATTTTAGAAAATCTGCATCCATCACAGTGAGATTGAAAGCTTCCAAGTCCTCCAAGACTTTGGAGTGACACCAGTGATGATGAGAACACATTCCATATTTTGACATTGCAAAATTCAATGTGTCAACATTGGGAAGATCAGTGTAATTTAGTGAGACCAAGATGTTCCAAAATGCCAATTCCTGACATCACAAAATCAGGCCTGGATACAGATCCACTGGAAATGCAGGGTAGGCCAGTGGGTTCTACCTGATGAGGATGCGCAATGCTCAGGGATGTGGGCTTAGACTCCACATTGCAACTAACTTCCACTCATCTCACATCCCTGTTGGATTAAGGAAGAAAGTCCATATTGGCTGAAAAAGCCTTGGAAATCCAATTGTTCTCTATTCAAACTTTAAAGAGATTTGCCAAACTGTAAAATAATTCCACACTTTCCCACTATGTTTTGGTAAATATAGTTGTATTCATGCAAAATATTATTTATGTTCATGTTTAATGGGTTTATTGGTTTATTGTTTTTAAATTTTAAATTACATAAATATGTTAAATATTTCTATTTCTAGTAACTAATATAAACTAGTGAAATACAGTATGGTAACTAATATAAACCACATATACAAAGTATCTTTCAAGCCTCAATAGCTTTTAGAGTTTAAAATTAAGAACGATCAACACAGCACAGCCCTCATTCTGAGTCTTATTTCATGTGGAAACATTTCCTTTCTTGCGAAACTGCAGAAAACCAGATAACCATTGGTTTTACTATTATTTATTATTATATGGAAAGAATTAGTCAATGCAATGAGACAAAAAAAAGACAAAAGAATTTAATTCAAATTCAATCACATTTGAGAGACGAAAAGAAAAAACTATCTCAGTGTGCAATGACATGATTATATAACCGGCAACCCCACCCCCACTGCCCCCAGTAATGTTTAGCTACTACAGGTTGAGCACCCCTTATACAACATGCTTGGGACCAGAAGTATTTTGGATTTTGGATTTTTTTTCAGATTTTGGAATATTTGCATTATATTTATCAGCCCTAACCAAAAAATCCAAAATCCAAAATGTTTCAATGACCATTTTCTTTTAGTGTCATGTCGGTGATCAAAAAGTTTCAGATTCTGAAATGTTTTGGATTTGTGAATTAGGAATATTCACCCTGTACAAACAATGAGATAACTTAATAAAGTATCAGGATATACAATTGTATGTTATCCAATAACTCTCATATGTACAAACAAAAATTGGTTAAGAGGTAATTGAGGAGAACCTTCATTTAAGACAGAAAAAAATAAAAAAGCAGGCTTCAAGTGAAGAAATATACAAAGCCTATAGGAAATGCTCAGAAAAACTCAAAAACAGAATGAAAGAAATGGAAAGGCATGCCATCATATTTTTGTATTTTTTGGCTAAAAGTGCTCAGTATAGTACAGATGGAATTTCTCTCTAATGAAATTTATACATAATGTGATCCCAAGAAAAGTACCATCAGAACTCCCCTCCCCAACATGATCAGGGAAAGTTCAATATGAAGACTGCCTTCCCCAACACGATCAGGAAAAGTTGAATATGAAGGGTTTTCAAGGGCACATATGCAAGAATAGCCAGGGGTCTCCTGCAAAAGAAGAGAATTGCGGGGCTGCTCTAGCCGGTATCAAAATGTGTCATAGAACCTGTGTCAGCAAACAGCGTAGAGTTGCCCCATAGATTGATCAACAGAAAGGGAAAATCCAGAAATCTAGTGAGTGCATACCACATGGGCTGTGGGAACCATGGTAGATCAGCAGTAGGGG